>NC_000024.10:11037032-11337032 GCF_000001405.40 Homo sapiens
CACTCCATTCACCTCCACTCCACTCCATTCCACTCCACTCAAATCCACTCCTCTCCACTCCACTCCACTTCACTCCACTCCACTCCATTCCACTCCACTTCTCTCCATTCCACTCCAATCCACTCCACTCCACCCCACTCCATTCCATTCCATTCCACTCCATTCCATTCCTTTCTTTCCACAGGATCTCACTCTGTGACAAAGGCTGGAGTGCAGTGGCACTATTTCAGCTCACTTTTATTTTTGCCATTGTATTGCATTCCACTGCATCCCATTCCATTCCATTCTATTTCACTCCACTCCACTCCCCTCCACTCCACTCCACTCCACACCCTTCCATTCCAACGCATAACATTCCATTCGACTCCATTTCACTCTACTCCACTCCGCTCCTATCATCTCCACTCCATTCCACTCTATTGCTTTCCATTCCATTCCATTTTATTTCACTCCACTGCATTCCATTCGTTTCTTTTGACAGGATATCAGTGTGTCACCCAGTCTGGAGAGCAGTGGCACAATCTCAGCTCACATTACATGTCAACTTTCCTTTTTATTGCATTCTATTCAATTACATTCCATTGCGTTCCATGCCATTCAATTTTTATTCCATTCCATTAAATTCCATTCCATTCCACTCCGTTCCACACTACTCCACTACATTACATTACATCCGATTCCATTCCACTCCATTCCACACCTATCCACTCCACTGCACTCCACGCCAATCCATTCGGCTCTATCCCATTCCATTCCGCTACATTCCACTGCACTCCACTCCACCCAACTACATTCAACTTCATTCCATTCAATTCCATCCAATTCCAGTCTTCTCCATTACACTCCACCTCATTCCACACCTCTCCATTCCACTCCACTCGTTTCTACTACACTCCATTCCAGTCCACACCATTCCACTCCACTCCACTCCACTCCATTCCACTCCACTCCACTACAATCTACTCCATTCCACTCCCCTCCATTCCACTCCACTCCACTAAATTCCCCATTCCACTCCACTCCACTAAATTCCACCCTACTCCATGCCACTCCATTCCACTCCACTCCACTCCCTTCCACTCCACTCCACTCAATTGCACTCCACTACACTCCATTCCACTCTACTCCACTCCACTCCTCTCCATTACACTCCACTCCACTCCAATCCACTCCATTCCATTCCATTCCTTTCTTTCCACAGGATCTCCCTCTGTCACAAAGTCTGGAGTGCAAAGGCACAATCTGAGATCACATTTCTTTTCACTATTCTATTGCTTTCCATTCCATCCCATTCCATTCCAGTCTATTTCACTCCACTCCACTGCACTTCACTCCATTCCATTCCACTCCATCACATTCCATTCTACTCCATTCAACTCCACTCCACTCCACTCCATTCCACAACACTCCACTCTACTCCATTGCATTCCATTTCACTCCATTGCATTCCATTCCTTTCTTTCGACAGTATATCTCTGTGTCACCCAGGCTGCTGTGCAGTGGCACAATTCCAGCTCATATTACATGTCAACTTTCCATTACATTGCATTCTATTCCATTGCATTCGATTGCTTTCCTTTCCATTCCATTCCATTCCATTCCATTCCATTCCATTCCATTCCACTCCGTTCCACTGCACTCCACTCCACTAGATTTAATTACATCTGTCTCCATTCCACTGCATTCCACTCCTGTCTACTCCACCGCATTCCACTCCACTCCATTCCACTCCATCCCATTCCATTACGCTCCAATCCACTGCACTCCACCCTACCCCACTCCACTCCACTTCATTCCATTCCATTCCATTCCATCCCATTTCATTCCTCTCCATTCCAATCCACTCCACTCCACTCCACTCCTCTCGAGTCCATGCCATTCCATTCCATTCCACAGCATTCCCTTCCATTCCACAGCATTCCCTTCCATTCCTTTTTTTAGAGTATCTCACTCTGTCACCCAGCTTGAAGCGCAGTGGCATAATCTCAGCTCACATTTCATTTCACCATTCCATTCCATTCCATTCCTTTCTATTTCACTCCACTATACTCCACTCTTGTCCTCTCCAATTGATACCACTCCACTCCATTCCAGTCCACTCCACTCCTTTCCATTCCATCCCATTCCATTCCAATCCACTCCACTCAACTCCACTCCATTCCATTCCATTCCACTTCATTCCATTCCATTCCTTTCTTTTGACAGGATCTCACTCTTTTACCCAGAATGGTGTGCAGTGACTCAATCTCAGCTCACATTTCTTTTCACCATTCCATTCCACTCCATTGCATTCCATTCCATTCCATTCCACTGCACTCCACTCCACACCACTCAATTCCACTCCACTCTACTCCAGTCCATTTCTTTCCATTACATTCCAATCCCTTCTATTCCACTCATTTCTTTCGACAGGATCTCCCTCTGTCACACGGGCTGTAGCTTAGTGGTACAAACTCAGCACACATTCCTTTTCAACATTCTATTTCATTCCTTTCCATTCCTTTCCATTCCATTCCATTCCATTCCACTCCACTACACTACACGCCATTCCATTCCACTCCATTCCACTGCACTCCACTCAAGTCCGCTCCACTCCACTCCAATCCATTTCATTCCAATCTATTCCATTCTACTCCACTCCACTCCACACCAATCCACTCCTCTCCACTCCATTCCATTCCATTCCACACCATTCCACTGCCCTCCACTTCACCCCACTCCAGTACATTCCACTGCCTTCCATTCCACTCCACTCCAGTTCACTCCACTCCACTCCACTCCACTGCATTCCACTTCACTCCACTCCACTCCATTCCCCTCCACTCCATTCCACTCCACTCCACTGAACTCCATTTCATTCTATTCCAATCCCTTTCATTCCATTTCTTTCTTTCCACCGAATCTCTCTCTGTCACGAAGTCTGTAGTGCAGTAGCTCAATCTCAGCTCACATTTATTTACACCATTCCATTGCATTCCATTCCATCCCATTCCATTCCACTCTTTTTCACTCCACTCCACTCCACTCTACTCAATCCCATTTCACTCAATCCCATTCCATTCGACTCCATTCCACTCCACTCAACTCCACTCCTATCCACTCCTTTCCATTCCATTCTATTCCATTACATTGCATTCCATTGCATTCCATTCCTTTCTTTCAACAGGGTGTCACTGTGTCATCCAGGTTGGAGTGCAGTGGCACAATCTCAGCTCACATTACATGTCAACTTTCCATTTCATTACATTCTATTCAACTGCGTTCCTTTGCATTCCATTCCATTCCATTCTGTTCCATTCCGTTTCAGTCGATTCCATTCCATTCCACTCCGTTCCCCTCCACTCCACTAAGCTCAACTACATTCCATTACATCTGATTCCGTTACACTCCATTCCACTCCTCTCCACTCCACTCCATTCCACTGCATCCCATTACATTCGGCTCCATTCCACTGCACTCTACTCCACCCCAATCCACTCCACTTAAATCCATTCCATTCCATCCCATTCCATTCCTCTCCATTCCACTCCAATCCACTTCACTCCACTCCACTCCACTCCACTCCAGTCCAACTTCATTTCATTGTGTTCCATTCCATTCCATTCCACTCCATTCCATTCCATTCTTTCTTTCGAGAGTATCTCACTCTGTTACCAAGCCTAGAGCACAGTGGCACAATCTCAGCTCACATTTCGTTTCACCATTCCATTCCATTCCATTCCATTCCCCTCCATTCCACTCCACTCCACTCCACCACATTCAATTACATCCGATTCCATTCCACTCCATTCCACTGCTGTCCATTCCACTGCATTCCACTCCACTTTCTGTATAGCCTGCAGAACGGTGGGCCAATTAAATCTCTTTTCTCTTAGCCAGCCTCAGGTTTGTTGTTTTTTTTGTTTTTCTTTTTGTTTTTGTTTTCAGAGTTTCACTGTTGTCTCCCAAGCTGGAGTGCAATGGCACCATCTTGGCTGACTGCCACCCCCACCTCCAGGGTTCAAGAAATTCTCCTGCCTCAGCCTCCCGAGTAGCTGGGATTACAGGCACACACGACCACACCCAGCTAATTTTTTATTTTTAGTAGAGACAGAGTTTCTCCCTGTTGGCCAGGATAATCTTGATCTCCTGATCTCAGGGGATCCACCTTCCTCAGCCTCCCAAAGGGCCGGGATTACAGGCATGAGCCACCTCACCAAGCCAGATATTTCTTTATAGCAATGAAAGAACAGACTATTGTGAGGAATACGATGCAATTTAAAAATTTCTTCTTTGTGCCTGACTCCTGGCAGATTTCCTAAAACTCTTGGAATGTCCTCAGTGATAAGAGTATCTCTGGAACACTAATGAGATTACTCTCAACTCCCAGGTAGCTTCCAGGATGGGGGCTGGTGGCCAGAAGGATCAGACTATGGCTCGAGGGTCAGGACTCCCAGTCGCCCTGCTGACTGGCAGGATGGAGTCCATTCACCGTGGTCAGTGACTTCATCCTATGTAATGCCTATGTAATGAAACTTCCATAAAAATCCCTCAACAATGGGGCCTGGGGGCTTCTGAGCCAGCAAACACATCCACGTGCTGGGAGGGTGGTGCATCCCCAACTCCACAAGGTTGGAAGGTCCTGCACATTGGGCCCTCCTGATGTCGCCTAGTGCACCTCTTCATCAGCTGTGTGTTTGCACACTTTGTAATAAGCCAGGGGTAGTAGTTAAAATGCCTTCTTAGGTTCTCTGAGCTGCTCCAGCAAGTGGCGGAACCCGAAAAGTGGGTGTTGGGAACCCCTAATTCACAGCCAAATTGGACACAAATGTGGGTGGCCTGGGTACTTGACGTTTATGGAGGGCAGTCTTGTGGGACTCAGCCCTTAAACTTGTAGTTAGTGTCAGAATTGAAATAATTCTTGACATCCAGCTGGTGTCTGAAGAGGTGGAGAAGGAAAATACACCACCCATTAGGCGCTGGGAGGGAAAAATTTAAAACCCCTCAGAGAAGCTTGGGGAGTCCCGTTCTCCATGCCCAGGGCCCACGGTCCTGGCTATGAAAGCCTGAATCAGACCCATGGTTTATTATTCACAGCAAGATTTCTCTCCAGGGATTCTTTAATCTGTAGTGAAAAAAATGTATAAATGTTGTAAAACAGTGAGATTCATGGCAAAATCAGAAGCAACATTTTATTAGTCTATTTTCACACTGCTATAAAGAAATACCTGAGACTGGGTAATTTATAAAGGAAAGAGGTTTAATTGACTCACAGTTCCATATGGCTGCGGAGGCCTCAGGAACATTACAGTCATGGTGGAAGGCGAAGGGAAAGCAAGCACCTTCTTCATAAGGCAGCAGGAGAGAGAACAGCAAAGAAGGAACTTCCAGACACTTATAATAAAACCATCGGATCTCGTTAGAACTCACTTACTATCATGAGAACAGCATGGGAAACCGCTATGGTCTAATCATCTCCCTCCCTCAATACATGGGGATTACAGGTCCCTCCTTCAACATATGGGGATTACAATTAGAGGTGAGATTTCAGTGGGGACACAGAGCCAAACCATATCAAACCTTAAGACCCCAGATTGATTTTTAAATGTGGGGATAATTTCCCAATGCAAATGGAATTGTTCTCGCCCCACCACCATGTCTCCCCCACCCACCACGGCATCCAGGCTGTGACACAACTACAGTCCATGCACCGTGGGCAGAAATATACCTCCAGGGAATGAAGGCCCTCACCCACAAGCTGCGTGTACTCATGCAGGAGCCGCTCCTCATCCAGGAACTTGCCATCGCGCCCGTTGCTGGCTGGCTGGAACAGGCCATAGATCAGGACATCTTTCAAACTCTGGGTTAACGTACACAGGATACGCTGCTTTGCAAGCCACACCATGGCGTCCAGGTTAAATCGAATGCATTTCTGCCAGGAAGGACAAAGACAGCTGACGAGTGAGAGAGGATGCTACCTGAGTCACCCACATGGGGCACGTGGCCAGAGAGGCAAAGCTGCTTCCACCCCTTCCTGAAACTTCCTCTGAGCAGTGAACCCACGGCTTTTCACGATGAAAAATAAAGCCTACTGGTTGCTGGGACACAGACATTCGGTAAATATAAAAGGGAAAAAGGAAAGACCGAGGGATTGGTCTCTTTGGCCTTGATCTCACCATGGACTCAAATCTCCAGCACTGTCTCAGTGCGGCAGCTCATGCCTGTTATCCCAGCACTTTGGGAGGCCAAGGCAAGCAGATCACGACGTCAGGAGATCGAGACCATCCTAGCCAACATGGCAAAACCCCATCTCTGCTAAAAATACAAAAATTTGCTGGGCATGGTGGCGCGTGTCTGTAATCCCAGCTACTCTGGATGCTGAGGCAGGAGAATCGCTTGAACCAGGGAATTACAGGTTGCATGAGCCGAGATTGCACCACTGCACTCCAGTCTGGTGACAAGGTGAGACTCCGTCTCAAAAAAAAAAAAAAAAAACAAAACTCAAGCCCTCACAGTGTCTTTTTGGTCATCAATGACCACCTGTCACCTCAGGGCCCTCTCTCACTTGCATGGCACTTCTCAAACTCCAGCAGTTTGAAAAAAACAGGTCACAGACCCCACTTATGTCTCCCTAACAGAATGTCTGATTCAGCAGGTCTGGGTGGGACCTGAGAAACTACATCTCAGACAAATCCCAAGGTGCTACTGCTGCTGCCGTCCTGGAGAACACACATTCAGAACCACAGCCCACATATATTTCAATGTGACTTAATTTTGACATGGATCGTTCTTTAGCATTTCAGATTCGGTGGAAACCTTGTCTTATAACCATGCTGACGAGAAAGTTTTCATACTACCCACGCTGACTATGAACACAAATCTTTAAAAACGCAGTCATCACCTCTCCCAAAGGACACAGGAAAGCAAGTATGGAAAAACGATTTGATGGAAAATCAAATCAGTTGCCACAAGAGTTCATTTTTACAAAGTTAAATAGTGTCAACAGGGCCTGCAAACCAATCACAACACTTCAAACACAAAATAGCACCTCTGAGGACTGAAATAACAACAACTTGGTCATGTTCCCAGATCCCCTCTGTGAGACTCACCAGTGAGCCAGGAAAGGCAAAGGCCAGGCAAATCCACTTCTAGCCATGACTTATAATTTTTGTCGAATTAAAATTATATTCTACTGAATAGTTGTCAGCAGGGGCTCAATAATTCACTTTGTCACTGTCAAAGTGTTCAGAACAAAAGGAGGTTTGAATGAATATAAGACTCAAACCAGTTCTCTATCTGAGGTTTCTGTGGGTTTGTGCCCAGGAAAGCAAAAGGCCCCATTATCTTCCCAGGACAGCCCAAGGGTAAGTTCTTCATCGCTGGGAAAATGATCCTGAGACTGCCAACAGGAGGCCAGGTTCAGTGGGTGACCAGAGTCCTCCCTGTCAGGAAACCTGACCCTGTGTACAAAAGCTCCTCTTTCTCCCTTCCAATGTCAAAGCCTGAGCTCACGTGTGGCTCTCAAAGCTCCTCACAGGGCTGTGAGGCTGGGTGGAGGCAGTTGTTTATTCCAGAAAGATTTCCAGACCCGCACCCTCCCCGATCCTTGGCTGAACAAGGACTCTCTGGAAACTCCTGGCACGAGAAACAAGCTGTATCAGGTGTGACCAGATGGGGCCGCTCACTACTCACCCTTCAGCCTCGGGAATCCTTCTGGGCCCCTCCAATTCAAGCTCCAACACCCACAGAGCCAATGGCTCCCTCCCTGGCACCTGCAGAGAAGCTTCAGCCAAGGGGCAATTCCTTGGAGGAGCACAGGGCTCCAAATCACCTCTCAGGGGATTCTGTGCCACTGTAGGTCATTGCAAAGATGGGTGTCCACCGTCATTTATGGACAGGGTGGGGATGCTGTGTCTGTGCAGCACGGGGGCCAACCCCACAAAGCAACAACCATCTGCTCCAGAAAATGCTAAGAGCACCACCTTGAGAATCATCTAGAAGGAGCAAGAGCCCAAAAGTCGGAAAGCCTGGGTTTGCAACCCAGTGGGGCACACCAGCCTTGATTCCTAGGCAAACTCACCCACCCAGCCGTCTTCTAATTCCCCCCATGAAAATCAGAGCCACTACTTAATTTCAGGGCTGCTGTCAGGATCAAACGGGATATAAATAAGATTATTTGTTATGGGCTGAACTGTGCCCCTCTAAATAAATGTTGAAGTCCTAATGCCCATACCCTATGAATGTGATTTATTTGGGAATAGAATCTTTGTAGAGGTAATCAAGTTAAGATGATGTCATACAGGAGCAGGGTGGACCCTATTGCAATAACTGTGTCCTTAAAAAGGGAGTAAATCTGGATATTAGCCCTTTGTCAGATGGATAGATTGCAAAAATTTTCTCCCATTCTGTAGATTGCCTGTTCACTCTGATGGTAGTTTCTTTTGCTGTGCAGAAACTCTTTAGTTTAGTTACATCCTACTTGTCTATTTTAGCTTTTGTTGCCATTGTTTTGGTGTTTTAGTCATGAAGTCCTTGCCCATGCCTATGTCCTGAATGGTACTGCCTAGGTTTTCTTCTATTGTTTTTATGGTTTTAGGTCTAGCATTTAAGTCTTTAATCCATCTTGAATTAATTTTTGTATAAGGTGTAAGGAAGGCATCCAGTTTCTTCTACAAAGAACTTAAACAAATTTATAAGAAAAATCAAACAATCCCATCAAAAAGTGGGCAAAGGACATGAACAGACACTTTTCAAAAGAAGACAATTATGCAGCCAACAGACACATGAAAAAATGCTCATCATCACTGGTCATCAGAGAAATGCAAATCAAAACCACAATGAGATACCATCTCACACCAGTTAGAATGGTGATCATTAAAAAGTCAGGAAACAACAGGTGCTGGAGAGGATGTGGAGAAATAGGAACACTCTTATGCTCTTACTAGGAGTGTACACTAGTTCAACTGTTGTGGAATACAGTGTGGCAATTCCTCAAGGATCTAGAACTAGAAATACCATTTGACCCAGTGATCCCATTACTGGGTATATACCCAAAGGATTATAAATCATACCACTATAAAGACACATGCACATGTATGTTTATTGCGGCACTATTCACAATAGCAAAGACTTGGAACCAACCCAAATGTCCATCAATGATAGACTGGATTAAGAAAATGTAGCACATATACACCATGGAATACTAAGTAGCCATAAAAAAGGATGAGTTCATGTCCTTTCAAGTGACATGGATGAAGCTGGAAACCATCATTCTGAGCAAACTATCACAAGGACAGAAAAACAAACACCGCATGTTCTCACTCATAGGTGGGAATTGAACAATGAGAACACTTGGACACAGGGCGGGGGAACATCACACATGGGGGCCTGTCTTGGTGAGGTGGGTTGGGGGAGGGATAGAATTAGGAGAAATACCTAATGTAAATGATGAATTAACGGGTGCAGCAAACCAACAAGGTGCATGTATCCATATGTAACAAACCTGCACATGGTGCACATGTACCCTAGAACTTAAAGTATAATTTAAAAAAAAAGAGTGAGAAAATCTGGACACAGCATCACGCACACAGGGAGATGACCATGTGAATGGGCAGGGAGAGACTGGTGTGTCCCACCTGCAAACCCAGCAATGCTAAGATTGCTGGTAAGCCCCCAGCAGCTGGGGTAGAGTTAGAGAATCTGGGACAGATTCTCCCTCAAGCCTCAGAAGGAACCAACCTTGCCTACCCCTTGACCTTGGACTTCCAGCCTCCAGAATGTGAGACAATACATGTCTGAGATTTAAGTCACCAGTCTGTGGTTGGTTACGGCAGGCATGGGAACTCATAAACGTGTGAATCACCTGCCACTAATTGTGACAGCAAAAAAACAGCAGCAGCATCATCTCTGAGAGCGGAACTCAGCAGGTCGAGCATTCCCAGCTCCTAGGGAGCTCCCCTCCCTCCATATGTGATGGGAGCCGCCCGCATGTTTACACCAGCTCCGGGCAAGCCCACGACGTCAGAAGACCCTTTGGATGAATCCTACTTCAATTCTTCACTTACCCATCATTGACTCACTGTCTAATCAGGCAAACCCCAGGTCCAAGAGCAGGCCTGACACAGTACAGGTGACTGACACTAGCTGAATGATGTGGGAGCCACAAGGACAATAAATAAGAAGCAAACCAGCCTGAGGTCACCATTTGTAGTGGGGAAAGACACGTACTCAACTGTCACACAATATGGAAAAGGTAAAAATCCATGCTAACACGAGCTCCCTTGGGGACCCTGAGGAAGGAGTAAGTGACGCTGCTTGGTAAGGAGCGCGCATCATAGGCTGCTGCCCAGGAACACAGAGGGATATGTGAGTCTGGGGTAGGATTCCAAGTTGAGGGCCGAGCATAAGGAGAGGGAGGGAGGCAAAGGTAGAACAGTGATGAGTCTAGTGGTGGATGGCCCAAGACAGTTTCTGCCTTAAGTGACCCTTCCTGGTTCCACTATTACCAGTGTGAGCCTTGGCCATGTCAAGTTCTCCTTGAGGAGAACAGTATCTGATTCTGGTCTCCCCACAGCCCTGTGAGGTGGCTATTCCTTTACAATTTGTTAGAGATATACTGAGTGAGTCAGTGATTTGTTAGATGACTCACAGATAGTACAGAAAGGATGGCAAAGACAACAGTGTGTAGGAAGTCCCAACTCTGGCCAACTCCTCTAAAGGATTACTGGAGGAAACACCTCTCTTCTCCTTGAGCTTCTATCTTCTGTGCACATGGTCTCACCAGGACAGGAGTGGGTGAGAGGACATGAAGATGACCAAGATGTGCTCTTGTCCCTTAAAGAGTTCAGTGTCTACAAGGAGGGGATGATGATGATGGTGGTGATGGTGATGATGAAGTTGGTTGTAATGGTGATGATGGTGGTGGTAGTGGTGGCAGTGATGGTGGTGATAATGGTGATGATGGAGATGTTGGTAATGGTGATGATAGTGATCATGATGGTGATGGTGATGATGGTGATGATGGTATTATGATAGTGATGATGGTGTTGGTGATGGTGATGATGATGATGATGGTGGTGATGATGATGGTGATAATGATGGTATGATGACAGTGATAATGTTGATGATGTTGGTGATGGGGATGCTAGTGCTGATGACCATGATGATAATGGTGATGGTGGTGATCATCATGATGGTGGTGATGATGGTGATGACGACAATCACGGCGATGATGACGGCATTGTGATAGAGATGATTGAGGTGATGGTCATCATTATGGATGACCACCCCGCCTCGATGGTAGTGATAATGGTGATGGTGATGGTGATGATGATGATGATAATGGTGATAATGATGGTATGATGGTAGTGATAATGGTGATGATGTTGGTGATGGGGATGATAGTAGTGGTGATGATGATGGTGATGGTGGTGATGGTGATAACGGTGATGGTGATTATGAGGATGGTGGTGATGAAGGTGATGGTGACAATAACGGTGATAATGATGGCATTATGATGGTGATGATGATGGTGATGGTGATGATGATGGTGATGATAATGGTGATAATGATGTCATGATGGTAGTGATAATGGTGATGGTGATGGTGATGGTGTTGGTGGTGATAGTGGTGATTATGATGATGGTGGTGATGATGGTGATGGTGATAATGGTGATGATGATGGTGATTATGATAATGGTGGTGATGGTGATGATGGTATTATGATAGTGATGATGGTGATGGTGGTGATGGTGATGATGGTGGTGATGATGGTGATGATAATGGTGACAGTGATGGTATGATGATAGTGATAATGGTGATGATGTTGGTGATGGGGATGGTGGTGGCGATGATGGCGATGATGATGATAATGATGGTGATCATAATGAGGATGATGATGGTGATGATGACAGTGGTCACTGCAATGATAACAGTAGTGGTGATGATGAAGATGATGATGATGACAGTGATAATGATAACCATGACACAGTGATGATTACTATGTATTGAATCCTAATAAGTCAGAAATTATGCTAACCATATCACCTTCACCACAACCCTAAGTGGATATTATGATTACTGTTTGTATAATATTATTACTGTTTAATAATAATAATAATATTCTCTTTCTCTAGATAAAGAAGCTGAGCCTCAGAGACTCCAAGTAACTACCCGAAGGTCACATTTCTAGAAAGCAGTAGAAGTTTGATTGAAACCCAAGTCAAATCTCCCGATCTCCCGAGTCTTTGCTGTTCAAATGATAGATGATGTTCCCCTCTATACACACCCACTGCCAATCTTAGTGCAGGCAAAACATAAATTAGAGGCATAACCTGTTCTATTTCACTTTGCTTTGTTGAACTTCACAGAGAATTTGTTTTTGCAAATTGGAGGCTTGTGGCAACCCTGCAACGAGAAAATCTATCAGTATGATTTCTCCAATAGCACATGCTCACTTCATATCTCTGTTACATTTGGGTAATTATGGCACTATGTCAAATTTTTCATAATTATTATATCTGTTAGGATGATCCATGGTCAGTGATCTTTGATGTTACTATTGTTCTGGCGTGGCATGAACCACACCCATATAAGACAGGAAACAGGCCGGGCGCGGTGGCTCACGGCTGTAATCCCAGCACTTTGGGAGTCCGAGGCAGGTGGATCATGAGGTCAGGAGATTGAGACCATCCTGGCTAACAAGGTGAAACCCGGTCTCTACTGAAAATACAAAAAATTAGCCGGGTGCGGTGGCGGGCGCCTGTAGTCCCAGCTACTCGGGAGGCTGAGGCAGGAGAATGGCGTGAACCCGGGAAGCGGAGCTTGCAGTGAGCCGAGATTGCGCCACTGCAGTCCGCAGTCCGGCCTGGGCGACAGAGCGAGACTCCGTCTCAAAAAAAAAAAAAAAAATATATATATATATATATAGGAAACAATAAAAGTTCTGTGTGTTCTGACTCTTCCACTGACCAGCTGTTCTCCCATCTCTCTCCCTCTCCTTGGGCCTCCCTATGCCCTAAAACACAATAATATTGAAATTAGGAGAAGTCATAACCCTACAGTGTCCCCTACATGTCCAAGTGAAAGGAAGAGTCACACATCTCTCATTTGAAATCAAAATCTAGGAGTGATTAAGCTTAACAAGGAAGCTTAACAAGAAAGTTGAGTCAGGCCAAAAGTGAGGCCTCCTGCACCAAAGAGTAAACCATCACGTGAATGCAAACAAAATGTTCCTGAAGGAAATTAGAAGGGCCACTCCAGTTAACATGCAAATGATAAGTGAAACAGGCTTTAGTGCTGATAGGGAGAAAGTTTTAACCGCCAAACTTTGATGATCGAGATGGTCACAACATTCATTTAATCCAAAGCCTCATCCAGAGCAAGGCCCTGACTCTCTTCAATTCTCTGAAGGCTGAGAGAGGTGAGGAAGCTGCAGGAGAAAGGCTGGAAACCAGCAGAGGTTTATTCATAAGGTTGAAGGAAAGGAGCCGTCTCCATAGCAGGAAAGTGCGAGGTGAAGCAGCAAGTGCTGCTGGAGAAGCTGCAGCAAGTTCTCCAGAAGATCTCACTCAGATCATTGATGAAGGTGGCTACACTAAACAACAGATTTTCAGTGTAGACAAGACAGTCTTCTATTGAAAGAAGATGGCATCTAGGACTTTCGTAGCTAGAGAAAAGAAGTCAACGTCTGATTTAAAAGCTTCAAAGGACAGGCTGTCTTCTTAGGGGGCTAATGTAGCTGGTGACTTTAAGTTGAAGTCTATCCTAATATATCATTCAAAAAAACTGAGGGCCCTTAAGAATGATGCTAAATCAATCGGCCGGGTGCGGTGGCTCAGGCCTGTAATCCCAGCACTTTGGGAGGCCCAGGTGGGTGGATCATGAGGTCAAGAGATAGAGACCAGCCTGGCCAACATGTTGGAACACCATCTCTACTAAAAATACAAAAATTAGCTGGGTGTGGTGGCGGGCACCTGTAGTCCCAGGTACTTGGGAGGCTGAGGCAGAAGAATCGCTAGAACCTAGGAGCAGGATGTTGTAGTGAGCCAAGATCACGCCACTACACTCCAGCCTGGTGACAGAGTGAGACTCCATCTCAAAAAAAAAAAAAAGGAATTATACTAATTTAATCTGTGCTCTATAAATGGAACAACAAAGCCTGGATGACAGCACATCTGTTTACAGCACACGTTACTGAATATTGTAAGCCCACTGTTGAGACCTAATGCTCAGATAAAGAGATTCTTTTCCAAATATTACTGCTCCTTGACAATGCACCTGGTCACTCAAGAGCACTGATGGAGATGTATAAGAAGATAAACGTTTTCATGCTTGCATACACAATATCCATTTTGCAGTCCATGGATTAAGGATTAGTTTTGACTTTCAAGTCTTATTATTTCACCATATATCTTGTAAGACTATAGCTGCCATAGATTCCTCAGATGGAGTTGGGCAAAGTCAACTGAAACCTTCTGGAAAGAATTTAGCATTCCAGATGCCATTAAGAATATGCATGTTTCATAAGAGGAGGTGGAAATGTCAACATTAACTTTGGAAGAAGTTGATTCCAACCCTCATAAACGACTTTTTTTTTTTTTTTTGAGATGGAGTCTCATTCTGTCACCCAGGCTGGAGTGCAGTGGAGTGATCTCGGTTCACCACAACCTCCGCCTCCCACCTCAGCCTCCTGAGTGGCTGGGACTACAGGTGCCCACCACCCCACCCTGCCAATTTTTTGTATTTTTAGTAGCGACAGGTTTTCACCATTAGCCAGGATGATCTCGATCTCCTAACCTCGTGATGTGCCCACCTCGGCCTCCTGAAGTGCTGGGACTACAGGCTTGAGCCACCGTGCTCAGCCAAGAATATTCACGACTCATAAGAGGAGGTGAAAATATCAACATTAAGTTTGGAAGAAGTTGATTCCAACTCTCATGGATGACTTTGAGTTATTCAAGTCTTTGGTGGAGGAAGGAACTGCAGATGTGGAAATAGCAAGAGAACTGGAATTAGAAGTGGGACTGAATTGCTGCAATCTCATGATATAACTTGAATGGATGAGGAGTTGCCTCTTTGGGAGGAGCAGAGGAAGTGGTTTCCCAAGACGGAATCTACTCCTGGTGAAGATGCTATGAACACTGTTGAAATGTCCACACAGGATCTAGAATATTCCATAAACTCAGTGGATAAAGCAGTGCAGGGTTTGAGAAGATTTCATCCAATTTTGAAATAAGTTTTACTGTGGGTAAAATGCTATCAGACAGCAGTGCATGCTACAGAGAAATCGTTCGTGAGTCAATTAATGCAGAAAACTTCTTTGCTGTTTTATTTTACGGAATTGCCACAGCCACCCCAACCTTCAGCAACCACCACTCTGCTCAGTCGGCAGCCATCAACATGAGGCAACACACTCCACCAGGAAAAAGATTACAGGCCACTGAAGATGCAGGTGATTCTTAAGTATTTTTAACAAGGTATTTTTTAATTAAGGTATATACACTGCTTTTTTAGACATTATGCTATTACATACTTAATAGACTACATAGAGTATAAATATAACTTTAATGTGCATTGAGAAATCAAAAAATGTGTGTGCCTCATTTTATTGCAAGATTCATTTTATTGCAGTGGTCTGGAACCAGACTCACTATCTCTAAGGTATGCCTGTTATGTAAGTCATTGAGAATGCTGAAGAAGATGTTGATGGTCAGGTCATTTCTGGATCAGAAGAAATATTCCCTTTGTTCAGACCTTCCAGGCTGCATACAACCCAGCACCCCAGCCTCCGGTGGACCAGCCATCCTCTCCGCGTCTGCCGGCTCGAGCCCCACTCATCCTTCCACTGGGGCCGAGGTCTCACGATGTCATCTCCCTGGCCTCCTGCAGGCTGAGCTGACCACTGGGCACCTTGGGTGGGAACACAGGGAGCTGCTCTGACTGCCCACAGCACTCAGGCCAGCTGACTGGCCCTGCTCCCTTTCCTGTCTGGCCTGTGAGTCTTGGCCTCTTCACCTTGCATTTCCTGTCTCCCAGGAAGGTGAGAGCAGTGCTGAGTTTCATATTTTGCCTTAGGATGGTTCTCCTCACTCTCTCCTAACTGGCAGGCAGGAGTTGGTCCCTCTGTCACTCAATCTCCTGAAGGCTGTGATGTCCAGATCGTTCCGAAACCTGCTGTGGGCCTGGCCCAAGGGGCTCAGGACACATAAAACCTGCAAATGGATGTAACGAGATCTCTGAGACCCAAACCAGGCTGTCTTCTCCCTTATCTCCAGAAAGGCAGTACACACAGCATGAGACGTGGGTGGTGACGCAGTGGGACAGGGGCTGACATGGTCAGGAGCTGTGGAGATGGCATTTGTGGCTGACACCAGCCCTGTGATGATGTTCTCAGGACTTCTTTAGGCCAGCTTCAGTTCTCTCTAAGTTCCCTTCATACCACAAAGGCCCTCAGCCACAAAAGGGAGCTGAGTCCTAGCACAAATGAACCATCCACATCTTCCTGTCCCTCCTACTCCTCCCCATCTCTCTCTCCCCTGACATCTGTCTCAGCACCACTGCAACATCCAGCCAGTTAAGTGTTCCTCCCTGCCCCAGCCCGAGCTGCCTGAGGACAGGGGCTTCTTTTTATGAGTCAGAATCTCACTCTTTTGCCAGGCTGGAGTGCAGTGGTGCAATCTCAGCTCATTGCAACCTCCACCTCCTGGGTTCAAGCAACTCTCTTGCCTCAGCCTCCAGAGTAGCTGGGACTACAGGCACCCTCCACCACGCCCGGTTTATTTTTGTATTTTTAGTAGAGACAGGGTTTTGCTGTGTTGACCAGGATGGTCTTGATCTCTTTACTCCATGATCCATCCGCCTTGTCCTCCCAAAGTGCTGGGATTATAGGCATGAGCCACTGTGCCTGGCCATTTCTGTTTTTAATTTGCATAACCAAACCGAAGCTATTAAACTTGGATGGCATTGAACAGCATTGGATCAACATTCCAGACAAGGAACACTCCTGGGTAGTATTATCCAACAGTCAAGAAAAGTCTGGACTTCACAGCGGGGCTGATGGGTGTTTCTGCCTACTGAGCCTTGCTTGTACTCAGTGGACTGTGCAGATCATAAACTATAGCAATGATCCTGGTGAAGGGAGGCTACATCACTGAGGTCTGCAGAGCTGTAAGTTACAGAGCTAGGGTTGGCCATGCTGTTGAACAGAGTGATACATCTACACCCCTCTTAGTACAGTTCATGTTCAAGCTCAAATCAAAACCAAAGAGCAGGCAAGGCAACATAGGGAAAAGGTCTCTATGAAAAATAAAATTTTTAAAAAACTAGCCAGGCATAGTGGTATGTGTCTGCAGTCCCAGCTACTCTGGAGACAGAGACAGAAGTGTCCCCTGAGCTGGGAGGTTGAGGCTGCAGTGAACTACGATTGCACCACTGCATTCCAGCCTGGGTGACAGAGCAAGACCCCAACTCAAAACAAAACAAAAGAAAAAATGGAGAGAGTGAGGGAAAGTCACTCACACTTGGTTCACAAGAGTTACAAGTATTCTGCAAGGTGAGAGGCTAAGAACTGAGACTACTGGACTGTGGGCAGAATGCAGGCACTGGAGACAGGTAAAGGCAGCTGTGTTTGGCCTGAGTCTGCCACTTATGCTGAGTTATGAGTCACTCAGGCTGCTGTGGCAAAGCACCACAGAACAGGCTGCTTAAACCACAGACATTTATTGTCTCCCATTCTGGAAGACATATCTGAGATCAAGATGTCTGCAGCGCTGGTTCCTCCGCAGGCCTCTCTTCCTGGCTTGCAGATGGACGCCTTCTCTCTGTGTCCTCAGGTGGTTGTCCCTCTTTGTGTGTCTGCATCCTCACCTCTTCTTCTCATAAGGACTCCAGTCCGATGGGATCAGGGCCCACTCTAACAACTTCATTTAACTTGATTGCCTCTGTAAAGACCCAATCGCCAAATAAAGTCTCATTCTGAGGTCCTGGGTTACAACTTCAATCGATATAGAAATTTTGGTGGGGGAGAGACTTAGCCCACAACACTGAATGACCATGGGGTGAGTCTCTGCAACCTACCGAGGGCCACCACCTCCATGTGGTGGGACACGTCCGCACTGATGAGTAAGATACATAAACAATGGTGGATCAGCAAACCAGTGCCAAAAAGTATCTGGCCTGCCAGGGTCACAGCAGCTTCTTGGGCAATGCTGTTTTGATTTACAGCAATGTAGCAAGAAGAGTTTCCTGTGAGAGACTAAATTGCCTTCCAAATCTGCTTTGGGCCCTGTAAAATGGCGATGATGATGGGTGATTTTGGAAGATTGTAGTGAGGACAAGGGAGTGTCTAAACAAAGCTTGAGAAAATGGTAAATATTATACCATATAAAATAGGTCTTATTGCCATGGGTTATCTGAAGGCTGTGGAAAGGGCCATCCACAACATGAGGCTTGGATTATACTGATGGATTCAGGGACTTCCACCTCTATGGCTTCTGCTAATTCACCTTCCTCAGGTGAGACTTACATCCACCTTCCTCTTGACTTCTACCCAAGGAGCCCAGGAAAAGCCAAGAGAACAAGGGGGAAGAAATGCCAGAGCATCTCAGGTCATGGCCCCATGGGGACATTCCCTATTCAGGATCTGGAGCCAGAAACACAGACCTCAGGGACGATCAAGATGCCAGCTCTGCAAACGAATGTAAGCAGTGTTCAGCACGAACTTAGGAAAGCCAGAAAAACTCCAAGTTTCTGAGCACATCATTCATTACAAAGAAGCGCATTTCACATTCAGAATTTCCTCTGCAGTTATGGTTTCTGTCATCATCAATTTCTGCATGATGCATTTTTAAGGGCCCATCATAAACACAAGCTTAGCAGGGGCCACAGAAAGGTACATGCAGACATCTTCGGGCCTTTGATAGCTGTTCACATGCAATCCATGTACTTGCACGCCTCTGACAGATAACCAACATCAAGGTCATCCCAAACTACAATTGGTTTATTCCCAAATGCAATTATCCAAATGAAATAATACTTCTTACTGTGGACAGAGGCCCATTGGACTGGTGCTCATGGTGGCAAACACTAAAACCCTGGCATGCACGGGTAACACACGAAGCTGAAATCAGACACATCAATGGAACAGGGAAATACGGGGTGACCTTGACTCAGAAGGACAGCCTAGTCGGGGGGTGCTGAGGTCCAAGAGTCAGGCTTAGTGCTTCTGCATGTTTAAATGCCAATAAAGCATAACGGAGCTGTGGATTTGGTTTTCCAGTCAGAACATTTTTCGCACAGTGAAAGCTTCATGGCAGCCGCTGGATGCTGTGGTGAAGTGGTGGGCAGACTGTATCTCTGGGAGATTAGTAAGAGGCTGCCTGTCTGTCTCTGCTATTGTCAAGGTGATGCTAAACTGGGAGACAATGCTAGGTTCTGCCAGCGGTCCATGGACTCCTTGGGGGTGACTTAATCTTCCTCTTTTCATAGCCATGATTTCAGGCAGAGCCATTGTAAAGCAGAGATCAGATGCTGGCCAGAGAAGTCCCTTTAGGAGCAATAAATTGAAGTGAAGTAACAGGCAGCCATGGAGGGGGAGTTATAATTTAAAATCCTGACTGCAGACACAAAACACTTACTATGCACCCACAGCCTGGCTCGTAAGCGTGTTAAACACATCATCTCTTCCTTATGTTCTCCGGAAGGCAGCATTAGTACCCCCAGGACCAAAGAGGAATACTCCAAAAATGCCAGATCATTCCCAGAGCCACACAGCTGCAAGAGGAGGAATGGTGATTAAGGGAGACCCCAAGGCTGAGCTAATGAGTCCAACTCGATCCTGGCAGCACACAGATGGAGCCATGAGTCAGGAAGATTAAGCCAGCAGGAGGCCAGAAAGTGGATTACAGAGGAGGCCACAGAAGCGGGTGAGGCTGCTGCCGGGACGCAGATGCTGCTCAGAAGCTCTGGTGCAGGAGGACTTGTCCGCCCAGAAGGGAGGGCAGCAAGTGAAGGGTGGAGGCTGGTGGGGAGGCAGAGTCAGAGCCAGGCTGGAGGAATTGTCCAGGTCCAAACTCAGAGCAAAGATGTTGGAAAAATTCCTCACCCTTGGATTTAACACAGAAAAGTAAAAACTGATGATCTGTGGCCCTGGTATTGCCACCCTCTGGATAAGCCTTACCAACTTGGGATGCCAGCAAAGAAGGGATGGCTGCTCCTCACCAGCATGGCCCCAAACCACAATACTCCTCCCACAGTGTGGGATTTACAGAGCTTTGCTACAGAACTTGTAGTAATTCCAGACCAAAGTCAATTTTCCTATACATTGTTTTCTCCATGAGATTTAAATAGGTATTAACTCCAAGCTAATGAGGAAGAGCACCTCAAGTCAGACGTTTTATGTGCAGGCTATGGAGACCCCGCAAACTGGGCCAATCTCTCCCATATACAAAGCACGAACCGAATAAGTAACAGAGGAAGGGTCCACATATAATCCTTACAATATTTGCTTTAAATGATGTGTAAGAAAATAAAGTCCTTCTCTGCCTTTATCGAGGATGCCCTGTGACATGAATAATAACCAATATGATCAAGGTTTGACTTTCCATGGCAACTTTCATTGGAGGGCCCCAGGGCCTTCCCTTTTGTTCTAAACAATTTGTAACTCACCAGTTTCTTGACTAAAATGGTCAAGTGTAAACCACTCCTCTTAAGGACATGGAGGCTAGTTTTCACTGCTGTATTACAGAGACAATAGAGGCAGAAGGCTGAGGGGCTGGGGAGCAGCACTCTCTTTGGCCTTAGCAACCAGTTAATGAAACCATAAAGGAAATCAGATTCCATGCCTTCTACCTCCCCAAGAGGTAATCCAAATGCATAATACAAAGGACATGGTGGGGCTACTCAAAGTGGAGACCAAAGATCCTAATCATGTATTTCTATAATCAAGAGAATGGATAGATGGGTGAATGAGTGGATGGAGGGAGGGAGGGAGAGAAGGGTGAGGTGTGTAGGAAGATGAGTGGATACATGGATGGGTGGCTGGGTAGGTGGGTGGCTGGGTGGATGCATGGATGGATGGATGGATGGATGGATGGATGGATGGATAGATGGCTTCCTGGCTGGGTAGATGGGTGGCGGATGGATGGATGGATGGATGGATGGATGGATGGATGGATGGCAGACAGGCAGGTAGGCTGGATGGATGGATAGATGGACAGATGAGTGAGTGGAGGGGGGATGTGGATGGGGAGATGTGGATGGGTTGGCGGGTCAGGGGATGGGTGGGTAGGTGGGTGGAAGCATAGAGTGGAGGGGTGGTCTATGGGACCCCCCTGGTTATGCTGGAGTCAGTGTAGGGCCACACTTCATGGACTCAAAGTTTTTGAATAAAGACCATTATCACGTTACATCTTCTGCCCAAGTTCTTTTTGATAACTTTTCTTTTAGGGCAGAAAATGTGCTCATGTCAAGGCCACATATACCTAAACTTCTACTTAAGTCTATAATCCCAGAAGAATTTCCTTTCATTTAGCGAACAAGCAGCTGGGAGAGAACATTCTGGAACAAAACATCTGAAACTGAAAGGGCAGCCCAAAGGAAAACTATTTTTTTTTTTTTTTTTTTAGAGAAGGGGTCTCATTACGTTGCCCAGGTGATCCTCCTGCCTGAGCCTTCTCAGTAGCTGGGATTACAGTTGTGCACCACTGCACCAGGCTACATTCGTGGATAAAAGAGCTTTTACCTTTCTCAGTGGACTGGGTGACTTGACAGTGCAGAAAGCTCCTCCATGGCAGGAGGCCTGGAGTGGGCACTGGACACAGCACAGGTGGGAGGGGAGGAGCTCATCTCCAGCAGGAGAGGCAAAGAACTGAGAAAGAGCTTCCCTCTCAGTCCACGTGTGGTGCCACTCCATCACTGGCAATGGCCAGAGCAGGCATCTGGGGAGGGGAGCGGGGGAAAGGGGAAGTGACTGCCAGCAGGGGTGGGGTTTCCTCTTGGGGGGATGGAAGCTTCCTGAGATTCACAGTGGTGATGGGCTCACTCATCTGTGAATTTCCTAAAATCCAACGACTTGCAAAATTCCAGTGGGTGAATTATATGGCATGTATATTACATCTCAATTCTTTTTGTGGGGGGTTGGAGTCTTGCTCTGTAGCCCAGGCTGGAGCACAGTGGCACAATCTCGGCTCACTGCAACTTCCACCTCCCAGGTTCAAGCAATTCTCCTGCCTCAGCCTCCTGAGTAGCTGGGATTATAGGCATGCATCACCACACCTGGCTAATTTTTCTATCTTTAGTAGAGATGGAGTTTCACCCTTTTGGCCAGGCTGGTCACAAACTCTTGACCTCAAATGATCCACCCACCTCGGCCTCCCAAAGTGCTGGGATTACAGGCATGAGCTGAGAAACTGCAAAGACGCAGGCCTCACATCTTAAACCCTCTCTCCAGGACTGCCGCACTAGCTTTGTCATAGGGAAGTGTCTGTGGGTCTCCAGCTTTCCCTGCACTTCCCAGGGTCCCAGCCTCCAGCACCATTTACCTGGAGCCCCCATTTCTTCTTATCCTTCTCCTCTCACCAGAGAGGCCAAGATTACCCTTTTCAAATATAAACGATGTCATATGCTCTGTACCAAACTCTGCCCATCAAATACAACCATGGCCTCCTTGTCATGACCCTACACCTGGATGCTCACCGCCCACCTCTGCTGCCTCACACACACTGGTCTCGCAGCCCTCAGCCTTCTCTGCTGAGTCAATGCACCAAGTTTGTGCATACCTCAGGCTGGCTGTCCCTGAAGACCCTCACCCTAGAAGATCCCAAGCAAAGACCCTCTCCCATCCTCTGAGGCTCAGTACAGCCATTGGTCCCTCACCCCACAGAGGCAATGGTTTAAATGAATTCACTCACTCCATGGCCAGATACCCAGCATTCACTCTGTTGTACCGGCTGATGGGGTACAAGGATGAGCAGAGCCTGCACTAGGTGTCCTCTTGGAGTGGAACTGCTGCCCAGACACACCCCAGGTGATTAGCCATGAAATCCCCCTGCAAAGAAAGAGCCAGAGGAGAAGCCATGGAGCCACGGAATCCTCAGGAAAAAAAATCCAGTGACTTGCACACTTCCAATACTTGTGTGCCCAGACTAGGGGGGGATATGATTTTTTTTTTTTTTTTGAGATGGAGTCTCGCTTTTGTCACCCAGGCTGGAGTGCAATGGCACGATCTCAGCTCACTGCAACCTCCACCTCCCAGATGCAAGCAATTCTCATGCCTCAGCCACCACACCCAGGTAATGTTTGTATTTTCAGTAAAGACGGGGTTTCACCATGTTGGCCAGGTTGGTCGCAGACTCCTGACTTCAGGTGATCCACCTGCCTCAGCCTCCCAAAGTGCTGGGATTACAGGCATGAGCCACAGTGCCCGGCTGGGGAGGACCTGATTTTTATCCTCACACTGGGAAGAAGTCACAGGAGGGCTGCACTCAGCGGTGGCCAGGGTGTTCACATGTACACAACCACCCGAGGCCTCGCCTAGAGAACTTCTGACAGTCTGGTCTGAAGCTGTTCTGGTTGCCCAAGAGGAATAAGACAGGAAGGCTGGGGTGGTGATGAAGTCTGAGGGAACAACACAGGCTTGCAGGGGTCTAGAAGGTACAGTGACCAGACTTAGGGAGGGACTGCCTGTAGGAGCTGTAGAGAGGAAAGCTCAGGAGGACGCCTACATTCTGGTTGTGACAGCTGAATCAAAGATGGTCCCCACAGCCAAAAAGTGGAAAGAATCCAGCTGACCATCAAATGGGAACGGACTCACAAGATGTGGTCCCTCAATGCAAGATGGTGGCAATCAGAACAAGGCTCAACAGGGCTCTGCTAAATGCCACCCTGGGGATGGACCTCAAAGCTGTCATGCTTCAGCCTCAGTGTCCACCAAGACTGGATCAAGGAAACGTGGTGCATATGTGCAATGGAATACTACTCAGCCATAAAAAAGGAGATCATGTCTTTTGCGGCAACAGGGATGGAACTGGAGACCATTATCTTACATGAAAGGACTCGGAAACCAAAACTCAAATCTTGAATGTTCTCACTTATAAGTGGAAGCTAAATAATGTGTGTGCAGGAACGCAGAGTTTGGAATGATGGACACAGGAGACTCAGAAGTGTGATGGGGGGTGAGAAATTACTCAATAGGTACAAAATACATCATTCAGGTGATGGTCACATGAAAAGCCCACACTTTACTTCTATGCAACATTCTCATGTAATAAAACTGCACTTGTACCCATTAAATTTATACCCAAAAAAGCCAATTATGCTGAGTCAAAGAAACCAGGCACAGAAGGCCACATGTTGTTTGACTCCGTGTCTATGAAGTGTCTGGAATAAGAAAATCCACACAGACAGAAAGTGGCTTCCTGGTCGTCAGGGGCTGGAAGTGGGGGTGGGGATCCACTGCAACCCAGCACAAGGGATGGAAACCTCCCACACCAGGATGGTGGTGACAGGTGCACAACTCAGCAAATCCATTAGGAATCATCAAATGATATTCTTTTGCTTTTTTTTTTTTTTTTGAGATGGAGTTTTGCTCTTGTTGCCCAGGCTAGAGTGCAGTGGTGCGATCTCCACTCACTGCAACCTCCACCTCACAGGTTCAAGGGATTCTCCTGCCTCAGCCTCCTGAGTAGCTGGGATTACAGGCATGCACCACCATGCCCAGCTAATTTTTTGTATTTTTAGTAGAGACAGGATTTCACCATGTTGGCCATGCTGGTCTCAAACTCCTGACCTCAGGTGATCCACCCACCTCAGCCTCCCACAGTGCTGGGATTACAGGTGTGAGCCACTGTGCGCAACCCTGAATTGTATTCTTAAAGTAAATAAATCTTATAATTTATAAATTATAACTCAATAAAACTTTTTGAAAAAAAAGAAAGCCTTTTTTTAGTCTTTTTAAAAAGAATCTTTTCTTAAAAAATAAGTATTAAAATACGTACTTTAAAAAAGTAACTGCTATCTAAGAGAGCAAATAACTGTGGGACCAGATCTGGAGGATGTGAGAGAAGGTTAGGTCATAGCATTGGTTTTGCACAACTTGAGGTGAGGGGCATCTGGGCTTTCAACAGAGAAGTTATCAAGGGGGAAATAAGACTAGGCCCCCCAAGGGAGGCTGCAGCAGGAGAGGTGACCGTGGATGCTGTGTGAATGGAAATTCTATCACCGCCAGGGTGCTGGGTGCAGGGAGCCGCTAACAGAAGTTCTATCAGTGCCAGGGTGCTGGCTGCAGGGAGCTGGACCTGGCCGAGGAGCCCTCCTGCCACCCACTCCCCAGCAGGCCCAGGTGTTGAAGAGAATGCACCAGAAGGTAAATCTGACCAGAACCGGCTTTCTACCTGGAAAAATCCACCTGAGGGAGTCAAGGACAAACCTTCTTGAAGTGGAATTAAGAGGCTGCCACTCAGGATCATGACCACCCAAGCTGTCAATCTCTCAGGCACATGGACTCCATCAACTCCTAGAAGAAGACACCCAGCTCTCACCTCGCAGGGTCCAGGAGCAAGCAGTGAGACACACACACAGCAAAACATCAAAACGCAGCTTCTAACAGTAATGAACCACTCCTGCACCAGCCATCCAGAGCCCTCTCTCACAATGGGCGGGTGCACACACACAGCAAAGCACCTGAACACAGCTTCTAACGGTAACTAACCACCCCTGCACCAGCCGTCCAGAGCCCCTCTCACAATGGCCGGGTGCCTCATGGTCTCTGAGGATGAGGAGTCAGCCCCAGGT
Organism: Homo sapiens; assembly: GCF_000001405.40. Classification (NCBI taxonomy): domain Eukaryota; kingdom Metazoa; phylum Chordata; class Mammalia; order Primates; family Hominidae; genus Homo; species Homo sapiens. Next base: position 11,062,800 of record NC_000024.10, read on the forward strand.
ACAGGAGGGGAAGATAGGCTCAGATGTTGCCAGGACAGGTAGAGTCCTCCCAATATTCAAAAGTAGAGGAATCCTCAAATACAAAATGCAAATGCGGTAATTATGTGCCTGTGACCAAAAAGAGGGGATTAAATCTTGAAGGCGGAGGAGATGAAACCTCCTTACTTTTGGGGTTCTATTTTAATCCACAATAATAAGCAGACGGGCCAAGACCACTTTGGAATCAAGCATATCTGGCCAGGCGCGGTGGTTCACACCTGTAATCCCAGCACTTTGAGAGCCTGAGGTGGGAGGATCACTTGAGTCCAGGAGCTCAAAACCTCTCTGGACAATATAGTGAGACTCTGTCTCTACTAAAAAGAAAAAAAAATCCCAGTGTGGTGGCGTGCACTTGGGAAGCTGAGGCAGGAAGATCCCTTGAGCCAAGGGTCCAGTGAGTCGTGATGGCACCACTGAACTCCAGCATGAGTGACAGAGCAAGACCCTATCTCAAAAAAAAAAAAAAAAAAAAAGAGAAGAAAAAGAAAAATCTGGGAGTCCATTTGGAAGCAGCAGACAGACGAGAGGACATCCCCTTCAGCAGGTGCATGCCACAGGGTGAGGCAGCACAGCAGGAATGAGAGGGCAGGGACCTCCCAGCATGGCAAATGTAGCAGGGATTTTGAGTGACTGTATGGGAGGAGAGAGAGGGAGGACAGGTGAGTGACGATGCATGGTCTTTGAGGGGGGCCAGGATGGCAGTGCAAATGCTTTTTCCTGAATGAAGTACCCCACTGGAAGATGCTTGTGCTTTATAAATGAAAGCGCTGACTCAAGCACAGAATGGGATGCTCATTTTCCCTAAGCATCTGCTGGGAGGTGGGCCAGGTCACAAGGATCAGCCCTCAGAGTGGCAGCTTCAGCTGAGCTACTTGGTGCCAGGCCTCAGGGAGAGGCAGACGCGGGGCTGACGTACACGCCCCAGGAGGGCCCGAGAAAGGCCGCCACAGTCCCGTTCTGTTTTCTTCTCTGCTCTCCTTGCAATATGGCATTCACTGTGGATTAAAGGGTGGGGGGAGGGGGAAGGGATAGCATTGGGAGATATACCTAAAAGTAAATGAGGTAATGGGTACAGCACACCAACATGGGACATGTATACATATGTAACAAACCTGCACATTGTGCACATATACCTTAAAACTTAAAGTATAATAATAATAAAATTTAAAAAAGAAAAAAAGGAAAAAAAGAAAAAGAAAAACCACTTTGGGCCATGGGGCCAGTTTTCTTCCCTCTTCCTCATTCACACTCCCCCAGAAATAACAGAGCTCACTATAGTTTGTATTGATTTTGGCACATACCACTTGTTTTAAAGGCCACACTGAATGCCCAGCGCCAGCACTCCACCACTGTGCATTTGAGAGGTTGGAGAGATGTTGCCCCCCTGTGCCAAGAGCCCACCCCACCACTCCCTGCGTGGCCCAGGAAGCCCACACACACAAGACTATTCAAGTGAGGGCTCTGGTTGTGCCTGAAGGGTTGTGAGCACTGCTAGAGGCTCTCACTCAATGATTTAAAGCTTCAGTCCCACTGGAGGGTGAGGCTCAGAAACAGCATTCACTCAGCCAGCAGCAGTGGGCCCAGACAGCAGGGGAGGAGGGGTGGCATTGGGGGAGAAGAGGGGCTGCCCATGTTCTTCTCCAGCACCAACTCCCAATTGACAGGCACTGGGCCTCAGTGCAGACTCACTCAGCAGCTTCTGGCTGGCTCCTCCAGGCAGGGTTCCAGGAACTGTCTCTTGTCCCTGGCTACACAGAGGACTCAGCCCCACAAAGGATTTCTCACATGGGAACAATGTCTGCTTTGTTGCTGAGAGCTCACACCCAGGGAATTTCTGGTTTCAGCTTCCAGGGGCTTTGTTTGTCTTGAACAGAGTGAAGCAAAGTGGTCTTCAGAAGGTTTCAGAAACAATCAGGGTCCCACGAGTAGAGACTAAACCCTGAAGAGGCCCTGGGCTTCATGAGGAGGTGCTGTAGGTTAAATCTGGGCTGGAGCAGAGCTGTGGCTCCATCCATCACTCCAACAGGTCTCCAGTGCCTCTAGCAAAGTGGGCAGAACATCTGCTGGGGAAACAGTCCCTGCCCTGCAAGGGGAAGATTTCCCTGCCATGGAAAGCATCAAACAGGCAGGGAGGCAGGGTCCAGCCAGGTGTAGGAGGCCCCTGATCTCCCGACACCCTTGCCCCAGTGCTGATGGAGCACCTCACTGGCTGAGATGACCGGGGCCTCACTTCTACGTGGCTGATGAGAGCCACATGATGTGGAGTCCCATGGACTCCACAGCAGTGACAATGAATGAACCCAAGCTACATGCGGATCATCCCCAAAACAACACTGTACAAAAGGAAGGCAATTCGTGGAAGGATTCAAACCACATACTATCATTTCCAGATAAAGGCTGGAAAGATGCCACACAGTCCTACAGATGGTACATGGGCATTTTCACCATGCGTAATGGCACAGAAGCAGTCAACTGGAAAGGCACATGCCCAACGCAGGAGAGCAGTTCCCTCTCGGAGGAAGACAGGGTGGACCACACTGGCCACGTTGCTTGGAGCCATAAACTTCCTGAAAGCAGTTCCAGCAACTATGGGACACGGTCAAACTTGATACAGTTGAGGACACAGATGTTTGCCATATTATTCTCTTTGTTAGAAATCATTCACAAGGAGCAAGGAAGGAGGGCAGGAGTGCAGGGGGCAGAAGAGGCCACCCCAAAATAGGCCACCTGGGCATAAAGACAGTCCTGAGCTGAAGGCGATGGAGGAAAAGCAGGTGTGAGAACAGCTCACTGCCTTCCCCCACCGCCAGTGTGCCTCAAAGCAAGACGTAAATTCAGAAGGAGTACCCACCCCCACCACACCAGGAAGGACAGAAGTTCATCACTGGAGACAGCTTTAGACTGTTGTCAGCCCCACCCTGGAGGAACCTACAGAGCTGACTTCACCAACAGACTAGCCTTCAGCTGCTGTTACTTTCCTAAAGATTGGCCACCCCACAATTTGCCCTCCAGGAACTCACAGGCCTTTCCCTTTGTCTTGTCACTTCTCTGCAAATGTACTGTTCCTGCACTGAGGCGCCATCCCAGCACAAGCTGTAGCCACTTTTTCAGACACTCTTTACTGACCAGTGCTCTATGTGTTCACAAACTGTTTTTCTCTTGCGACTGTGTCTTATGTCAGCTCAATTTCAGGGCCCCAGGTAGAGAGGAGGGTAGTAGAAAAAGAAATTTCTCCTCTGCAGGGGGAGGTATTAGAAGAAAGAAAGGAGGGGAGGGAGGTGAATAGATGAATGGATGGATGGATAGATGGCTGACTGTGTGGGTAGGTGAGAGGGAGGAAGGAAGGGAGGAGGGGAGGGAAGGAGGTAGATGGATGGATGGATGAATGGATGGATGGCTAACTGTGTGGGTAGGTGAGAGGGAGGAAGAAGGGAGGGAAGGCGAAAAGTAGGGAGGCAGGGAAGGAGAAAGGGAGGGAGGGAAGGAGCAAGGGGGGGAGGGAAAGAAGGAAAGAAGGAAGGAAAAAAGGGAGGGAGGTAAGAAGGGAGGGAAGGAGGGAGAGGAGGGGAGAGAGGGAAAGGGAGAGGGAGAGGAAGGGAGAGGATGGGAGGGAGGGAGAGGAAGGGAGAGGAAGGGAGGGAGAGGAAGGGAGAGAGAGGAAAGGAGGGAAGGAGAGGAAAGGAGGGAGGGAAAGGAAGGAAGGGAGGGAGAGGAAGTGAGGGAGAGGGAGGGGGAGTGAGAGAGGGAGAGGGAGGGAGGGGAAGGGAGGGAGGGAGAGGAAGGGAGGGAGTGGGAGAAGGGAAGAAGGGAGAGGAAGGGAGGGAGGGAGAGGAAGGAAGGGAGGGAGAGGAAGAGAGGGAGAGGGAGAGAAAGGGAGGGAGGGAGAGGGAGAGGAAGGGAGGCACTGAGAGGGAAGGAGGGAGGAGGGAGAGGAAGGGAGGGAGAGGGAGGGAGAGAAAGAGAGGAAAGGAGAGAGAGGAAGGGAGGGGCAGAGAGGAAGGGAGGGGAGAGAGAAGAGGGAGAGAGAAGGTGGGGAGAGAGAAGCGGGGAAGAGAGGAAGGGAGGGGGAGAGAGGAAGGTGGGAGAGAGGAAGGGAGGGAGGGAGAGGGAGGGAGAGGAAGGAAGGGAGGGAGAGGGAGGCAGAGGGAGAGGGAGGAACAGAGGGAGAGGGAGGAAGGGAGGGAAGGAGAGGGAAGAGGGAGAGGGAGGTACAGAGGGAGAGGGAGGAAGGGAGGGAAGGAGAGGGAGGGAGAAGAAGGGAGAAGAAGGGAGAGGAAGGGAGGGAGGGAAGGAGGGAGAAAGAGGGAGGGACAGGGAGGGAGAGGGAGGGAGAGGGCAAGGAAGGGAGGGAGGGAGAAGGGGGAGGGCAGGGAGAGGAAGGGAGGGAGGGAGAAGGAGGAAGAGAGGGAGAGAGAGGAAGGGAGGGAAGGAGAGGGAGAGAAAGAGAGTGGGAGGAAGGGAGGGAGAAGGAGAGGAAGGGAGAGGGAGGAAGGGAGGGAAGGAGAGGAAGGGAGGGAGATGGAGGGAAGGAGAGGAAGGGAGGGAGATGGAGGGAGAGGGAGGGAGAAGAAGGGAGAAGAAGGGAGAGGAAGGGAGGGAGGGAAGGAGGGAGAAAGAGGGAGGGACAGGGAGGGAGAGGGAGGGAGGAAGAGAGGGAGAGGGTGAGGAAGGGAGGGAGAGGGCAAGGAAGGGAGCGAGGGAGAGGGTGAGGAAGGAAGGGAGGGAAGGAGGGAGAGAAAGTAAGGGAGGGAGGGAGGGAGAGGAAGGAGGAGAGGGAGAGAAAGGAGGAGAGGGAGAGGACAGGAGGGAGCGGAAGGGAGGGAGCGAGAGGAAGGATGAGAGGAAGAGGACAGGAGGGAGCAAGAGGAAGGGAGGGAGAGGAAAGGAGGGAGAGGAAGGGAGAGAGAGGAAGGGAGAGGAAGGAAGGGAAGGAGAGGAGGGGAGGGAGGGAGAGGGAGAGGAAGGGAGGGAGGGAGAGGGAGAGAAGGGGAGGGAGAGGAAGGGAAGGAGGGAGAGGAATGGAAGGAGGGAGAGGAAGGGAGGGAGGGAGAGGAAGGAAGGGAGGGAGAGGGAGGAAAGGAGGGAGAGGGAGGAACAGAGGGAGAGGGAGGAAGGGAGGGAAGGAGAGGGAGGGAGGGAGAGGAAGGGAGGGAGGGAGAAAGATGGAGGGAGGGAGAGGGAGAGGAAGGGAGAGGGAGAGGAAGGGAGGGAGGGAGAAGAAGGAAGAGGGAGGGAGGGAGGAGGAAGAAGGAGGGAGAGAGGGAGAAGAAGGAAGAGGGAGGGACAGGGAGGGAGAGGGAGTTAGAGGAAGGGAGGGAGAGGGAGAGACAGAGGGGGAGGGAGGGAGAGGAAGAAAATGATAAGAAGGAAAGCTGAGAAGACTTCCTAATGCAGGACCTAAGTCTGCTCCCAATTATTCACATTAGAGGAATGTCAGGGTAGCAATGACATTGATAATCCCAAATCAATAGTATAGTCTTCTATTAAGTCTCTGGCTATAAACCAAAATATATTTACTGTGTACCAATTATACATGAGGGATCCCCCTAGGGTGCATGTGGCTTCATGTCCAGCGCACGTTCTTTCTTTGTAAGGAAGGCGCCATGCCATTGTCCACAGTTTTTGGAGCACCCTGTGTCCAACCACCTAACACAATCCCTGCCTAGGTCTCCTGGGGACTTTCGGCTACATGGAGTGGGTAAGGGCAGGAACTTCTCACCCTGTGTTTAGACACTTCACAAGGCAAAGACGACGGCACGAGCCAAGAAAAGGGGGCACCTGTTTCTTACTCTTGAGTCCCTAAAATGAGAGTGGGCTTTATAAGAATCCTGAAATTAGGAGTTTTCACAGAACATCTGGGTTTCAGTCATCTCTAGAAAAATCACAGGCTACTGCCTCCTGAGCCCACTCTACCCACCTTGCAGCCATGTGGGTACCGAGCCGTGTGGCCCTCTGGACGGGGCAAGGGCAACATGATTCACCCAGCCCCACCTCACTATGCCCTCTGCATGCTGGGAGCCACTGCCCCTCACCATCCAGGTACACTGAGGCTCACCCTGCACTCAACGCACCCACCCCATCAGCCCTGGGCCCGGGCAGCAGAATAGTGGACCCTGTGCTAGTGTTTTATAACTGGGGGGCCCTGTGAGTGTTCAGGAACCTCCCAGGGAGGCCACGGGCAGTTCACCAGGAACCAACACTCTATGTCCAATTAGGAGAAAGCTGATACCCGCTGTTGAGTCCCAGCACTCTTCCAGCATGGGAAGAGCCTGCCGGGTAGCAGGGTGCACTGGAACCACATCCTCAGCAGGCACTCAGGCCTCGCCCCTCAGCTTTGCTGCCCAGAAACCTGACAGCAGCCACTCCTCATCAGATATCAACCTCCACCTGTGGCTGTGATGCCACCCTATTCCACCCGTTTTTGTTCTTCATCCTCATTCTCCTGGGCCCTGCTGGGTTGGAAAGCAGCACAGGCATGAGGTTGAAGGGAAGGAGCCCTTCTTAAGTGGAGCAAAATCTACTCAGAGCTCACATCACTCATTGATGCAGAAAGAAGCCTAGTGTTGTAGCGAGGCCAGCCTCAGCGTCAACATCTGAAATACGGGAGGTGGGAGGAGCCTGCAGCTCAGAGCCCTGGCACAGAGCAGAAAAGGCCCACACTGATTCTGCCCCTGCTCAGGTCAGATAATGTCTGACTGGCAAGAGCAGGCGAGAGACCATCCAGGCTCCAAGCTGTTTCCAGGGGTGTGTGTGTAGGAAGCCCCCGTCAGTGGACAGTGGACACCCAGTGAACACATGCTGGGTGGCCGGCCAGGGCTCCTGATCACAGACACCCACAAGAGCAGTCAGGGGGACATGAAGGGGTTGAGGCTGGCAGAATGTGGTCCCTCAATCAGCCAGGCAGCAGCATTCCCACTCTGGCCACAGCTGGTAGGTAGGAACACAGGTCTGGTGTTGCCAGGCCTGCAGATATCTTTTAGATATGTCAGATTTGACCAAAAAAAACATGAAATTTAGAAACATTGGAAATTCACTTTGTTTTTTATTGAGACAGAGTCTCACTCTGTCACCCAGGCCAGAGTGCAGGTTTTCAATCTCGGCTCACTGAAACCTCAGCCTCCCATGTTCAAGTCATTCTCCTGCCTCAGCCTCCCAATTAGCTGGGATTACAGGTCCCTGCCACCATGCCTGGAGAATTTTTTGTACTTTTAGTAGAGACGGGTTTTCACCATGTTGGCCAGGCTGGTCTCAAACTCGTGACCTCAAGTGATCCACCTGCCTCCACCTCCCAAAGTGCTAGAATTACAGGCATGAGCCACCACGCCTGGCCAGAAATTCACTGTTTTTAACGGATTACTTTGCAGGCCACATAGTACACATCTACAGCTGGCCCTGAGTCCAGGAACAAAACCAACAGCCCACAGCAGGAAGGACGGCAAGGAGGGGCTCCTGAGGCCACAGCCCCTGCTTCTGCCAGTGGACATCTTCACCCCCTAGGACTCCTGTGTCCCCTTAGTACCGGCTCTGGGGGTGACGGTGAAAACAGGCGCATCTGCCCCCAAGCCATGGTGCAGAAGGGCCCCGGTGCTTGGTCTGAAGAGGAACTGGGATTTTGTGCAGAAGCAGGTGAGCAGACAGGAGGAGAAGGCTGGGTCACACTTCCTGGGCTCTTTCCAGAACCATCCTGGGAGCTCATGGCCAGAGATCTGACTGGGAGGGTCTTGACCTTGGTAAGGGGCTTGAGTAACATGATTAGCAGCTTCCTGGGAACAGCAGACACCTGATCACTGCCTGGGAAAACATTTAATTATTAACTCCCGGGTGGAGAGCCACCGGGCATGGCAGACGGCACAAGTCCCATCTGCGTTTCAGACAAACAACAAAGACACTTTACTGCATGTCCCAAATAATTGCAGGGGACATCCTTACATTAAAAAACTCTCTGCTGTTCATCTGAAATTCAGGCAGAACTGGGTGTGCTGCATTTTATCTGGCAACACCATGGGAGAGCCAGGGGGGCTGGGCTGAGTTCTCTTACCCCGTGAGGCCCAGCACGCCGGGAGGCTCCGCAGAGAGAATGAAAGCAAAGCCGAAGACGCAATCTGAAATCCTGGCTTCCCCAGGAAAAGCCAGTGCCAGGTCAGAGGAGAGGAAGGTTGCTCACCTACCCGGGCAACCGTTTTCTATGTAACTGATCTCTTGGGTGGGTGGGGGGTGGGGGGAGAGGCTATAAAATCCCAGGTCCATGAACTTCAATGACTCTTAGTGTGTGTATCTTTCCTTGGCCCTCCTAGGGTAGCTACTAATGAGGAGAAAAGAAAATCATCACAGTCAAAGCAAGTTCAACAAAAACTTAGCATTTTGCTGCTAACTTACTCCAAGAAAACCTAAAATCCTCAACTGGCTCATTCGTCCTCCAATACCTCTGATGAAAAGGTAGAGAGACTTTTCCACTAATTATTTCAGCCACTGTGAAAATATGAAAGCTGACCTGGGAGAGAAGATACATAATAAAAACAAACAAAAAACCTCACAGCCAGGGCTGACTTTGTCAAGGTTAGAGTTGCAAAACCTTTGTAAACACCTTTAAAAGTGCAAGAGTTCAGCCAGGCGCAGTGGCTCACGCCTGTAATCCCCGCACTTTGAGAGGCCAAGGTGGGTGGATCACCTGATGTCACTCAGGAGTTTGAGACCAGCCTGTAAACATGGTAAAACCCCATCTCTACTAAAAATACAAAAATTAGCCGGGTATGGCGGTGGGCGCCTGCAATGCCAGCTACTTGGGAGGCTGACGCAGGAGAATCTCTTGAACTTGGGAGGCAGAGTTTGTAGTGAGGCAAGATCATACCACTGCACTCCAGCCTGGGCAACAGAGTGGGACTCTGTCTCAAAAAATAAACAACGACAACAACAACAAAAACCGTGCAAGAGTTTCCTCAGCTGAACTCTGATTTAAGATACTTTTTCACCATAAGAAGGTTTTTATTGATATGGAATCTCTGAGAGACACCCTGTGTGTGAAACACATGGAAACCGAGATTTTGTGACTAAACATTTCATTTATTTTGCGCATTCCTGTGTAAAATGCGCCCGTCCTCAAGGCAGTGAGGACCCCGAGGCTACCCTGGTGCCATTTACAGACATTTAAACTCGGGGTCAAATGGTTGCAGGACTGACAGCACTCCATGGGAACCCGTGGAACTGGAACAGAATATTCAAGGAATCCAGGTTCCATCGGATGTTAGAAAATTGCCGTTCTAGGAGCTGACATAAACATAGGGCTGAGGGCAATTGCGAGGGGGTGGGCTTCAGGGAAGGGTGGGCCGCCAGCCAGTCCAGAGTTGGCAGGTGTGAGGGAAGAGGAGGCCAGCCAGGTGTGAGGGAAGGGGAGGCCAGCCAGGCAGAGGAGAGAAAGGCATGCCGGCTTCCTTCTGTTCATTTAATCCACTGTTCTCCTCCCCGCACCTGCAAAACACATCAGCTGAGAAGGAGCTAGAACACAACATATGGGGGCCCTGGCCAAGGGAGTGGACTGCTCTGGAAGTTGCTGCAAAAGCAGACCTTCTGACACACTGCCACAAATACTGGAGGGCTGAACTTACCCCTGCCCACACTACCGGAGGGGAGGACCTACCCCTGGCCCACACTCCCAGAGGAGGGATGGACCTACCCTGCCCACACTCCCAGAGGAATGGACCTACCCCCGCCCACGCTCCCAGAGGGATGGACCTACCCCAGCCCAGTCTCCTGGAGAGATGGACCTGTTCCGCCCACACTCCCAGAGGGGTGGACCTACCCCAGCCCACGCTCCCACAGGGGTGGACCTATCCTGCCCACGCTCCCAGAGGGGTGGACTTGCCACAGCCCATGCTCCCACAGGGGTGGACCTATCCTGCCCATGCTCCCAGAGGGGTGGGCCTACGCCCATCCAGGCTCCCAGAGGGATGGACATGCCACACCCATGCTCCCAGAGGGGCGGATCTACTCCACCTAGGCTCCCAGAGGGGTGGATCTACCCCAGCCCACGCTCGTGGAGGAGTGGACCTATCCCCACCCATGCTCCCGGAGGAGGGGTGGACCTACACCAGCCCACACTCCCAGGGGAGGGGTGGACCTACCCCAGCCCACACTCCTGGAAGTATGAACCTACCCCAGCCCACACTCCCGGAGGAAGGGTGGAGCTACCCCAGCCCACACTCCCAGAGGGATGAACCTACTCCAGCCCATGCTCCCAGAGGAGGGGTGGACCTACCCCAGCCCATGCTCCCGGAGGAGGGGTGGACCTACCCCAGCCCACGCTCCCAGAGGGATGAACCTACCCTGTCCATGCTCCCAGAGTAGGGATGGACCTGCCCCTCCCATGCCCCCCGCCACGCCCTCAACATGGAGAAGCCACCAGCCCCCAGTAACTGAAGCAGAACCTGGCGGGGAGGTCTGGGGATCCGACCACATCAGTGCTGGGATTCAGTCTAGCACCACCTCTTCCTGCAGTCTTGCCTAGAAGCTGTCCCCCAAACCCGCCCTGCCCCACTACTCCTCAAAGCCCCCCAGAGAGGTGGCCCATCCCATCCACCCCAAATAGAGTGACTATGGCTGTGTCCACATGAAACCACGTGGCAACCCCACGTCAGGGCTGTGCCTTCTGCCACGTAGGCCCCAGGAATCAGCATGGCATTAGACTCACTGTGAGCTGAACTGGGTCCCCAGCTCAAATCCGTATGTGGAAGTCTGAATCTCTGGGGCCTGGGAAATTGACAGTATTGGAGACAAGGCCTTTAAAAAGTAGTTAAGTTTCCACAAGGTCTTACAGGTGGGCCCTAATGCAAGGCTGGTGTCCTTACCAGAAGAGGAACTCTGGACACACAAGAGTCACCCAGGGGTGCAAGTGCACAGAGGGATGATCATGGGAAGACACAGCAAGAAGGCAGCCACGTGCACACCAGGGAGTGAGACCTCAGGAGGACCCAGCCCTGCCACACCTTGATCTCAGACAAACAGCCTCCAGAACTGTGAGACCATCAATGTCTGTCATCTAGGCTGCCAGTTCTGTGGTGCTTTGTGATGGCAGCCCGAGCTGACTCCTCCAGTCCCCAGGACCCTCCTGATAGGTTTGTGAAACAGATGCATGGAACAAACAGATTTCTGAAAAGAACCTCCATCTATCCAGGTTTCCTGGGATTTCCCTAATCACCATCAGACAAACACTCTGTTGCCAGCCCCGCTGGCATCTCGGGATGAACTCAGGAAACGGGATCCTGCCTCTGAGTTTCTGCCCTCCACTGGTGTCACCATCTCCTGCCCTGAGTTTCTCTCCCTGTTCAGCCAAATCCTTCCCTTTCAGACTCGTTCTACCCCAGGTCAGTACCAACTGCCTATGGTACACAAGCTCCCCTTCCTCTCACCTCAGAGGGCCTGGAGTCAACGCCTAATTCCACATCTAATTCCTTCCTAAACTGTGCCTCCTGACTCCAGCTCTGACAACTAATTCCATTACACATACACCCTCAAACCCTCCTCTGGACATATACATTTGTGAAATGTAACTGGATAGAACAAAAACACACAGGTCATTTTGCTGCTGAATTTTTAAGAGGGCTTTATATAGCAGTGTCTCAGAGAGAGGGGTAAATGCAGCATTTCCCAAGTGCCCCTGCCCCAGACATTCTTTTCCCCTGGGGCTCATAAACAATCTCCCACAACAGGAAGAGAAGCTATGGTCTGAGTTGCCCATGGGCCTTTCCTTGCTAGACTCAAGATCTTAGAAGCAAAAGCCAATCACAAACCTACAATGCATGGCCCATTGAGGCCAGCACCCTGCCAAGTATTATCGCCTGAAAGAGGGATAGCATTAGGAGATACATCTAATGTAAATGACAAGTAAATGGGTGCAGCACACCAACATGACACATGTATACATAAGTAACAAACCTGCACATTTTGCACATGTACCCTAGAACTTAAAGTTTAATAAATATATATATGGAAAGACACTGACAGCAGGAACTCTGCAATGGTTCTCTATCTAAAAGAAGTGGGCTGTTGGGATATAACGGCTACTTCACACCTTCCTCTTAATACTAAAACCAATATCCCCAAATCAGAAAACAAACTACTAATAAATCAGATGCCTGAATTAAAATGATACGTCACTTAAGAGCACTCCCTTAGATGAATTGCAATGCCTCACTGGTGCGTTCTATTAAGATATTGGGGTGTCCAGGTCTTGCAAAAGACTGGTGAGATGGTACATTCATTAGGTAAGTCTATTTCTCTGCCATGCCTCAGCATTCACGTGGGAGTGTGCCGTTTTCTCGGTGGCACCAGTGACCACACCACTAATGTGGTCTGCACTATCTTTCTTTGGCCAGACTCAACACAGCCTCCAACAGTCTCTCAGCTTCTGCTAGAAAAGCCAGAGAGAAGAGTCTGTCTGGCTTTCTAATTGGGCCTCAGTGGGTTTCTGTCCGGCTGCTGTAAAGAGCACGTGATTTATAAAGAAGGCTTCATTTTGTGACAGGGTTCCATTTCAATTCTCTTACAGCAGAATTCAAGGGGTTCTGGCCAGCTAGCATGAACCCTCTCTTAGCCTATTTGTGATATGCTGGCCTACCCATCTCACAGTTCTGCAGAAACCATTCACCATGACCAGAAAGGGAGTGACATGCCCAAGGTAAAAGGCTTCCTGGGAGACAACCTACAGAGAAGGAAACCAATCAAGACAACAGGTCAACAAACTCCTTCTGGGACACTGCCCCTGTGTGCAGCTCTTAAGTGTGGGTCCAACAAGGCCCTGTGTTCAGCAGGAACAAGAGGCCCAGCCACGGACAGCCTGGGGGGACACAAACCACCCCCAGTCATGACCAAAGTCTTGGAAAACTGGGAATAGAAGAGAATTTCCTGAACTCGAACAGAGAACCTACTCAAATCCTGTGCAAACATCAAAAATAAGTAAGCAAACAGATAACCGAATGCACTGTTTATGGACTAAAAGCAGGGAAATCATTATTTTCAGATAATATGCTACTGTGAATAGAAAATCCAAGAAAATCTAGGGACAAATTAAATAATGTGTAACTATAAAACTAGTAGAAAAAAAGTCCAGCAAAATGCAAGATAAGAATATACAAAAGTTAACTGAATTGTTACATTAGCAATAAACAATTGAAAAACATTCAAAAAACACTATAATACCACCAACAATAACCAAAGTCAACTAAAAAAAAAATCTAACACAATATGTGTGAGACCTTTATGGAGAAAAGTAATACTACATAGCATTATCTTTTTGAAATAAAGAAATAAATGAAGGTAGACCCAAATAAATGAAGAGCTATACAATGATCATGGACATTAGGCTTTAATATCTTCAAGATGAAAATTCTCCACAAAATATAAACTTGATGTAACTTCTAATAAAACCCTGATAGGACTGTTTGTAGAACTTAACACTCTGATCTTAAAGCTCAAAGAAGACAGAGAGCCAGATAAAACCAAGATAACTCTGGAGAATAAGAGGACACTCATTCTACCAACTGCTGAGGCTTACCAGAAAAAGTTATAGTATAAAAACAGTATGGTTTAGACAAAGACAAATAGATGGATTTAAAAAGCACAGAACCTTAGTTTGGGCTTGTAAATATCAGACTCCCATATGAGTTGGGGGAAAGGGAAGAATTAATAAACCTATGAGGCTGACACTAGCAGGTACTCATATGGAAAAGATGAGAAATAGAGCCCCACACCACTCCAGACACGCAAATCCATTCCAGAAGCATTGACTACTGTCACATGAAAAGCAACGCAACAAACCTCTAGAAGAAAAAGTAAGAGGCAATGCCTTCATGTAAGGTCCTGAAGACAGGATTCTGGCTGCTCAATAAATACTGCTTTGTTGCTGTGTAAGAAGATAACACAGACTTAGTGGGTTAGAGCAACAGAAATGTGTGGCAATGCACTCTCATCATGCTGAGGTCAGAAGTCCTAAATGAATTCCACTGGGCTAAAGGCAAGGTGTTGTCAGAGCTGGCTCCTTCTCAAGATTCTGGGGAATAATCCACTTCCCTGCCTTTCTCGGATGTTGGTGGTGACCTGTACTCTGCCATTCATGGCCCCTTCCTCCAGTTTCAAAGTGGGTCACTCCTATCTCGGCTTCCATCTTCACATCACCGTCTGCAGCCAAATCTCTGCAGCCAAATGTCCCTCTTAAAAATAATGACCCTTGTGATGACATTCAGGGCCCACCTGGATAACTCAAGATAATTCCTCCCATCTCAAGATCCTTAACTTCATCACATCTGCAAATCTCATTTTGCCATATGAGGTCGCACATTCAGAGGTACCAGAGACTAGGACCTGAATATCTTTGGGAGCCATTAATTAGCCAGCGACAAATATGTTCAACTGTTATTTGCTGAATAAAACAAGGAGAGAAAGAAGATGTTTCTTTCTACAAGGCATCGGGTATAAGGCATGAAGGGACAGAAAAATTGGACAATGTAAAAGTTAAGACTTCCATCAGACACAACAGTAAGAAGACACCTCAGGCCAGGCATGGTGGCTCATGCCTGTAATCCCAACACTTTGGGAGGCTGAGGTGGGTGGATCACTTGAGGTCAGGAGACCAGCCTGGCCAACATGGCAAAACCCTGTCTCTACTGAAAATACAAAAAAATTAGCTGGGCGTGGTGGTGCACACCTGTAGTCCTGGCTACTTGGGAGGCTGAGGCAGGAGAATCGCATGAACCCAGGAGATGAAAGTTGCAGTGAGCTTAGATCGTGCCATTGCACTCCAGCCTGGGTGGCAGGAAAAAAAAAAAAAAAAAGAAGACACCTGAAAGGGACCTTTACAACATAGGACAGAGTGCTGTGGAAAATCTGGGAAGAATTCCTACAGGGCAAAAAAGAAACAATTCCAGATGCAAATGGGTACAGTCCATCACAGGGGACACCTGAAGGGCTAGTTGGCATGGGAGAACACATCCCAAAGGTACCAGGAAAACAAGCAATGCCAAGGCCCACAGTGAAAATGCAGTCTGAGGATGGGGAAGGGAATGCAAAGTGGGACTGTTCTGGAGGCTCCTGGGGACTCTGTCATCCCCCACTAAAGCAGCCCTCAAATTCTCACTGCTATGAACTGAACTGTCTTCCTCTAAAATTCGTATGCTAAGGCCCTAACCCCCAATGTGATGGCATTTGGAGGTAGGACCTTTAAGAGGTAATTCAGGTTATGAGATTACAAGGGTGGGGTCCTGATCTCATAGGACTAGCATCCCTATAAAGGAAGAAACATCAGAGAGCCAGCATGTGTGTTCATGTGTGGTCACGCATTCCCATCTCCCTGCAACCAAACATGTGTGGACACAGTCAGAAGGTAACCCTCTGCAAGCCAGGAAGCAGTCCCTCACTGGGAGCTGAATCAGCCAGCTCCTTGATCTCAGAGGTCCAGCCTCCAGAAAGGTCAGAAAATAAATTTCTGCTAAGTCATCCTATCTATTCTGTTATAGCCTGAGCTGCCCAAGATACCCACCTTCTACAACATCATGTGTAAAACATAACAGAGTTGATGGGGAAAAAGTTGAGAAGGCCACTCTGACATATGCCATTTTGTCCCCAGAGCCCAGCAGAAACCAGGAAAATCCCTGCTGTGTTATTTCAGTTCCATCAATGACACCTTAAATGACAGTCTATGTTGGCAGCCTTCATCCCTGGGCTGCTGAGCCTCCTGAGACATGTCTGCCTCCAAAGCAGATGGCTTCCAATAGAAACCAGTTGCTTCAAAACTGAAAACTAAGTTTGCAGACAGCCTTCTTTAAGAAGTTTACTTTTGTTAACCACAAATAAAATTCTAAGTCCACCACCAATTGAAAGGATCCCCCAGCCGCTCTTCGCCAAGGGCATTCCAAAGTAAAACTGAAAAACTAGTTCAAGGCATGACGGGAAGTGGGGATTGAACATGCCTCATTATATGTGCCTCCCTTTGTAATTCAGGCACAACTGACCAGCGTTAACATTAAAACAAGAGATCTCAAGATGGACAAAATGGACTCTTTGTAGCAATAAGATACCAAATTCCAACGTGACTCTAGTATAGCATCACATGATAGACAGCAGGTCCTGAAAGAAAACAACGTATTTTTTTTACCAAAATATATTTCTTTGACATATTTTGAAATGGCCCTGCAAAGCTGTCTCTTGTGGGGAAAATTTACACTCTGTAGAGAATCCCCTTACCTTTCCAGGCCTCTTCCTGATCCAGGAGAGATTAACTAAGAGGCTGGCATCTTTTTAGGTCTGTTAAGAGACATTTACCCTCTATTCTCTGAGTCTGCTACCTGGAATCTTCTACCACATAATAAGAACCTTGGTCTCCACAACCCCTTATCTCAAGCCAGACATTCCTTTCTATTGATTCCAGGTCTTTACATAATAACAACTCTTTCAACCAATTGCCAATCAGAAAATCTCTAAGAATCTACCTATGACCTGGAAACCCTCCCCTGACTCCACTTTGTGTTGTCCCACCTTTTTGGACTGAACCAATGTACACCTTACATGTACTCATTGATGTCTTCCTATAACTTCTACCCCCTAAAATGTATAAAATCAAGCTGCAACCCAACTACCTTGGGCACATGTTCTCAGACCTCTGAGACTATAAAATGGGCCGTAGTCACTCATAGTTTGCTCAGAATAAACATCTTTAAATATTTCACAGAGTTGACTATTTTTCTTTGGCATTTACTTAGACACAGGAGGAAATGTCTTTGCAGTCTGTCCACAGGCAGGGCAGCATCCTCAAATCTGGTAGACAGTATGGAGGCTCCCTAAGCCATTGCAACAGCCTCTCTTTACACTGAATGAGACACCCCTGCAGCATTTTCTGCTTTTTGTTCTGGAGCATCACATGATCTCTATGGACACTTGGTGAATTAACCAATGAACTGGAAACAGCTTAAATCCACTATCTTATTCTACTTTTTCTTGCTATAACAAGATACCATAGGCTGGGTTATTTATAAAGAAAAGAAGTGTATTTCTTACAGCTCTGGATGCTGAGAAACTCAAGAGCATGATGCGGCATCTGGTGAGGACCTTCTTGCTGCATCATGACACGGCAAAGGGCATCACATGGTGAGAGGGTGAGATCATGCATGTCAGCTCTGGTCTCTCTTCCTCTTCTGTTGAAGCCATAAGTCCCATCATGGGGACCCCATGCTGATGATCTTATTTAATCCCAGTGACCTCCCAAAGGCCCTACCTCCAATCGACAGATGAATTTGGGGATCAAGCTTCCAACACATGAAATTTGAGGAACATGTTCAAACCGTAGCAGCCACCAACAGGAAACTAAGTAAATGATTGTATAGTAATACCAGGTAAAATTATAGAACAGTAAAGAGAAATCAAGTAACATACATTGGCATGTGACAGTGAAATGGGGAAATGTCAATTTCAAAAGAATAGATACATTTATCTAAACACTTTCATACATGAATTAAAAATATAGATGGCAATGGCTATCTTCCCCTATCTATAGCCCAACTTCAAAACAGTGATTGCTGCTTTAAAACAGGGAAAACTGATAGAACAAGTGGCAGTTATCTCAAAATAAATAAATAAATATATATAGTCTGGGCGTGGTGGCTCACACCTGTAATCCCAGCACTTTGGGAGGCCAAGACGGGCAGATCACGAGGTCAGGAGATTGAGACCATCCTGACTAACACGGTGAAACCCCGTCTTTACTAAAAATACAAAAAAAATTAGCTGGGCGTGGTGGCGGGTGCCTTTAGTCTCAGCTACTCGGGAGGCTGAGGCAGGAGAATGGCGTGAACCTGGGAGGCGGAGCTTGCAGTGAGCTGAGATTGCACCACTGCACTTCAGCCTGAGCAACAGAGTGAGACTCTGTCTCGAATATGTATACATACACACACACACACACACACACATATATACACATATATATATATACAGAATAGAAACAAATATGCACATAGAGCAAAATCTTAAAATGTTTAATACTGACGGTGGGTATAGAGTCATTACTGTGTTTTTCTACTTTTCTGTGTTTATAATGCTTTTAACTAAAAATAAAAACTTTAGAAATTAGATGACCATGGCACAGGGTCTGCCTGTAATGGTCTTTCCAGTGCAAGCCCTTGATATATCAAATCTGTTCATTTTGGAAGCTGGACAGATGTGCTTGTGGGGGGATCTCAGTGGATGAGAACATGGCAGGCTGTGCTGCTGCAGGGAGGCAGAGCTGATGCTTCTTGAGGGCTTCCTGCAAGTCAGCCTACCAGCTAGGCCTACATTTTAGTATCTCTTGTCAGTCCCGGGAGAATGTGATAGGAGGACGTTGTGACTTCCCCTTATCTGATAGATAAGGAGCCTTAGAAGATAAGCTCCTGGTGCATCACAGCCAGAAAGAGAGGCATCTCACCCTCAATCCAAATTCAAGATTCTCCAGACAATTTTCAAAAAATAGTCTGCTTGTGCAAAAAGGAGCTCAGTGGAAACTGCCCCAAATCTTTGCAGTGAGAGGTCTCAGAGGAGTGAAATTTGAATCAATTCACTCCCCATCTTTCACGCAAATCACACACCCTCTTCAACAGGGAGGCTGGAGGAGGACAGAAGGCAGAATGCAAAATATCTATACATGCGTGCTTTTTATTGTGCACTTCTAAATTAATAGGTTTTATTTTTCTAGAGCAGGTTTATGTTTATAGGAAACTGAGCTGATAGTACAAGAGAGTTCCCACTGATCCAGTTCCTAGTTTGTAGTCTGTCTGCTCTAACAAATCTGTTGCACTTAGGATCTAAAAGGAAATGTAAAATCAAAATACAACCCTTCCAGATGCCAGTGGCCTCCAAATTTTCAGGTGCCCTGTGTTTGTTCCTCAGCCTCCCGTGATTGGCTTGGGTCCATCTGGAGAGTTCTGGCTCCTGGGTTGTGAATGTAAGGGAGGGGTGTGGCAGTCGAGACTAGCCACTAAAATCATCCCCAAGTACAAGCCAAGTTCTTAAAATCCCAGTACCTGGCAGTAGAGGGCTGGGAGATTAACTGGCCTTTGAAGATTAAATATCACAGCACATTGCATCTCAGCAGTGTCTGTCTAGGCAGAGGGGCTTTGGCATTAAACAGACCCAGCAACCTAGGCTACTGCAGAGAAGACAGAAGCATGACCAGGTTCTATTCCAGCTCCAGACCTAACACCAGAGCAGCCACAGAATAACCCAGCAGGCCCCAGTGTCCCCAGTGAGGGGCTGACCGCAGGGTGACCCACCTAAGACACCTCCAATTCACAAAAGGGCCTCATGACAGCTGCTGCACCTTCTAAACTATGGGTTACCAGAAACTAAGTTAAATTACTGTGCCTAGGAACTGGGAACATCACACAACAAAATCACACAGCTCTGAGACCTCTATGGAGCGATGAAATGTCACTGGTAAACTAAGATGTGCCTGTTACTAAACATATTTAGTGTACAGATGTGCTTGTAAACTAAACAGATTTCAAATCAAGGGTAAGAACTCTCGACAGCTTTCTGTGCCGCACCCAATTCCATCAAAAGCCGGCCTCAGGCATCTATCTGTTGGGGGCCTAGGAGAGATGCCAAGTCCTTGAGTCTGAAGGGCACTTTCCAATCACCTGCTTGGGGACGGCCTTGACTCCACCATGAGTGGGACTGTAGCTACTCCATCCTGCCATCATCTGTAATGACAGTATTTAAGCCGGAGGTGGGTTCCTTTAATTCCTATTATTCCAATGTTTGTGGGAACCCAGCTGTCCTTTGCAATCTTAACTTTAATTTTCTTGTCTTCATTTTTTTTTTTTGAGATGGAGTCTCACTGTGTCGACCAGGCTGGAGTGTAGTGGCATAATCTCGGTTCACGGCAAACTCCACCTCCCGGGTTCAAGTGATTCTGTTGCCTCAGCCTCCCAAGAAGCTGGGATTACAGGCATGTGCCACCACACCCAGCTAATTTTGTATTTTTAGTAGAGACGGGGTTCTCATCATGTTTGTCAGGCTGGTCTCGAACTCCTGATCTCAAGCCATCCACCCGCCTTGACCTCCCAAAGTGCTGGCATTACAGGCGTGAGCCACCACTCCCAGCCTTGTCTTGTTTCCTTAAGAAGAAACATTTTTCCCATCTGGAGCATTTTAAACTATCACGCTAACCTCATGGTGAGAGAATATCTTGCAGGCCTCCGTGGGAGCTGCCCCCAGCTGTGTGTGCCTGTCCTTAGTGTATCCTGCTCCTAGGATGCTATGCTGTGCAGCAGCCCCACAGCCTCAAGGCCCCTAAAGCATGAAGAATGAAGCCCAAACACCAGGTGGGAAGGCTGTTCTCGCTTCTCTCTGTGAATCCTGGTCAAATCCCAGAAAGGGAGATCATTCATCCCAGAAATCTTCCTCCTGGGAACTTCTCAGCCGTTGAGATTTGGATGCCAGGGGTTGCCTGGGGACCTGGGAATCATTCACCTTGAAATACACCCAAGTGAAACAGGGGCTCAGCCAAGGTTGAGAACTGGCAACATCTTTTATGTGGCGTTGTCATGTAACCTTTTCTCAGGAGCAGAGACACTTCTCATCCTCGGGCCTACCTCCTGGAACACTTCCCGGCTGATCTCACAGTCCAGCCCTACCAACTTCTCAGGACCCAGTGCAGACCACGTCCGGGGAGCACCCTCCACGAGCACTCTGTCGGGAAGCCGTCTCCTCTGTCCTCTGCTGAGCATGAGTGGAGGACAACTCTCCAACAAAAACTTCTACACATTTCCAATCTTAGTATAGCAGACATCAAATATGTGGTCAAACTACATACATAGGAAGAATTGAATTATATAATTATATTCAAGCATTTTAAAATAATTCCCCTTCAGTTTGTTTTGCAGTTATTTTACATAATCAAATGTCTTCCTGATATACTTTCCAACCCAGTGGTTGTCAAGCTCTGCTTTGTTTTCTAATTGCATCAGAATTATCCACAAGTCTTTTTTTTTTTTTTTTTGAGATGGAGTCTTACTGTTGCCCAGGCTGGAGTGCAGTGGCGTGATCTCAGCTCACTGTCATCTCTGCCTCCCTGATTCAAGTGATTCTCCTGCCTCAGCCTCCCAAGTAGCTGGGACTACAGGCATGTACCACCATGCCTGGCTAATTTTTGTATTTTTAGTAGAGATGAAGTTTCACCATGTTGGCCAGGCTGGTTTTGAATTCCTGACCTCAAGTGATCCACTGCCGGGGCCTCCCAAAGTAGGAATTATCCAAAATTCTTATGATAAATATGGATAAATCAGCACAACTCAAGATTTAAGAAATAAAAATTTCCAAGAGAAGAAACCCAGGAATATGCTTTGAAAATGTCTCCCTCAGGTGATTCTGATGTGATATGTGGTCTGAGTTTAAAATGCAAGGAAAATTACCTTCCCTGCCCTCCAGTTGGCCCTTATGTCCAGATGTCTCTCTTTCCTTTTCTCACTGTGCTCTCTCCTTCTGTGCCTTTGTTCTATTCTCTCTCCACTTCTCATCCATATGCCAAGCCCTCTTCCATCAATTGTCTTAAAACTCCAAATGGTCAGTCGCCTCTAAACTTTCCTCTGTCTCATGAACAAGTTATGCAGGCAAAAGTAGAATTTAAGCTTGGACCAAGCTGAATCAAGAGCTGCAATTAAAGGTTTCCCTAAGCCCAGAGGGGACCAGCGAATACTTATAGAAGATTTTGGATTTCCTCTGAATGCATAAGCCTCTCGGTAACCTGATTCTATAGACCAAATGTCATTGTCCCCCTCAAATTCAAGTGCTGATATCTAATTCCCTATGTGATGACATTTGGAGGTAGGGCCTTGGGGAATGATTAGCTCATGAAGGCAGGGGCCACAGGAGTGGGATTAGCAGCCCCTATTGAAGGCACCATAGAGAGCTCCCTCATCCCTTCTGTCATGTGAGGACATGGTAGAAACATGGCTGTCTGTGAACCACAAAGCAAGCCCACACCAGACATGGAATCTGCTAACCACTTGACCTTGAATTTTGCCATCTCCAAAACTGAAAGAAACAAATTGGTTTATAAGCTTCCTCATCTATGGCATTCTGTTTTGACCCCAGATTAGCTAAATACACCAAAATATCAACTTGTACACCAAATTTTGGAAATGGATGCTAAAACTTTGATGGCAAAAGGTGACTGATCTGCCTGAGAAATGAAACTACATGATCCCTTTTTCCACAAAGCTGGAGGGAGAGTCAACAAGAGCAAAAATAGGTCAAATTCTTCTAAAAGCCATACCTGAAGGGTTTTCAATATCACTTGATCAGATCGTAATTTAATCACACAAAGAGCCATAACAAAACACACAACTATCAGAGGTTTTCAATGTCACCTTAAAAACATTATCTACAATATTAGGGAGTGAAAGAAGTCATGGAAGTTTCAAAAAGTCAAACTTTATTTCAGTGTTATGGTAGAAATTTGAGATTCTTAGTTAAGCTATGAATAAATCCTTGGGCAGGTGCAGGCATGGAGATTCTGGGGTGCAGATGCTGAGTTTAAATCTTCCTTTGGAGATGCCCCCTGGCCCCCTCAACCCCTGTCTGCCTGTCAAGAAGAGGCCATCCTGGGCAGAACATTAGAGGCAAATGGCCCAGATGCCTAGGTGAGGGCAAATCTCCATGCCTGGAGGAGGAGGTCACCTCTGGGAGCAGGAGGACCTGCTGGAACCCCTGCTCACAGGCTCCTTTTCTTGCTCTCCAGCACCTCCTGTAGGCAGGCAAACACCTCCAGCAGCAGTAGCAGCAGGCTCTTCAGCAGCAGGGCTGCTGCTCTGCTGAATGAGAGAAGTCCCTCTCCAGTGAGGCAGAGGAGCCCAGGCTGCACACCCTGGTCTCTGCCTCCATAGCTTCCACTGTGCCCAGGACTGGGAGCAGTGTGGGAGCTGCTGGCTGGAGCTGTGCTTGTCACCCCCTCTCTGCCACCTCTAGCTCCTGCCACACTTTCAGCTCCAGGGCTGAGGCCGGTGGCTGTACATGAGGTGCCATGAAGTCAGGCAGCTTCTCACTGGGCTGGTTCTGGGCAGTCCCAGGGCAATGGCAGGAGGGCTCTGGAGCCTCCTCTAGCTCCAGCGCTGTCCCTGGAGGGGGCTTTGACCCTGGTGCTGGCACTGGCTCAACAGCTGGCACTGGAAATAGCTGTATTTCTGCACCTGAAGCAGGAACTGAAAAAGGAGAGAGGTCACCAATATCACTCACTTTCCACTGGAATTTCCAAACCTGAAAACGACCTCACTGAATTTAAAGGAATTTCAGCCTGAAAACATTGTCCCTGGAAAGACTTCCAGACTGCAGGTGACCTCAGCATGTGTCTGTGTCTCAATGAGCTCCAGAGGCTCCAGCTGGACAAGGACAATGTGCAGATGTGACCCTGGTGGGATCACTGGTGAGGCCTGGCCTGGTAGCTCCATCTGGGGCCTGATGTCTACCTGGTGACTCCTGTCCTGTGGTACCTGGGGGCACCTTCTGCTAAATGGCCAGAGGCATCTGGGGTGAGGGATGAGCCTACAAGGGCATTGTCAGAAAAGAAAGATTCTCACTCCTGCCATTCCTGAAGCAGGAGCCTTGAGATGTGGGGATGCAGCACAAGAACATCTTGCTCTCTTGAGCATCTCCCACCAAGTGAGCTGTCTATGGGGCTAACTCTAGGATGTGGGTGCCTGGTTATCAGGATTCTTTTTTTTTTTTTTTTTTTTTGAGACATAGTCTCATTCTGTTGGCCAGGCTGGAGTGCAGTTTCATGATCTCAGCTCACTGCAACATCCGCCTACCGGGTTCAATCAATTCTCCTGCCTCAGTCTCCTGAGTAGCTGGGATTACAGGCACAAGATATGCACCACCACCACCACACCTGGCTAGTTGTTTTTTTGTTTTTGTTTTTGTTTTTTGAGACAGTCTCGCTCTGTCTCCCAGGCTGGATGGAGTGCAGTGGCGCGATCTTGGCTCACTTCAAGCTCCGTGTCCTGGGTTCATGCCATTCTTCTGCCTCAGCCTACAGAGTAGCTGGGACTACAGGCACCTGCCACTATGCCTGGCTAATTTTTGTATTTTTAGTAAAAATGGGGTTTCACTGTGTTAGCCAGTATTGTCTCGATCTCCTGACCTTGTTTGTTTTTTGTATTTTTAGTAGACACGTGGTTTTACCATGTTGGTCAGGCTGGTCTCGATCTCCTGATTTCATGATCCTCCTGCCTCAGCCTCCCAAAGTGCTGGGATTACAGGTGTGAGCCACCGTGTCTGGCCTGGTTACCAGAATTCTAAGTTCTGTTAGGGTCTGTTGCCAAGGAAGTGAGGTCACTTCTTTAAGGCTCTGTCCCCTTGGCCTCCTCCTTCCAGAAGACCTACTCAGGACCCCAGTGGGCTGCTGACTGCTCACCTTCCCCACAGGTCAACTCCTTACCTGTACACAGTTATGTCCACCCAGGGCCTGCTTGGACACCTGCACCTGATGTTCACCAGGGGCCTAGGAATCCACTTGGGGCCTCGGAACCTACAGGGGCCTAATGTTACCCTGCAGATTGGGTAGCCACCGGGGGACCAGGCATCAACCTGGGTACTGTGGTTGACCTGTGGGCTAATGTCCAGCTGGGGATTGGTTATTCACCTGAGGACTGATGCGTACCTGGGGCTGAATGTCCCCCTCAGGGTGAATTCCACCTCAGGCCTGTATGTCCACCTGGGGCCTGATGTCTGCCTTAGTTCTGTGTCCCACTGGGGCCTTGTGTTCACCGGGGACTGGTATCCAGCTGTGGCCTGATGATCTACTGCATCCTGTTGCTCACCTACGGCCTGGTGTCTACCTGGGGCTTGGTGATCACCTGGGAGCTGGATATCAACCTGGGGCCTGGGTGTCCACTTAAGGCCTGATGTGGGCCTGGGGCCTGATTGTCCACCTGGGGACTGGGTGTCCACCTTGGGTCTGATGTCTACTTGAAGTTAGGTGTCTACCTAAGTCTTGGTGTCTACCTGTGCCCTGATGTCCACATGAGTCTGGGGTTCGGTTGGGGCCTGCTGTACATCTGGGAACTTGGTGTCTATCTGAGGCCTGATGTCTACCTGGTGACTGCCATCCTCTTGAGGCCTGCTATCCACCTGGGAATGGTTTATCCATGGAAACGGTTATGTCCGCCTGGGGCTGGATGTTGCCCAGCGGCTAGATGTCCACCTGTGGCCCCGTGTCCACCTAGGGCCTGATGTCCACCTGGGGCATGGTGTTCACCTGAGACCTGGGTGTTTACATAGGGCCTGATGTCCAGCTGGTGCCTAGGTGCCCACCGGGGGCTTTGTGTTAACCTGGGGACTGGTATCCAGCTACGTCCTAATGACCACCTGGGTTGAATTATTCACCTAGAGTTTGGTATTCACTTAGGGCTTGAGTGTCAGCCTTAGACCTGGTGTCCACCTGGGCCTTGTGTATCAAACTAGGGGTTTGGTATCCAGTTGAGACATCATTTGCACCTGGGGTCTGAGTGTTCGCATGAGGCCAGATGACCACTGGGGACCTGAATGTCAACCTGGGTTCTGAAATTCACTGGAAGCCTAGGTATCCAGCTGGGGCCTGATGTCCACCTGGGACTAGGTGTCAACATGTGGCCTGATGTAAACCTCTAGTTCAGTGCCCATCTTGGGCCTGATGTCCACTGGGGGACTGATGTTCACCTTTGATCTGAAATCTACCTGGAAACCGTGTATTCACCCATGGCCTGATGGTCACCTGGGGTTGAATGTCCAACTGTGGCCAGATGTGCACCCGGATCCTGGGCATCCACCTGGGGCCTGATGTTCATCTGGGGCCTGGAGTTCAACTGAGGCACGATGTCCACCTGAAGCCTAATGTTCATCTGAGTGCTGAGTCTAATGTACTCCTGGGTTCTAGTGTCCTCTTGGGACCTGATGTCTACCAGGATCCTGGTATCCACTTGGGGCCTGGTATCCACCTAGGACTTGATATTCACCTGGGGCCTGGGAATCCACTTGATAACTGGTGCCCATCAGGGTCTTATGTTCACCTTGGGACTGGGTAACCACCTGAGGCCTGATGTCCACTTAGGGCATAAGTGTTTAGCTGGGGTCTAGTGTTCACATGGGGTCTGATGTCAACCTTGAGCCCAGGTATTCACCAGGAGACTAGTGTCCAGCTGGGACCAGATGTTCACTTGGGGCCTGGTGTCAACTTGAAGCATGGTTGTCAACCTAGGACCTGATGTCCAGTCCAGTGTCCACCTTGGGCCTGTTTACTACCTGGGGCCTGTGTGTCCACATAGACCCCGATGTCAATCTGGGGCCTGGGT
This sequence comes from Homo sapiens, assembly GCF_000001405.40. NCBI lineage: Eukaryota > Metazoa > Chordata > Mammalia > Primates > Hominidae > Homo > Homo sapiens. The sequence continues at coordinate 11,089,181 of NC_000024.10, forward strand.
ATTTACCGGAGGCCTGGATATTCATTGGTACATTATGTCTACTGGAGTCTTTGTGTCAATCTGAGCTCTGATGTCCACTTAGAGATTGGGTATCCACCTAAGGCCTGTTGTTTACATGGGGCCTGTAACACGAGGTTCCAGATAAACTCAGATGTCCACCTGAGGCCTGATGTCCACCTGAGTTCTGAGTGTTAACATAGGGCCTGCTGTCAACCTGGGACCTAAGTATTTACCTAGGGCCTGGGTGTCCACCTGGGGCCTGACTTCCAAATAGATCTTGTGTCAACAGGTGGCCTGATGTGCACTTTGGGCCTAGGTAACTTCTTGATGACTAATGCCCACATGGCTCCTAAGGACCTTCTGAGGCCTGGTATTAATTTAGAGACTGGTATACACCTGGTGTCCAGGTATCCACTTGGGACCTGATGTTCACCTGGAGTGTATGAATTCACGTGGGGCCTGGTGTCCACCTTGAGTGTGTGTATCCAATTGAGTGTGATGTCCACCTGGAGTCCAGTGTATACCCGGGGCCTGATGTACACATGGGGCCTGGGCATCCATCTAGGACCTGATATTCAGATAAGGGCTGGCGTTCTCCTGGCCTGGTGTCCACATGGAGCCTGGATATACACTTGGAGCCTGATGTCCCAGGTGGATACCTGGGCCCCAGTGGTCATCAGATCCTAGGAAACTCTCAGGCCCCAGGTGCACATAAAGCTACAGTGGCCACCTAGGCCACAGGTTGATACACAGGGTCCAGGTGGACACTGGGTGCAAGATGAACACCAGGCCCCTGGTGAACACAAAGCCCCAGGTGTCTACCTAGTCCTCAAGTGGACACCAGGCACTAGATTGACACACAGGTGCCAGGTGGATATCAGGCCGCAGGTGAACACCAGGCCCCAGGTGGTTGGGTTACTTATAGCATAGGTGGCCATCAGGTCCCAGGTCTATATCCACTCCCCACCTGAAAATCAGGATCCAGGTGGATACCCATGTTCTAGGTGAACACCAGTTTCCAAATGGATATCAGGCTCCAAGTGAACACACAGGCCCCAGTTCAATACCAGCCTCAGGTAGACATCAGGACCCAGGTGGACCCCAGGCCCAATGTGCATGCCTAGTCTCTTGGAATACATCATTTTCAAGGTGGACACCCAGATTCCTTGTAGACATCTGGTGCCAGGTGGATATCTGCCTGCAGGAGGACATCAGGCCCCAGGTGGACCCCAGGCCCAACGTGCATGCCTAGTCTCTTGGAATACATCATTTTCAAGGTGGACACCCAGATTCCTTGTAGACATCTGGTGCCAGGTGGATATCTGGCTGCAGGAAGACTTCAGGCCCCAGGTGGAGACTCAGTACACAAGTGTAAATCGGGCTCCAGTATTTCATCAGGCCCCAGTTAAACACTTGACTAAAGGTGTGCATCAAGACCCAGGTTGACACCCAGGCTTCAGTGCACACTAGGCCCAAAGTGTACACCTGTGCCAAGGTGGGCATCAGGCCCAAGGTGTACACCAGACTCCAAGTGGACATCAGGTTGCAGGTTGACACCAGTCTCTAAGTAGATCCTTAAGCCCCAATTGGTCATCAGGCCCAAGGTGGATAGCTTGACCCCAGGAGGTCTCCAGGTCCCAGGCAGGCCTCAGGTGGACACTAAGCCCTAGATTAACACAAGGTCTGAGATGGTTTCAGCCCCTGTGTGGACTTTAGTCATAAGGAGCTTACTTAAGCCCTAAGTGGACATCAGGCCCCAGGTTGACACAATGAACCATGTAGAAGTCAGGCTCTAAGTAGACACCCAGGCCCTAGGTAAATACTTTGGTCCCAAGCCAATATCAGGCCCTATGTGGGCACCCAGACTCCAGGCAGATGTCAGGCCCCAGGTGAACACTGAACTCAGGGTGGTCATCAGGCCCTAGGTTGACACATAGGCCACAGGTAGACAACAGGCGTAGGTGAACTTCAGGCTAAATATGAACGTCGGGCTCCAGGAAGAAGTCTGTGCCCCAGTTAAACACCGGGTCTTAGGTAGACATCAGACCTCAAATGGATGCCCAGGCCCCAGGTGGATATAAGGCCTCAGGCAAACACCAGATCCCAGGTAGACATTAGACACAAGATGGACACTCAGGCCACAAGTGAACATCTGTTCCCAGATGGACATCCATCCCAAGGTGGACATCAGGCCAGAGATGTACACCCAGGCCCCAGGAGAACCCCAGGCCCCAGGAGGACACTCAAGCGCCAGAAGGACACCCAGTCCCTAGGTAACTAAAAGGCCCCAAGTGGACATGATGTTCCAGATGGATATGAGGCCCTAAGTGGATACTAGGCCCAGGTGGACCCCAGGTCTCAGGGGCACACCAGGACCCAGGGGAACACCAGGCCCTGGGTAAGCCTGCAGTCCCAGGTGGACATCAGGTGCCAGGAGGACACCAGGACCTAGTTGGTCATCAAGCCACAGCTGAACACCAGTTCCCCATGAACACCAGTCCTCAGGTGGGCACCTAGTCCTCCCGTGTGCATCAGGTGCCAGGCTGACATAGGCACCAGCTGAACTCTGGGCCTCAGGTGAACATCAGATCCCAGGTTGTCACCCAGGCCCCAGGTGAACACCAGGTTTCAGGTGGACACGAGGTCCTAGGTGGATGTCTATGCTCCTAGTGAACCTCAGGCCCTAGTGGACACTCAGGCCCTTTATAGACATCTGGCTCCTTGTGCACTCCCAGCGCCCAGGTGGACATGAGACCCCAGAGGAAAACCAGTCCTTAGTCATCTAAGACTGAATTCCCCTAGGGCTGGAGACTGAGTATTCACCTTGGGCCTAGGAATCTACCTGGGGCCAGATGTTGATCTGGGGCCTGATGTCTACTCAGGTTCAGCTGTCCACTTAGGGTGGGGTGTTTTTCTGGGACCCAGAGTCTACCTGAAATCTTGGTATCAACCTGGGGCCCATGTGTCCACTTGGAGTCTGATGTGCACTTGAAACCTGAATTTTCACCTAGGATCTGATGAGCACTTGGGGCGCAAGTTTCCATCTGAAAATCAGGCTCTAGTTATACGTCTGGGCCCCAGGTATACCCTGGACACCGAAAGAACTCCAGCCCCTATCTTAACATGAGGTCCTAGGTGGATGCCCAGGTGTCATGTCTACATTAGGACTCAGGTAGACACAACTCCAGGCGGGCATCAGGCCTGATATTGGCTCTATGTCTCCACCCAAATCTCATGTTGAATCGTAATCCCCATGGGTTGAAGAAGGGGTGTGGTGAGAGGTGATTGAATCATGGGGGCAGTCTTCCCACTTGCTGTTCTCGTGATAGACTTCTTATGAGATCTGGTTATTTGAAAGTGTGTAGCACATCCCCCTTCTCTCTCCCTCCTCCTCCCCCATGGTAAAAAGGGCTTGCTTGCTCTTGGCTTTATATCATGATTGTAAGTGTCCCGGGCCCACCCAGTCATGCTCCCTATTAAGCCTGAAGAACTGTGGGTCAGTTAAACCTCTTTTCATCATAAGTTGCCCAATATCAGGTAGTTTTTTATAACAGTGTGAAAATGGACTAATACAAGACCTTAGGATAACAACCATGCTTCAGGCCATAGGTGGACATCTGGCTGCAACTGGACACTATTCCCCAGGTGGATACCTAGGCTCAAGGTTGACATTAGTCCCCAGCTGAATACCTATGCCCTAAGTAGACATCAGGCCTCAGGCTGACACTCAGTCTAAGCTCAACATTAGGCTCAGGTGGACACCCAGACTCCAGGTGGATACTAGACCCCAGGGGTACACCAGACTCCTGGTAAGCATAAGTCCCCAGGAGGACACTAGAATCCAGTTGTACATAAAGCCACTGGTTGACTCCAAGCCCTCAGATGAACACCAGGCCAACTAGTGGACATTAGGCACATGAGAATACTTGGGCACCAGGCAGGTATCAGGCCCCGGGTAAACATCAAACTTCAGGTGGACATCGTTCTCCATGTAAACTCTAGCCCCAGCTAAACATCAGGCTCCAGGTGGAAGCCCAGACCCCAGGTGCACTTCTGGCCACAGTTGGACATCTGTCCCCAGGTGAATATCAGACCATAGATGGATAGCAAGTCCCCAAGTGGACATCAGGTCAAAAGAGAATATAAGTCTCTAGGAAGACATCTGGCCCCAGGTGGATACTGAACTAGAGGCTTACATCAGACCCCAGATTGACATTCAATCCCCAGGTGGTCATGACACCTCAATTGGACACCAAGTCCTCAGGTTGATAACCAAGTCCCAGGTGGACACCACGTCAAATATGAACACAAGACCTAAGGTTGTCATTCAAGCCCCAAGTGGACACCAGGCCCTAGGTGAATAATATGACCCAGGGGATCATTGGGACCCAGCTGCATACCAGTCCCCAGGTTTACACGAGGCCCCCAGTAGGTTCCTAAGCTCTAGTTGGACATGAAGTCTCCAGTAGACACCCAGGACTAAGGTGGACATCAAGCATCAGATGGACGTCTGGCTGCGGATGAACATCAAGCCTCACATGGATACCTAGTCCGCAGGTAGGCATCAGGCCCCAGTTTGACATCAGTTTCTGGGTGGATCCTTAAGCCCCAGGTGGATATCCAGTCTCCAGCTGAACATCAGCCCCTCATGGACGCCCAGTCCCCAGGTGAATATCATCAGGTCTCAGGTGAACACAAGTCCCCAGGCAGACATCAGACACCAGGTGTACACTCAGACCCCAAGAGGACATCTGTCCCCAGGTTGACATCACTCTCAAGGTGTACATTAGGCCACAGATGTACACCCAGGTCCAAGGCAGACATGAGTCCCCAGTAAAACTCAAGGCCCCAGGAGGATACTCAAGCCCTAGGTGGATGCCCACACCCCAGGTAATTACAAGGCCCCAGGTGGATACCAGATTCCAGATGAACATTAGGCCCCAAGTGGATACCTAGGCACCAGGTAGACACCAGGCTCCAGGTACATCCCCTGGTCTCAGGTGCACACTAGGTCCCCAGTGAACACTGGCTCCAGGTAAGCACCCAGTCCAAGGTAGACACCATGACCCAGGTGGTCATTAGGCCACAGCTGAACACCAATCTTGAGTGAACACCATATCCCAGGTGGTACCTAGTCTCCAGGTGGATATTGGGCCCCACGTGGACACCCAGCCCCCAGGTGAACATCAACCTTCAGGTGGACATCATGCCTCAGGTGAACTCCGGGTCCCAGCCCAGCTGAACATCAGGCTGCAGGTGGATGCCTAGGTTCCAGGTGCACAACAGGTCACAGCTGGACATTCAGCCCCAGGTGAACAACAGACCATGGGTGGATAAACAGTCCACAGGTGGACATCAGGTCAAAGGTGAACATCAGTACTCAGGTGGACATCAGGCTCCAGGTTGACATTAAGCCCAAGGTGGACACTGAACTAGAGGTTTACACCAGGCCCCAGGTTGACACCCAGGCTCAGGTGGACATTGGGCCCCAGGTGGTTACCTAGGCCCCTAGTAAACCTCAGATTCTAGGTTGTCATTCAGGCCCCCAGTAGTCATTTGGCCCCATGTGGACACTCAGGCGCCAGGTTCACATGATGTCTTAACTGGACACCAAGGGGCCAGTTTGATACCCAAGTCCTGTGTGGGTGCCAGGTCCAGGGTTACACTCAAGCCCCAAGTGGACACCAGGCCCTAGGTGAATAACACAACCCATGTGGTCATTAGGCCCCAGAATGACACCAGTCCCCAGGTTAACAGGAAGCCCCCAGTGGGCACCTATGCCCCAGCTGGACATCAGGCCTAAAGTGGACACCCAGGATCAAGATGGACATCAGGACTCAGGTGGACATCTGGTGACAGGTGGACATCAAGCCTGATGTGTACCTTGTCCCCGGGTGGTCATCAGGCCCCAGTTCAACACCAGTCCCTGGGTGGATTCCTCGGCTCCAAGTGGACATCCGGTCTTCAGCTGAACATCAGACCCCAGGTGAACACCAGGACTTAGGTGGACATTAGGCCCCTGGTGGACATAAAGTACCAGTGGACATCCATGCTGCAGGTGGACAACAAGGGCCCAGATGGGCATCAGGCCCCATTTGGACATTGAGTCCCCAGGTGGATATCAGGCCTCAGGGTGAACCCAAGGTCCAACATAGACATCAGGCCTTAGGTTGACACTCAAGCACCAGATGGACTGCTGCACCTAAGCAGAAAATAAACCCCTATCTGGATATCTAAGATACATGTATACAACAAGCTCCAGACTGACATCCAGACCCCAGGTGGACACCATACCCCAGGTGAACAGCAGGCAACAGTTTGGCACCAAGTACCTAAGTGAAACAAAGCCTTAGGTGATTACCAGGCCATAGGTAGTCATTAGTCTCCAGCTGGACAATAGTCCCTAGGTGGATACCTAGGCCCCAGGTGGACACTAGACCCCAAATTAACACAAAAACCAAGTAAAAAATCAAGCCCCAAGTGGACAACCAGTCCCTAGGAAAATACACAAATCTCAAGCTGACACCAGGCCCTATTTGGACACCCAAGCCCTAGGTGGACTTCAGGCCACAGGTGAACACTGAACTCTAGAAGGTCTTCAGGCCCTGTGTTGACTACCTGGCCCCAGGGGGACACCAGGCATAGATGAACTTCAGCCACCAGCTGTACATCAGGTTCCAGGCAAATGTCCAGGCCCCAGGTGGATATCAAACCTCAGATGAACACCAGGCCCCAGGTAGACATCACAAACTAAGTGGACACTCAGGCCCCTATTGAATATCCATCCCCAGGTGGACATCCATCCCAAGGTGGACATGAGGCCACAGATGTACACTTAAGCCTAAGGCAGACCCCAGGCCCCAGGAAAACTCCAGGCTCCATGAGAGCACTCAGACCTCAGGTGGATGCATTGGTCCTAGGTAAATACAAGGCCCCAGATAGACATCAGGCCCCAGTGAACACCAGAGCCCAGGTGGGTACCTAGTCCCCAGGTGTGCAACAAGCAGAAGGTTGACCCAGTCCTCAGCTGAACTCTGGGACCCAGCTGAACATCATAACCCAGATGGTCACTCAGGCTCCAGGTGAACACACGGTCTTAGGTAGACATCAGGTCCCACATGAACACCCAAGCCCCAGGTAGATATCAGGCCTTAGGTGTACACCAGACCTCAGGTGGGCATCTGGCTCCAGATGGCCGTAGGTGGATAACTAAACCTCTCATGGATATCAGGCCCCAGGTAGACACCAGGCTCCAGGCGAACATCTAGCCCCAGGGGGACATCCAGCCCCTGGTGAACATCAGGGCTCACATGGATAAACAGTTTACAGATGGACACCTGCCACAGGTGCCTCACCTCTACTCCCTGAAACCTCACTTCCCCTCATGGGCCTTCTGTCCGACTTGGGGTACCCCTAGCCACCCTAGGCACACAGTGGACTCGAACCAGGGGTGCCAGCGTCCCTGGGGCTCAGCACAAGGGTTCATGGGAATACACTTTCGTCCGTGGGGGACCCAGTCCTCACTTCTCGGCGGCGCATTTTTTTTTTTCTCTGCCCCAGGTGCCTCACCTTCCCCTCATGGGCCTTCTGTCCACCTTGGGGTACCCCTAGCGGCCCGAGGCATACCCTGGGCTCGAACCAGGGATGCCAGGGTCCCCGGGGCGCAGCGCAAGGGCTGATGGGGAGACACTTTCTTCCGTGGGGGACCCAGGCCCCTCTTCTCTGAGGCGCTTTTTTTTTTTTCTCTGCCCCAGGTGCCTCACCTTCACCTCATGGGCCTTCTGCCCGCTTTGGGGTACCCCTAGCGGCTCGAGGCACAAGCTGGGCTCGAATAAGGGTCGCCAGGGTCCCCGGGGCCCAGCGCAAGGGTTGATGGGACGACACTTTCACCCATGGGGGACCCAGGCCCCGCTTCTCCGCAGCGCAGTTTTTTTTTTTATTTGCCCCAGGTGACTCACCTTCCCCTCATGGGCCTTCTGTCTGCTATGGGTTACCCCTAGCAGGCCAGAGGCGCACCCTGGATTCCAGCCAGGGATGCCAGGGTCCCCGGGGCCCAGTGCAGGGGCTGATGAGAAGGCACTTTCGTCCGTGGGGTACCCAGGCCCTGCTTCTCTGTGGCGCGGTTTTATTTTTTTCTTTTCTGCCTCAGGTGCCTTACCTCTCCTCCCTCAAACCTCAGCTTCCCCTCATAGGCTTTCTGCCCGCCATGGGGTACCCCAAGAGGCCCGAAGCGCACCCTTGTCTTGAACCAGGGGTGCCAGGGTCCCCTGGGCCCAGCTCAGGGGCTGATGGGAAGACACTTTCGTCCGTGGGGGAACCAGGCCCCGCTTCTCCGCGGCACAGTTTTTTTTTTTTTTCTGCCTCAGGTGCCTCACCTTCCCCTCATGGGCCTTCTGCCCGCTTTTGGGTAACCCTAGTGAGCCCAAGGCGCACCCTGGGCTCGAACGAGGGTCGCCAGGGTCGACGGGGCCCAGCGCAGGGGCTGATGGGAAGGCACTTTCATCCGTGGGGGACCCAGGCCCCGCTACTCCGTGGTTCGGTTTTTTTTTTTTCCTCTGCCCCAGGTGCCTCACCTTTCCTCCCTCAAACCTCACCTTCCACTCCTGGGCTTTCTGCCTGCGTTGGAGTACCCCTAGCGACCCGAGCGCACCCTGGGCTCGAACCAGGGATGCCAGGGTCCCTGGGGCCCAGTGCAGGGGCTGATGGGAAGACACTTTCGTCTGTGGGGGACCCAGGGCCCGCTTCTCGGCGGCGCGGTTTTTTTTCTCTGCCCCAGGTGCCTTACCTTCCCCTCAGGGGCCTTCTGCCTACGTTGGGATACCCTAGCAGTCCCGAGGTGCACCCTGGGTTCAAACCAGGGACGCCAGTGTCCCCAGGGCCCAGCGCAGGGGCTCATCGGAAGGCACTTTCTTCCGTGGGGTACCCAGGCCCCGCTTCTAGGCGGAGCGGTTTTTAATTTTTTTCTGTGCTCCAGGTGTCTCACCTTCCCCTCATGGGCCTTCTGCCCGCCTTGGGGTACCCCTAGCAGGCCGAGGCGCACCCTGGGCTCTAACCAGGGACACCAGGTTCCACAGGCCCAGCTCAGGGGCTTATGCGAAGACACTTTCGTCTGTGGGGGACCCAAGCTCTGCTCCTCTGCAGGGTTGTTTTTTTTTTTTTTTTTCTCTTCCCCAGGTGCCTCACCTTCCCTTCATGGGCTTTCTGCCCGCCTTTGGGTACCCCTAGCGGGCCCGAGGCTCACCCTGGTTTCGAGCCAGGGATGCTAGTGTCCCCGGGGCCCAGCGCAGTGCTGATGGGAAGGGACTTTTGTCCGTGGGGAACCCAGGGCCCACTTCTCCGAGGTGAGCTTTTTTTTTTTCTGCCGCAGGTGCCTCACCTCTCCTCCCTCAAACCTCACCTTCCCCTCATGAGCCCTCTGCCCGCCTAGAGGTACCGCTAGCGGCCCGAGGCACACCCTGTGGCTGAACCAGGGACGCCAGGGTCCCTGCGGCCCAGCACAGGCGCTGATGGGAAGACACTTTCGTTCGTGGAAGACCCAGGCCCCGTTTCTCAGTGGCGCGGTTTTTTTTCTCTGCCCGGGTGCCTCACCTTCCTCTAATGGGCCTTTTGCCCGCTTTGGGGTACCCCTAGCGGGCCCTATTCGCACCCTGCGCTCGAACCAGGGTCGCACCACGAGGTCCAGCGCAAGGCCTGATGGGAAGGCACTTTCGTCAGTGGGGGACCCAGGCCCCGCTTCACTGCGGCGCGTTTTTTTTTTTCTGCCACAGGTGCCTCACCTTCCCCTCATGGGCTTTCTGTCCACCTTGGGGTACCCCCAGAGGTCCGAGGCGCACCCTGGGCTCAAACCAGGGAAGCCAGGGTCCCTGGGGCCCAGCACAGCATCTGATGGGAAGGCACTTTCTTCCATGGGAAACCCAGGCCTCCCTTCTCCGTCGAGAGGTTTTTTTTTTTTCCTCCGCTCCAGGTGCCTCACCTTCCCTTCATGGGCTTCTGCCCACTTTGGGGTACTGCTAGCGGCCCGAGGCGCACACTGCGTTCGAACCAGGGTCACCAGGGTCCACGGGGCCAAGCGCAGGGGCTAATGGTAAGGCGCTTTTGTCTGTGGGGGTCCCAGGACCCCCCTCTCCGTGGCGCATTTTTTTTTTTTCTTTTTTCTGCCACAGGTGCCTCACCTCTCCTCCCTCAAACCTCACCTTCGCCTCATGGGCCTTCTGCCTGCCTTGGGGTACCCCTAGCGGCCCGAGGCGAACCCTGGGGTCGAACCAGGGACGCCAGGGTCCCTGGGGCCCAGTGCAAGGGCTGATGGGAAGATACTTTCTTCCATGGGAGCCCAGGCACCGCTTCTCCGCGGCGCATATTCTTTTTCTTTCGGCTGCCCCAGGTACCTCACCTTCCCCTCATGGGCCATCTGCCTGCTTTGGGGTACTCCTAGTGGAGCGAGGCGCACCCTGGGCTCGAACCAGAGTCATCAGGTTCCCTGACGCCCAGCGCAAGGGCTGATGGGAAGACACTTTCGTCTGTGGCGGACCCAGGCCGCGCTTCTCAGCGGCGCGGTTTTTTTTTTTCTTGCCACAGGTACCTCACCGCTCCTCCCTCAAACCTCAACCTCCCCTCATGGGCTTTCTACCTGCCTTGGGGTACCCCTAGCGGCCCAAGGCACACCCTGGGTTTGAGCCAAGGTCGCCAGGGTCCACGGGGCTCAGCACAGGGCCTGATGGGAAGGCACTTTCGTCTGTGGGGGCCCATGCCCTGCTTCTCCGTGGCTCGGTTTTTTTTTTCCTTCCTGCCACAGGTGCCTCACCTCTCCTCCCTCAAACCTCACCTTCCCCTCATGGCCCTTCTGTCTGCCTTGGGGTACACCTAGCAGCCCGAGGTGCACTGTGGGCTCGAACCAGGGACTCCAGGGTCCCTGGGGCCTAGCGCAAGGGCTGATGGGAAGACACTTTCGTCCGTGGGGGGGGGGGGTACCCAGTCCCCGCTTCTCCGTGGCGAGGTTTTTTTTCTTTTTCTCTGCCCCAGGTGCCTCACCTTCCCCTCATGTGCCTTCTGCACGCTTTGGGGTAACCCTAGCGGCCCAAGGCGCACCCTGGGATCGAACAATGGAAGCCAGGTTCCACGAGGCCAAGCGCAGTGGTTGATGGGAAGACACGTTCTTCCTCGGGGACCCAGGCTCTGCTTCTCTGCGGCGTTTTTTTTTTTTCTTTTCCCCAGGTGCCTCACTTTCCCGTCATGGGCTTTCTGCCCGCCTTGAGGTACCCCTAGCGGGCCCGAGGCGCACCCTGCTTTCGAGCCAGAGATGCTAGGGTCTCCGGGGCCCAGTGCAGGGCTGATGGGTAGGGACGTTCGTCCGTGGGGGACCCAGGCCCCACTTCTGGGCGGCGCAGTATTTTATTTTTTTCTCTGCCCCAGGTGTCTCACCTTTCCCTCATGGGCCTTCTGTCTTGGGGTACCCCTAGCAGGCCGAGGCGCACGCTGGGCTCCAGCCAGGGATACCAGGGTCCCCAGGGCGCAGTGCAAGCGCTGATGGGAAGACAGCTTCTTCTGTGGGGGACCCAGGCCCCACTTATCCGCGGCGCGGTTGTTTTTTGTTTTTTTCTCTGCCCCACGTGCATCACCTTCCCCTCATGGGCCTTCTGCCCGCTTTTGGGTACACCTAGCGGCCTGAAGCACACCCTGGTCTCGAACCAGCTACGCCAGGGTCCCCTGGGCCCAGCGCAAGGGCTGATGGGAAGACACTTTCGTCCGTTGGGGACCCAGGCTCCGCTTCTCCGTGGTGCAGTTTTTTTTTTTTTTTTCCTGCCACAGGTGCATCACCTCTCCTTCCTCAAACCTCAACTGCCCCTCAGGGATTTCTGCCCGCCTTGGGGTACCCCTAGCAGGCCCGAGGCGCACCCGGGGCTCGAACAGGGTCTCCAGTGTCCACAGGGCCCAGCGAAGGGACTGATGGGAAGGCATTTTCATCCGTGGGGGACCCAGGCCCAGCTTCTCCTAGGCGCGGCTTGTTTTTTTTTTTTTTTTTTCTGCCACAGGTTCCTCATCTCTCCTCCCTCAAACGTCAACTTCCCATCATGGGCTTTCTGCCCGACTTGGGGTACCCCTAGCAGCCAAAGGCGCTCCCTGGACTCGAACCATGGATGCCAGGGTCGCCTGGGCCCAGTGCAGGGGCTGATGGGAAGGTACCTTCATCCGTGGGTACCCAGGCCCCGCTTCTCAAAGCTGCGGTTTTTTTTCTCCACCCCAGGTGCCTCACCTTCCCCTCATTGGCCTTCTGCCTGCTTTGGGGTAACACGAGCGGGCCCGAGGCACTCCTGGGTCTCGAACCAGGGTCGCCAGGTTCTCGGGGCTAGCGCAGGAGCTGATAGGAAGGCACTTTCATCAGTGGGGACCCAGGCCCGGCTTCTCCAAGGCGCTGATATATATATATATATATATATTTTTTTTTTTTTTTTTTCTGCCACAGGTGACTCACCTCTCCTCCCTCAAATCTCACCTTCCCCTCATGGGCTTTCTGGCTTCCTTAGGGTACCCTAGCGTGCCGGAGTCTCTTCTGGTCCTTGAACTAGGGTCGCCAGGGTCCAGGAGGCCCAGCGCAGGGGCTGATGAGAAGGCACTTTCGTCTGTGGGAGACCCAGGCCCCACTTCTCCTCGGCACGTTTTTATTTTTCTGCCGCAGGTGCATCACCTCTCCTCCCTCAAACCTCACCTTCCCCTCATGGGCCTTCTGCCTGCTTTGGGGTACACCTAGCGGGCCCGAGGTGCACCCAGGCCTAGAACCAGGGTCGCCTGGGTCCACGGGGCCCAGCGCAGGGACGGATGGGAAGGCACTTTTTTTCCATGGGAGACCCAGGCCCCGCTTCTCCGTGGCGTGGTTTCTTTTTCTTTTCTGCCACAAGTGCCTCACCTCTCCTCCCTCACAGCTCACCTTCCTCTCATGGGCTTTCCACCGCTTTGGGGTACCCCAAGTGGCCCAAGGCTCTCCCTGAGCTCAAACCAGGGACCCCAGGTTCCCCGGTGCCCAGCGCAGGGGCTGATGGGAAGACACTTTCATCCGTGGGGGACCCAGGCCCCAGCTCTCCACTGCGCGGGTTTTTTTTTCTTTGTCTGTGACAGGTGCCTCACCTCTCCTGCCTCAAAACTCACCTTCCCCTCATGGGCTTTGTGCGCCCAAAGCCCCACTTGGGGTGCACTTAGCGGCTGAGGCACACCCTGAGCTCGAACCAGGGACACCAGGGTCCTCGGTCCCAGTGCAGGGACTGATGGGAAGACACTTTGTCCGTGGGGCGCCCAGGCCATGCTTCTCCGCAGCAAAGTTTTTTTTTTCTCTGCCCCAGGTGCCTCACCATCCCCTTAGGGGCTTTCTGCCCACCTTGGGGTACCCCTACTGGCCCGAGGTGGACCCTGGGGTCAAACCAGGGATGCCAGCGTCCCCAGGGCCCAGCGAAGGGGCTGATGGGATGGCACTTTCATCCGTGGGGGACCCAGGCACTGCTTCTTGGTGGCGCATTTTTTTTTCTCTGCCTCAGGTGCCTCACCTTCCCCTCATGGACCTTTTGTTCGCTTTGTGGTACCCCAAGCGGTCCCGAGGCGCACCCTGGGCTCGAACCAGGGTCGCCAGGGTACACCAGGCCCAGCATAGGGCCTGATGGGGAGGCACTTTCATCCGTGGTGGACCCAGGCCCCACTTCTCTGAGGTGCGGTCCTCTTTTTTTTTTTTTTTTTTTTCTGCCCCTGGTGCCTCACCTCTCCTCCCACAAACTTCAACTTCCACTCATGGGGCTTCTGTCCGAGTTGGGGTACCCCTAGTCGCCCGAGGCGCACCCTGGGCGCTAACCAGGGATGTCAGAGTCCCTGGGGCCCAGCGCAAGGGCTGATGGGAAAAAACTTTCGTCGGTGGATGACTCAGACACCGCTTCGCGGCGCATTTTTTTTTTTCTTTGCCCCAGGTGTCTCACCTTCCCCTCATGGACCTTCTGACTTTCTGCACCTGCTCCGGCGCTGTGGGCCCCCCTGCGCCTGCGCCGGCGCTGTGCACCTTTGCGAGGGCGGAGCTGCATTCTTCCCAGCACCCACACGGAGAGCATCGCCAGGGCGGAGCTGAGTTCTCCTCTGCACACACTTCGGAGATACAGCAAAGGCGGAGCAGTGTTCTCCTCAGCACAGACCTGGGCAGGCTGGGGTCTCCGTGAGGGCGGAGCTGCGTTCTGCTCAGCATAGACCCGGGGGACGCCGCGAAGGCAGAGTAGCGTTCTCCTCAGCACAGACCTTGGGGGCACTGACTCGCTTTGGGACAACTCGGGGCCGCATAGACGGTGAATAAAATCCTTCCTGTTTGCAGCCCTGAGTAATCAGGGTCGGCGACCAGTTAGAAGGGTTCAGTGTGGAAAACGGGAAACCAAAAGCCCCTCTGAATCCTGCCCACCGAGGTTCTCCCCAGCCAAGGCGAGGCAGCCGCAGTGCGAGATCCACACCGCAGCCTCAGAAGACAAATGCAGCATTCCTAATGCAGACATGACACCCAAAATATGACACCCCCATTGCTCATGTAACAAGCACCTGTAATGCTAATGCACTGCCTCAATACAAAAATATTAATATAAGATCCGCAATCCCCTTGCTGCCATGCAGTCCTAAGACAGAGATCATAATAATCAACATTGACATAGTCAATACAAACGTAGTAACGAACCTAGGGTTAAGGCTGGTGTTAGGGTTAAGGGTTAGGGGTTAAGTTTAGGGTTAGGAGTTGGAGATAGGGGTTGGGGTCAGAGTTAGGAGTTAAGAGTCAATGTTTAGAGTTAGGGGTTAAGAGAGGTTAGGGGTTAGGGATAAGGGGTTAGGGTTGGATTAGTGTGAGGGTGAGAGTTGTGGTTAGGGGTTAGGCTTAGGGGTTACAGTTAAGGGTTAAGGGTTAGGGTTAGGGGTTAGGGTTAGGGTCAGGGGTTAGGGGTCAGGGGTTAGGGGTCAGGGTCAGGGGTCAGGGTCTGGTTCAGGGGTTCCACTCTGTGAGTTGTCTATTTACTCTGCTGACTGTTCCCTTTGCCATGCAAAAGCTGTTTAGTTTAATTAAGTCCCAGCTATTTATCTTTGTTTTTATTGTATTTACATTTGGGTTCTTGGTCATGAAATCCTTGCGTATGTCAATGTCTAGAAGGTTTTATCGATTGTTACCTTCTAGAATTTTTATAGTTCAGGAATTAGATTTAAGTTCTTAATCCATCTTGAGTAGATTTTTGTATAAGATGAGAGATGAGAATCCAGTTTTATTCCCCTACATGTGGCTCACCAATTATCCCAACATCATGTATTGTAAAGGGGGTCCTTTCCCCACTTTATGTTTTTGTTTACTTTGTCGAAGATCAGTTGGCTGTAAGTATTTGGGTTAATTTCTGGGTTCTCTCTTCTGTTTCATTGGTCTATGTTCCTATTTTTAAACCAGTACTTTGGTGTTTTGGTAACTGTGGCCTTATTGTACAGTTTGAAATCAAGTAGTGTGATACCTCCAAGTTCTTTTTGCTTAGGCTTGGTTTGGCTACATGGCTCTCTTTTGGTTCCATATTAATTTTAGAATTGTTTTTGTAATTCTGTGAAGAATGATGGTGGCATTCAGATGGGGATTGCATTGAATTTGTAGATTGCCTTTAACATAATGGTAATTTTCACAGTATTGGTTCTACCCATCCATGAGCATGGGGATGCGTTTCCATTTGTTTTTGTCATCTATGACTTCTTTTCTTTCTTTTTTTTTTTTTTCCCCAGAGGGAGTTTCACTCTTGTGGCTGAAGTGGGAGTGCGATGGTGTGATCTCAGCTCACTACAACTTCTGCCTCCCGGGTTCAAGCGATTCTCGTGCCTCAGCTTCCCGAGTAGCTCAGATTATACGCATGTGCCACCGTTCTTGGCTCCATCTATGATTTCTTTCAGTAGTGTTTTGTAATTTTCATTGTAGAGGTCTTTTGATTCCTTTGCTAGGTATATTCCTAAGTTTTGTTTTTTTGTTGTTGTTGTTTTTTGCAGCTATTGTAAAAGGGGTTGAGTTCTTGATGTGATTCTCTGCTTGGTAGCTGTTGATGTATAGAAGAGCTACTGATTTGTGTCCATTAATCTTGTATCTGGAAACTTTGCTGAATTCTTTTATCAGTTCTAGGAGCTTTCTAGAGGAGTCCATAGGGTTTTCTAGGCAAAAGATCATATCATCAGCAACAAGTGACAGTTTGACTTCCTCTTTACCGATTTGGGTTTCCTCTATTTCCTTCTTTTGTCTGATTGCTCTGGCTAGGACTTCCAGTACTATGTTGAAGAGGAGTGGTGAGAGTAGGCTCCTCGTCTTGTTCCAGTTCTCAAAGGGAATGCTTTCACTGTTTCCCCATTCAGTATTATGTTGGCTGTGGGTTTGTCATAGATGGCTTTTATTACATTAAGTTATGTCCCTTGTTTGCCTATTTTGCTGAGAGCTTTAATCATAAAGCAATGCTAGATTTTGTCAAATGTTTTTTCTGCACCTGTTGATATAATCATGTTAGATTTTTTTAATTCTGTTTATTTGGTGTATCACATTTATTGACTTGCATATGTGAAACCACTCGTATATCATTGGTATGAAACCCACTTGATCATGGTGGATTATTTTTTGATATGTTGTCGGATTCAGTTAGATAGTATTTTGTTAAGGATTTTGGCATCTGCGTTCATCAAGGATATTGGTCTGTAGTTTTCTTTTTTGGTTATGTCCTTTCATGGTTTTGGTATTAGGGTGATGCTGGCTTCATAGAATGAATAAGGGAGGGTTTCTTCTTTCTCTGTCTTGTGGAATAGTATGAAAAGTTGGGTATCATTTCTTCTTTGAATGAAAGAAGACATTCTTTGAATGTCTGGTAGAATTCTGCTGTGAATCTGTCTGGCCCTCGGCTTTTTTTTGCTGGTAATTTTAAAATTAAAATTTCAGTCTTGCTGCTTGCTTTATTGGTCTGCTTGGGGTATCTAATTATTCCTGATTTAAGCTAGGAGAGTTGTATTTTTCCAGGAATTTATCCAACTCTTCTAGGTTTTGTAGTTTATGTGCCAAAAGGTGTTCATAGTACCCTTGAATAATCTTTATTATTTCAGTGGTGTCAGTTGTAATATCCCCTGTTTCATTTCTTAGTGAGGTTATTTGGATTTTCTCTCTTCTTTTCTTGGTTAATCTTGCTAATGGTCTATCAATTTTATTTATCTTTTCAAATAACCAACTTTTTGTTTTATTTATGTTTTGTATTTTTTGTTGTTGTGTCAATTTCATTTAGTTCTGCTCTGATCTTGGTTATTTCCTGTGTTTGCTGGGATTGGGTTTGGCTTGTTCCTGCTTCTCTAGTTCCCTGAGATGTGAACTTAGATTGTCTGTTTGTGCTCTTTCAGACTTTTTGACGTAGGTTTTTAGGACTACAAAGTTTGCTCTTAGCAGTGCCTATGCTGTATCCCAGAGGTCTTGATAGGTTGTGTCATCCAGTTCGAAGAAATTTTTTACATTTCCATCTTGATTTCATTTTTCACCCAATGCTCATTCTGTGAGGAACAACCAAATTGTTTTCTGCAGCAAGGGCATCATTTTCTATTCCTAGCAGCCAGTTCATGAGGGCTCCAACTTCTCCACCTCCTTAGCAACATTTATTTTCTGTGTCATTGTTATGAAAGCCTTACTTGTGGGTGCAGAGTGGCATGAATGAAGTCAATTAACATGTTTATTACCTCACAGAATAGTTACCTTTTTGTGTGCATGTGTGGGATAAGAAAACTTAACCCTATCCCCTGTGACTGAATAGTGGCCATTCCAGCTGCTCCAGGCTCCGGCAGAGGAAGACCAGGGTAGGTGGCTCCACCAGGGTGACCCTCAGGTCTGGCGCTCACGCATTCCAGAAGCCACCCAGACCATGCTCCCCTGCCTGGGCGCCCAAGCTGCAGTCGCCCTCTGTGTGCAGGCAGCAGCTGCCTGGCAACCCCCGAGCCCACTCGCGCTCCCACCATCGCAGAACCAGGGCCAGGTGTCCCAGTGGCTGCGGCCAAGCCAGGCATTCTGCCCTGCGGCAGCAGCTGCACAGGAGCGAGAACTGAGAACCCACCGCTCAACCCCACATGGGGTGACTGCCGAGTGCCCATACAAACGGCTCTGATCTCCCTCAGGTGGAGGAGTGGGCGGGAGGCACGGCCTGGGGGGCCCTCAGCCTGGGCGCGCTGGGTAGATCCCAAGGCCAACCAGGCCACGCACCTCCAGCTCGCCTGGGCACCCGAGCTGCAGCCGCCTTCTGCGTGCAGGCAGCAGCCTCCAGGCAACTCCCGAGCCAGCCCACACTCCCCACATCTCGGATGCAGGGCCAAATGTCCCTGTGGCTGTGGCCAAGCCAGGCGGTCTGTCCTGCAGCAGCTGCACAGGGGCGGTAACCGGCCCTCAGCCCCATCCCCGGTGGCTGCAGAGGGCCCCTGGATAGAGATCTGGAGCTATGGCAGAGGAGGAGACGGGTGGGGGCAGGGTCTGGCAGGCTCTCAGCCCAGGGGTACCCGCGATCCAGAGGCCGCCCAGGGTATGCTCCACCAACTGGGTGCCCAGCTACAGGCGCCGGGCAACTCTCAAGCTGGCTGGCGGTCCCAGCCTCGCAGAACCGGGGCTAGATGTCGCCGTGGCTGCGACCAAGCCAGGCGGTCTGCCCGGGGGCGGCTGCACCGGGGCAGGAACCGACCCTCAGCCCCATCCCCGGTGGCTGCAGACGGCCCCTGGGGTGGCCCCGATCTCTCTTCGGAGGAGAAGAGGGGCGGGAGTCACGGCCAGGCGGGCCCTCAGGCAGGAAGGGATGCGCGCCTGCGATTCCGGGACGTCCCGCGCCAGCCCAGGAGAACCCGCAAGCCAGCGGCGCCTGTTTCTCTGTGTGATTCTTTGAGGAACCACTAAACTGATTTCCACAGCAAGTGCATCATTTTCTATTCCTAGCAGCCAGTTCATGAGGGCTCCAGTTTCTCCACCTCCTTAGCAACATTGATTTTCTGTGTCGTTGTTACGAAAGCCTTACTAGTGGATGCAAAGTGGCATCTCATTTGGGTTTTGTCTTGCATTTTATTAATGAATAACGGTGTTTAGCATCTTTTCTTGTCCTTCTTAGACATTTGTGTATCTTCTTTGGTGAAATGTCTATTCAAGTCCTTTGCCTATTTTTTAATTGGGATCTTAGAAATTCTGTTGTTGAGTTGTGGGATATTAAGCTTTTATCAGATTCACACTTTGATTTTATCAGATACATATATTCTCACATATTATGGGTTGTCTTTTCACTCCCTTGATAGTATCCTTTGATGCATAAAGGGTTTTTATTTTGATTAAATCTAATTTTCGTGTATTTTCTTTTGTTATCTGTGCTTTTCTGTCATATTTCAAAATACACTTAAAACTGAAAGGTCATAAAGGTTTACCGTGTGCTTTCTTCTAAGAGTTACATATTTTTAGTCCTTACATTTAAGTCTTTTATTAATTTAGAATTAATTTTTGTATATACTGCAAGGTAGGGGTCTAACTTCTCTCTTGTGCACTGACATCCAGCTGTTGAAGAGACTGTTCTTTCCTCCCTTGACTAGATTTGGCCACCTTGTTGAACAGTCACCTTGTTGAACAGACTAACTTGTAGGATCTCAAATCTATTCTATTGTATTTGTCTGAAAGTCTATTGGTCTTATTCCAGTACCATACTCTCTTGATTACTGTAGATTTGTAGTAGGCTGTGAAACTGAAAAAATGTGAGTTTTCCAATGTTCTTTTTCAAGACTGTTTTGTCTGTGAGATCCTTTGAATTTTTGTATGATTTTAGAATGAGTTTCTTTGTTTCTGCAAAAATGCCTTTGGGAGTTTGATGGTATTGCATTGAATCTGTAGATTACTTTAGATGGTATTGTCATCTTAACAATATTGTCTTACAACCCGTGAACACAGAATGTCTTTCCACTTATTTCCACTCTCTTTAGTTTTTTTCAGCAAAGTTTTTGTATACCACCACGGTTAGATTTATGCCTGAATAACGTATTCTTTGATGTCATTATAAATGGAATTTTTAAAATGTTTTCATAGTTCTTTACAACTATATAGGAATATAGCTCATTTGCCTATGTTTGTTTGCATCCTGCCTCTTTTATTAGTTATAATCCATTTTGTGTTTTGTTTGGAGCTTTGTACCCATAAGATCATGTGTAGATATAATTTTACACCTATTTTTTATTTCCAATTTAGATGCCTTTTATTTCTTTGTCTTGCCTAATTGCTCTGGCTAGAACTGCCAGTGCTACGTTGAATACAAGTGGCAAATGCACTATCCTTTTCTTCTAGATGTTAGAAAAACAGCTTTCAGTGTTTCATCATTGATCATGATATTAACTGTTGGGTTTTTGTACATCCCATTGTCATGTTGCAGAAGATCCCTTCTATGCTTAGTTTATTGAGTATTTTTATTATAGAAGGGTGTTGTATTTCATCAATGTTTTCTCTGCATCAATTGAAATCATCACGTGCTTATTCATTTTACTTTTACAGCATATTACACTGATTGATTTTTTATATGTTGAACCACCCTTGCATTTTGGGGATAAATCTCAAAGGGTGATAGTTTACAATCCTTTGATTATACGGTATTGCTGCTAGTATTTTGCTAGTATTGCTAGTATTTTGCTGAGATTTTTGCTTATATATTCATAAGGGATATAGTGCTGTATTTCTCTTGTGCTCTCTTTGTCTTTGGTATGAGGATAATGCTGTTATCAAAAAATGAATTAACAAGTATTCCTTCTTCATATATTTTGTCAGAAGAGTTTGAGAAGAAATGGTATTAATTATTCTTTAAATGTTAGGTTGACTCACCACTTAATGCAGCTATTTGGTCACAAATGTTTCTTTGTTAATCGCTTTCGATTACTAATTCAATCTCCTAGGTTATAGGTCTGTTCAGATTTTCTCTTTCTTCTTGAGCCACTTTGGTAGTTTGTGTCTTTCTAGCGATTCATCCATTTCATCCAGGGCACTTAATTTGTTGCTAGACAGTTGTTCACAGTATACTCCTGTAATCCTTTTGTATTTCTGTAAAGTTGGTTGTAATGGCTCTGCTTTCATTTATTATTTTAATAATTAGTCTTCCATCTTTTGCTCAGTCAATATAGTGAAAGGCTTGATCTTTCAAAGAATCCACATTTTTTCATTCTACTGCTCTCCAATCTTCTATTTTATTGATTTATGCTCTAATTATGTTCTTTATTATTTCTTTCCTTCTGCTAGCTTTGGATTTAGTCTTCCACCTGAATTTATTTTGGGAGTGATATTGTTGTAACTTCATGGAAATAATACTAGATAGAAAGTTAGCAGATGGATTCTCTATCTGATGAGAGTTTTGGGCAAATCGAATACCAAGTTGCCAAGTTTTTTTTCTCTGACGCAAAAAACAATTTAGCAGCCGGTGAGAAACTCTCACAGCTCTGGATGTGAGTTTAGGACACTGCATTTCTACCATTCAATTTCTTACTAGTTTTTTGCACAGGGATCATGGCACAAGTTGCAGTTTCCACCCTGCCCATGGAAGATGAGGAGTCCATGGAAGATGAGGAGTCCATTGAAGATGAGGAGTCTGTTGAAGATGATTCCGTGGAAAGCAGGATGGTGGTGACATTGCTCATATCAGCTATCGAGTCCACGGTGAGACCTTCTGTTCTAACATGATATAATTGGGTAGAACTGCGTGGTAGATAAGGTTGATTTGTTTTTGTAGAACTTATAATTTTATGATTTGTAGTTCTAATGAGTAGATCTTTTTCTGGAATGGTAGTTATGGTCAAACACTTCTAACAAAATGTGCCATGTTGTCCAGCCTGGTCTCAAAATATGGGGCTCAAGAGACCTGCTCACCTTGGCCTCCCAAAATACTGGGATTACAGGTGTAAGACCCTGAATCTGGCCAGATATTTTTCTTTTTATGGCTGAATAATACTCTGTGTATGTATATGTTACATTTTCTTTATCTATTCACCTACTGATGGGCATTAGGTTTGGGCGACCTTTTGGCCACTGTGAATAATGCTGCTGTTAATCGGGTGTACAAACACCTGTTTGAGTCCCTGCTCTCAGTTCCTTTGGGTATATATGCTTAAAGGGTGTTGATGGATCATATAATTCTGTGCTTCATATTTTTAAGGAGCTGCTAAACCATTTTCCACAGTGGGCTGTACCATTTTACGTTCCAAAAAGCAATGCATACAGCTTCCAATTTCTCTATAGCATTGCTGACAGTTAATATTTTCTGTTTATGTATTGTATTTTTAGAGTGTTTGAAATTAATCTGAGGCTTTTTGCTGATACCAAAATATTAGGAAAGGTTATCCAAAAATAATACTGCTTATTATAAGGGATTTTACGTGTTACTTGATGCTCTGTGATCTGTTTTCTAAGTAAGAAGAGGAACTTCTTGGCTGGGCACAGCGGCTCATGCCTGTAATCCTAGCACTTTGGGAGGCTGAGGCAGGTCGATCACAAGGTCAGGAGTTCAAGACCAGCCTGGCCAACATAATGAAACCCAGTCTCCACTCAAAAAAAAAAAAAAAATTAGCTGGGTGTGGTGGTGGGGGGGTGCCTCTAATCCCAGTATTCGGAAGGCTGAGGCAGAGAATTGATTAAACCCATAAGGTAGAGGTTACAGTGACTGAGATTGCACCACTGCACCCCAGTCTGTGTGACAGAGCGAGAGTCCATCTCAAAAAAAAAAAGGAAAGAAAGAAAGAAGAGGAACTTCTCTCCACCCAGCCTCATTCCACTGCACCAACTCTTCTCTGTCGGGTTGTGCAGGGGAGAAAGGGAGCTTGGCACCTCTTTGCTGTGTTGAATTGTGGTAGCCCATCACTGGGTTGTAAAGTTCCTTGCCTCCTTTCCTCCCCCCCTTTTTTTGAGACAGAGTCTCACTGTGTCGTCCAGGCTCAGGTGAAGTGCTGTGATGTCTGCTCCCTGCAAGCTCAGCCTCCTGGTTTCAAGTGATTCTCCTGCCTCAGCCTCCCAAGAAGCTGGGACTACAGGCACATGCCACCACACCTGGCTAACATTTTTTTATTTTTAGTAGAGATAGGGTATCACCATGTTGGGAGGCTGGTCTTGAGCTCCTGACTTCAGGTGATCCACCCACCTTGGCCTCCCAAAGTGCTGGGGTTAAAGGCATGAGACACTGAGTTCATCCACCTCCTCTTTTACTTGGGAGAAATGCACAGATTCTGGGTGCATGTGCATTTGTTTTGGGAGTGATAATTGATCTAACTTATGGAAATAATACTAGATAGTTAGCGGATGGATTCTGTATCTGATGAGAGTTTTGGGCAAAACGAATTCCTAGTTTCTGAGTCTTATTTTTCCCCTGATTCAAGAAAACTGTGAATTATCCAGCTGGTAAAAAACTCTCACAGCTCTGGATGTGAGTTTAGGACACTGGATTTCTACCACTCATTTTCTTACTACTTTTCTTGTGCAAGGATCATGGCAGAAGTTGCAGTTTCCACCCTGCCCATTGAAGATGAGGAGTCTGTTGAAGATGAGGAGTCCTTGGAGAGCAGGATGGTGGTGACATTCCTGTCAGCTCTCGACTCCATGGTCAGACCTTCTGTTCTAACATTCTGTAGTTCGGTAGGACTGGGCGGTAGATAAGGTTGATTTGTTTTTGTAGAACTTACAATTTTGTGATTTTTAGTTCGAAAGAATAGACCTTTGTCATGAACACCTCTGACCAAATGTGTGTGTGGAATTTCTACACTGATTTTTGGACAATCTGGATCCCAACTGGGTATCCCACAATTCCATCCTGACACTCCCTGCAGTTAGTGCAGACCCCGCAGGATGGGGACTCAGTCCCAGGAATCTACCCTCACTCCACATGCCAATTGAAAGTCTTGGGTTGTTACATGTAGTTTTGACCAACCAGTTAGAAAACACGGTTTCTTGACCCCCATTGGTGGGTGGAATCATTTGCTCGGACAGCTTGCAGAAATTAGAAAAACAGATTGTTTTCTTTTTTTTTTTCTGAGATACAGAGTCTCAGTCTGTTGCCAGGCTGGAATGCAGTGGTGTGATCAAAGCATACTGTAGCATGGGACTCCTGGGCTCAAGTGATCCTCCCACCTCAGCCTCCCAAAGAGCTGAGATTATAGGCCTGTACCAGTGTATCTGGCTATGTTCTTTTACTTTTTGTAGAGATGGGGTCTTGTTATGTTGCCCAGGCTGGTCTCAAATTTCTGGGCTCACATGATCCTCCCACCTCAACTTCACAATATGCTGGGATTATAGGCATGAACCACTGCATCTCACCAATTTACTTTATTTTACTGGTTCATTTTAAAGGCTAAATCTCAGAAACAGCCAGTGAAAGAGATGTACATGCTGGGCACAATGGCTCATGCCTGTAATTTCAGCACATTGGGAGACTGAGGTGGGAGCATCGCTTAAGTGCTCAGGAGATTAAGACCAGCCTGGGTAACATGGTGAAAATCCATCTCTACAAAAAGATTTTTCTAAAAATTAGCCAGGCACAGTTATCTATAGTTCTAGCTACTCAGTGCCTATAATTCTGGCTACTCAGGAGGCTGAGGTGAGAGGATGAGAGGATGGGGCTTGAGCTAGGGAGGCATAGGTCACAGTGAGCCACGATTGTGCCATGGCACTCTAGGCTGGGAGACAGAGCCAGACACTGTCTCAAAAAAAACAAAAACAAAAACAAAAAACACACAGGGCAAGGTATGTTGAGAGGGGTACAGAACTTCCATGTCCTCTATTGTGCATGTTACCTTCCTGGTATCTCCCTTGTGTTCAGCAACCCAGACATTCTCCAACTCCAGTTGTTGAGGGCGCTTATGAACGCTTCATTATGCAGGCATGATTGATGAAGTCATTGACCATTGGTGATTAAGTCAGTCTTCGGCCACTATTTCTTCCTGGAGCCCAGTGGGTGAGGCTGACAGTTCCAAGCCTCTAATCACATGGTTTGTTCTTCTGACAACTACCAGCCCTTTTTCTGAAGCTGTCTAGGAGCTTTCAGTCACCCAGTCATCTCAGTAACATCACCAAATCCATTCTTACTATGGTGATCCCAAAGGTATTAAAGGCTCCTGTGTTAGAAACCTGCGACTAAGACCAAATATTGAAACAGAAGATGCCCCATCACCTTCATCACCAAGGCCTTTATAAGAACTTGAGAAGCTCTGTGCCAGGATGAGGGGCAGAAACCAAATGTGTATTTCTTTTCTTTTTCTTTTGAACACAGAGTCTCTGTTTCACCCAATCTGGAGTGCAATGATGGAGTTGTAGCTAACTGCAGCTTCAACCACCTGGGCTCAAGCAATTCTCCCACCTCAGCCTTCCAAGCATCTGGGACTACAGGTGCACACCATCCATGCCCAGCTAATTTTTGTATTTTTTTTTTGTAGAGATGGGAGCTTGTTATATTGCCGAGGCTGGTCTTGAACTCTGGGGCTAAAGCGATCCTTTCACCACAACCTCTCAAGTAGCTGAAACTACAGATGCATACTACCATGCCCAGCTAATTTTTTCTTATTTCTTTTTGTTGTTTAATTGAGGGGGTCTCACTGTGTTTCCCAGGCTGGTCCCGAAGTTTTGGCCTCAAGCATTTCTCCTGCTTTGACCTCCTAAACTGTTGGGATTATGGTTGTGAGCCACGGCCTCTGTGTCCAGCAATCACAAGAGGTCTTTATAAGTGAAAGAGGGAGGTAAGAGAGTCGGAATTGAAGGAGATTTGATGATGGAAGCACAGGTCACAGAGGGAGATTCGAATATGCTTTGCTTCTGGCTTTGAAGATGCAGTTAGGGGCCATGAGCCAAAGAATAGGGGTGGCTTTAGCAACTGGGAAAAGCAAGGGAACACATTCTCTCCAGAACCTCCAGAAGGGATGCAGTCCTGCTGACACCTTGACTTTAGCCTTAATAGACCTATTTTGGACTTCTGGCCCCCAGACCTGTTAGGTAGTAGATTTGTGGTGTATTAAGCCACTAAATGTAGGGTACTTTGCAACAGCAGCAAGAAGAAATGAACATGAAGCCAGGGGTGGTGGCCCACACCTATAATTCCAGCTATTTAGGAGGCTGAAGCAGGATGGTTGATTTGGCCCAGGGGTTCAAGATAAGCCTGGGCAACAAAGTGATACCCTGTCTACATGGAAAAGAATTAGTGGCTGTGGTGGTATGCACTTGTAGTCTTAGCTACTAGAGGCACTGAGGCAGGACGATTTCTTGACCTAGGAGCTCCAGGTCTCAGTGCATTGTGATCATGCCATTGCACCCCAGTCTGAGTGACACAGCGAGATTGTATCTTAAAAAAAAAAAAGAAAAAAGAAATGAGTGAGCATGGCAGGAATAGGAACAGATAGCAATATTAAATAGAGTGGTCAGGGTTGGCCTCCTAAGTGAAAATTGAGCAAAGACTTGAAGGAGGGGAAGGAGCTGGCCAAGGTACTGAGGGAAGGGCATTGTAGGCAGAAACAACAGAATAAAGATGCGAAGAGGGAACTCCGTGGTGTGTCTGAAGCTCAGGAAAGAGGCCTGTGGAGCAGAGAGAGGGAGAGAAGTAGGGAAGGAGGCCAGGGAGTTGTTGGGTGCAGATCAGTACAGATTGTGTAAGCCCTGGGAGGCTATTGCTGGGGCTTTGGCTTTTATTCTGTCTGAGATGGGAGATGCGGAAGGGTTCTGAGCAGAGAGGTGACACAAATTGTCTACTGATTTAAAACCATCCCATGGTGGCTGAGTTGAGAAAGATTGTGGGAAGATTTGGGTAGAAGCAGGGAGGCCAAGCTATGGCAACCTCCAGGTGGGAGATGATAGTGGTTTTGACCAGGGTCCTGGCAATGGTGAGAGATGGTTGATTCTTGCTGAAATACTAAGTAATTAAAAAAAAAAAACAACACTACGGCTTTTCCCAGTTATATGAATATGGGATGCTGATTAAAGAAATCTTAAGTCGGGCCAGGTGCAGTGGTTTATGCCTGTAGCATCAGCTCTTTGGGAGGCAGAGATGAGAGAATTGTTTGAGTCGAGGAGTTTGAGTCCACCCTGTGCAACATAGCAAGACCTCCTCTCTATGCAAATAAAAATTAATAAAATGTAATTATCCAAGCATAGTGGTATTTTCCTGTACAACCAGTTACTCAGGTTGTTGAAGTGGGCAGATCTCTTGAGAGAGGGAGTTTGAGGCCAGCTTGGGCAACATAGCAAGGCTCCTCTTTCTACAAAAAAATAAATAAATAAATAAATAAATAAATATTAGCTGGGTGTTTTGGTGATCATCTGTGGTCATAGCTATGGTGAGGCTGAGGCAGGAGGATCTCCGGAGCCCAGGAGGTCAAGGCTGCAGTTAGGTATGAGTGCACCCCTGCATTGCAGCCAGAGTGACAGAGTGAGACCCGGTCTCAGAATACAGATACAAGTAAAGAAATCTCAACTCAGAGCAGTCTGTTTGTCACTATGCAGCCTTTGCAACCCCATAGCTGCGCGATTGGATTTGTGTTGCTGGAGGTGAGGAGACCTGTGCCCAGGTGTTGTTGCCTGTCTAATCAGTTTATTTTAAAATATATTAATGAAATTTATTTCATCATACTTTATGGTCTCATACCTGAGTGGTTTTTTGAATTCTCCTTTGAATAGCTTGTAACTATTCAAACCTCTTATTGGTTCTATAATTAATTCTTTTTCTAATTAGCTTTTTAAAAATCAGAATTGATATTAGACTAATCAGTTGTTAATGAGGAGATGAAATTGAGTTGTTTGTACACTTTATCTAAGATAGTGTCATATTGGCTAACTCAAATCAATAGTTGAGTAAATGCAGAATTAGAGCTTCTTCAGCGTGGAATTCTCTTGTGGTTCTTGAAGATGCCATTTCTTTTTTCTTTTTTTTTTTTTGAGACGGCATCTTCCTCTGTCACCAGGCTCGAGTGCAGTGGCACAATCTCAATTCACAGCAACTTCTGCCTCCCGGGTTCAAGCATTTCTCTTGCCTCAGCCTCTGAAGTAGCTGGGACTACAGGCACATGTCACCATGCCCGGCTAAGCTTTGTATTTTCTGTAGATGTGGGGTTTCAGCATGTTGGCCAGGCTGGTCTTGAACTCCTGACCTTGTGATCCACTGGCCTTGGACTCCTAAAGTGCTGGGATTACAGGCGTGAGCCACCACGCCTGGACTCTTTTTTCAGTCTTTAATAAACTGCTGCCATCATTTCAGACCACTTGCTATTTTAGGCAGTTAGAAATTTTTCACTGGAATTCATGTAAAGAAAGACCATGGGTGTTTGTACTGGATTTAGGATTCATCATTCGACTGCATGACTCTCCCCTAGCCCCACAATTTTACTAATGAATTTTTCAGATACTACTCAGCTGGCCACTGAACCTAACCAGCAACCCACCCTCAAGCATTCAGTGGTCTTTTGTTCTCTGTTCCTCCTGAATGTTGATTACTCTCAGAAGGTGATAAAAACTTGGATTTCTTTTTTTTTTCTTTCTAGAGACAGGGTCTTATTCTGTCACCCAGGCTGCAGTACGGTGGCGTGATCATGGTTCACTGCAGCCTGAAACCCTGGACTCAAACAGTCCTCCCACCTCAGCCTCCCAAGTAGCAGGGACTACATACATTTGCCCCTATGCCCAGCTAACTTCTTTACTTTTTATTGTACAGACAGAAACTTGCTGTGTTGTTCAGGATGTTGTCAGACTCCTGGCCTCAAGTGATCATTCTGCCTCAGCTTTCCAAAGTGCTTGGATTATACGTAGGTGGGAGCCACCTGTGTTCAATGCCCATTTTCTTTTTCTTTCTTTCTTTTGGAGATGGACTCTCTCTCTGTCACGCAGGCTGGAATGCAGTGGCGTGATCTCGGCTGACTGCAACCTCCACCTCCCTGGTTCAAGCAACTCCCCTGCCTCAGCCTCCCAACTAACTGGAATTACAGGCACATGTCACCAGTCTCAGCTAATATTTTTGTATTTTTAGTAGAGACAGGGTTTCATTATGTTGGCCAGACTGATCTCGAACTCCTGAAATCAGGCAATCCACCCACCTTGGCCTCCCAGTGTGCTGAGATCAGAGGCGTGAGTCACCACGCCATGCCCAGCCATTTTTAAAATAATAACGTTATTGAAATATGATTAACGTATCATGCAATTCATTTATCAAAGTACACAATTCAGGCCAGGTGCAGTGGCTAGTTCCTATAACGCTAAGACTTTGGGCAGCTGAGGCAGGTGGATCGCTTGTGTTCAGGAGTTTGCGACTAGCCTGGGCAACATGGCAAAACAACATCTCTAGCAAAAATACAAAAATTAGCTGGGTGTGGTGGCTCATGCCTGTAGTCCCAGCTACTTGGGGACATGAGACTGGAAGATCACTTGAGACCAGAAGCCATAGGTTGCAGTGAGACCAGATGGCACCACTGCACTACAGCATGGGTGACAAAAGGATACCCTGTCTTTAAATAACTAAAGAAAAAAAGAAAGTATACAATTGAGTGGTTTTTAGAATATTCAAGGAGCTGTGCATCCATCACCACAGTCTTTCTTAGAAGTGATTACCCACTTATGAGTTACCCATTTATGAGTGAGAAACCCTCACCTCTTAGCCACTACCTCCTACATCCCCCATGTTCATAGGCAACCACTGATTTATTTTCTGTCATTGTAGTTTTGCCTAATCTGGACCTTTTATAGAAATAGAATTGTATAATGTGTGATCTTTTGTAGTTTCCTTTTTTTTTCTCTTAGCAGAATGTTTTCAAATTTCTTTCATGTTATAGTGTTATCAGGATTTCTTTCCTTTTACA
This sequence comes from Homo sapiens, assembly GCF_000001405.40. Taxonomy (NCBI): domain Eukaryota; kingdom Metazoa; phylum Chordata; class Mammalia; order Primates; family Hominidae; genus Homo; species Homo sapiens. The sequence continues at coordinate 11,119,022 of NC_000024.10, forward strand.
GCTGAGTAATAGTTTATGTTTATCCATTCATTAGTTGATGGACATTTGTGTTGTTTTTGCGTATTCACCATCATGAGTCAGGCTGCTATGAACATTCGTATGTAAGTTTTAGTGGGAACATATATTTTTATTTCTCTTGGATTTACACTCAGGAGTGAAATTGTTGCATTATGTGATTATTATACATTTAGTCTTTGAGAAACTGCCACGTTGTTTTTCAAAGTGGTTACACTGGTCAGGCACAGTGGCTCACACCTTTAATCTCAGGTATTTGAGACGCTGAGTTTGGAGGATTTTCTTAGCTCGGGAGTTAAGGACAAGCCTGGGAAACATAGGGAAACAATGTCTTGATTTTTTAAAAAAATCAAATGCCAGGAGAACACCCAAATTGATTACACCATTTTATGTTCCCACCAGTAATATATGTGAGTTCCAATTATTCCAATTGTCACCAACTTTTTTTTTTTGAGACAAAATCTTGCTCTGTTGCCCAGGCTGGAGTGCAGTGACATGAACATGGCCAGTGCAGCTGTGACCTTCCAGGCACAAGTGATCCTCTCACCTCAGCCTCCTAAGTAGCTGGGACTTACAGGTGCATGCTATCATGTGCAGCTGATTTTTACAGTTTTTGGTAGAAATGGGGTTCTGTCATGTAGCCCAGGTTTGTGTCAAACCCCTGAGCTCAAGTGATCTGCCTGCTTCAGCTTCCAGAAGTGCTGAGATTACAGTTGTGTGCCACCACACACGACTCGTGTAACCACTTTGGAAAGGAGCCACTGAGCTTGGCCTTCACCAGTATGTCAATATTTGTTAATATCGTTTTATTGTTTACAATTTTTCCATTTTTAAAAACTTATTCTTTTACCTGTATTATTGATTATAATAAACAATGAATAATTTTGTAGTAGAGTTGAGTCCCCCCAAAAAGTATTTATTGTTTAACTGAAGTAGTTTTTTTTAAACCTGGATATATATTTTTTCATTTTCACTCTATTTTTAGTGTTTATTTTTAAAAATTATTTATATGTATTTTTATTTTAATAGGTGTTTGAGAAACAGGTGGTGTTTGCTTCCATGAATAAGTTCTTCAGTGTTGATTTCTGAAATGTAGTACCCCTCATTACTCATTAAATTATATATTAAGTCATTATAAAATCATTAATAAACCAAGGACTTTAGTAAAATGGGAATTTTATTTTAACTTGCAACCTGGGACGTAACTGTCAAAAAAATTAGAGAAATTACCACATTAAGGTTTTAAAATCTTGAACTGAAAAATGAAAACCTTGGTGCACCTAAGAACCACCAGCCCACTGGTTAAGGTGAACAAAACTAAATGAAAAAATAAAACCAAGAAAACCAAACTCAGGATTATTAGGTATTCTGTAATGCTATTTTATCTTTGGACTCACAGAAAATAGTTATTATTAATATTACTATTATTATTATTATTATTTTGATATGGAGCCTCACTCTGTCACCCAGGCTGGAGTGCAGTGGCACAATCTTGGCTCACTGCAACCTCTGCCTCTTGGGTTCAAGTGATTCTCCTGCCTCAGCCTTCAGAGTAGTTGGGATTACAGGCAGGTTCCACCATGCCTGGCTAACTTGTATTTTTGGTAGAGACAGGGTTTCACCATCTTGGCCAGGCTGGTCTGAAACTCCTGATCTCAAGCAATCTGCCGACCTCAGCCTCCCAAAGTGCTGGAATTACAGGCCTGAGCCACTGTGCTCAGCTGAAAATAGTTAATTTTATGTATATTCCATGTCAGAATACATCTTATTTTTGAATATTTGATGACTTTAGGATACTATATTAACTCTTAATTGAATTAATACAAGTTTAGGTGTAAAGATGATGTTTATGTTGACAAAAATTATTAATGTTTTACATATATGAAAGTAACAATATCATATATTTTTCATACTTGTAGAATACTTTGAAATCTATTATTAGCTAATATTTTATATTCATTTTGGGTTTTCACATTATTGTTAGATCCAGAGAAAAGTAACATTTTGTGAATACTCAAATCATAAACATTTTGCTGGATTCATTCATAGAGACTTTATTTAAAAAGTGCACTAATTGAAGTTTTACATCATTTTATGGTTCATCAAACACAGCAACTGAATACTGTCATATAGCAACATTACAGATGTTAGTCTAACATAAAACTCATAATACATTTTAAAAAGGGTAAAAGGAAGGGAAGGAAAAAGGATACAAGGCTGTAGAAAGATTTTAAAAACAAACGTCATATGAGCCTTTGCCTGGAGTTTCATATTTTGTGAAAAGCAGTTTGTAAGTAGAGGATTCGTAAGTGCACCTGGTACATGGCAGTGGCACAGACACAGCAGATAGTCAATAAAATGATCTTTAACTTCTGATCTAGGTTATTTTTGTTGTTGTTCATGTATTAACCTGTGAAACTCAGCCAATAGATGGAGTGGCATTGACCTGTACGACTTCCAAGATCCCATCCAAACTTAGTGTGCTCTGAAGTTCTCCATAATTTATTGTCTGTTCCAACCAACATTCAGCATAAGCTACAGCTTATATTGTTAATAATCCTTCTATGTTTATGTGCTGATTTGCAAATAAGTGGGCCTATATAGTCTTTATCTAGTGTTGGATTGGGGTCAAAAGTTTTATGAAATCATTGTTTTTAGTATACGTACAGATGGATAATTGTATAAATAAGTACAGATGTGTATAAATGTGTGAGTATACATACATACATTTTCTAGCTCCTCTAACAAAAGGGCCTAGAAACAACATCATCCCAGTAACAATGAGAGCACCATTCTCCAATTAAAGGAACCAAGGCTCCTTGGGGACATATTTGATATCAGGATTGGGCAGGGAAAATACAAGATTAGTTTGAAATATTTTGTCATGTTAGAAAGAAAGGAAACGCTCACAAAATGGGGAAAATGTGAAAAGGAAACAGAATCCACTTTGAATAAACTTCCATGGCCAAATTTGAGAAAATTGGGGCAATAAAATAAATAACAATAATAATATATTACAATCTACAGAAGAAAATTTTCAATTAATCCAGGCCGGGTGCGGTGGCTCATGCCTGTATTCCCAGCACTTTGGGAGGCCGAGGCGGGCAGATCACTTGAAGTCAGGAGTTCAAGACCAGCCTGACCAATGTGGTGAATCCCTGTCTCTACTAAAAATACAAAAATTAGCCAGGCATGGTGGCACATGCCTGTAGTCCCAGCTACTCGGGAGGCTGAGGCAGGAGAATGGCTTGAATCCTGGAAGGTGGAAGTGCAGTGAGCGGAAATCGCACCATTGCACACCAGCCTGGATGACAAAGCAAGACTCCATCTCAAAAAAAAAGTAATAATCCATATTGACATAAATAATAAACCAAAGGTTGAGAATGGGCAGTATTTTATTACAGTAAGATTTCATTAAATGTAGGAGACATAAAATACAAGAATCATCACTTTGCAAATATCATAGTAATAATTGTTGCAAGAAAGAACCTTGGAGTGATGCTAAGATTAGTGGTGAATATATGTTGGGAAAGAACATTTTTGCATAATATGAAAGTATCTTCCCACAAGATAATTATAGAATAGTAACTTCAAAGTGGAGATGTCAACTTAGCCAAGTGATCAAAGTTAACATTACTAATAATAAGATAAATGAACTTCATGCAACTTCTTATATGATGCACTGAGTAGGACAAAACATCAATTCTATGGTATTCTTAGACAAAATGTATAACTTTAGTCCTAATCGTGAGAAAACATCAGACTAACTGAAATTGAGGAGGGACAATTTACAAAATAACTGCCAGTATTCTTCAAAAGCATTTTAGAAAGACTGAGGAATTCGCCAGAGACATGGAGACATGTCAACTAAGTGCAATGGAGAACATGCGTTGTATCATGAACCAGAGATGGACAACAGTAGGATATATACAATAACACCCCAACATTTGAACATTAAACAAAATGCTTCAGAAAAACCCATTGGTCAAGAAAAGTTTCACACACAAAAAAAAGTTTAAACTGAAAGAAAATTTTTTAAAAACTTAATAAAATGTGGGATGCAGATAAATCCTTTCTTAAAGGTACATTTATAGATGTAATATATTGAAAATAAAAGGCTTCAATCAATGACCTTTAGGTTCTTTTTTAAGAGGCTAAAAAAATGAGCAAAGTATATCCAAATTAAGAAGAAGGAAGATGATAAAGATAAAAATGTAAACCAACAACATAGCAAATAACAAAAGGTGGAGCTAATTAATATACCCACAAATTGGTTCTTTGAAAAAAATTTTTTAATAAACAATGGCTAGCAAGATTTATCTTGAAAAAAATTAGAGAAGCTACATAATGTAGATAATGGGAATTAAATAGAGGATGTAACTACAGAACCTACAGACATCAATATAATTATGAAAACTTTAGGCCAATACATTTGACAATTAAAATAACTGGGAAATTATTTGTAAAACTAATTCTTAAAACTGATGCAAAATGAAATAGAAAAAGTAATAGCTTCTCTATGTATTGAAGAATTTTTTTAATTTAAAAAGATTTCTATAATTACAGTCTACATGGTTTCTTAGGTGAATTCTATCAAACATTTAAGAAAGTACAGAGAGTCCTCAACTTACGGTGGTTTGACTTGTGCTCTTCTGACTTGATAATGGTGCTTTCATCTGTGTACATTAATGATGAGCATCAATATGACCAGTTTTTCACTATCAGTATAGTTTTCAATAAATTTCATGAGATACTCAATATTTTAAAATGGGCCTTGTGGTACATGATTTTGCCCAATTGTAGGATAATGTAAATGTTCTGAGCAAGTTTAAGGTAGGCGAGGTTAAGTCATGATATTCAGTAGGTTAAATATATTAAATGCATTTTAGACTTACAATATTTTCAATTTAGGATGAGTTCATTAAGACATAAGACCATTGTAAGTTGAGGAGTATCTATAATATCAATCTTGAACAGACTCTTTTTAAGAAATAGAATTTAAGGGCTGGGCACAGTGGCTCACACCTGTAATCCCAGCACTTTGGGAGGCCAAGACGGGCAGATCACCTGGGGTCAGGAGTTTGAGACCAACCTGGCCAGCATGGAGAAACCCCCGTCTCTACTAAAAGTACAAAATTAGCAGGGCATGGTGGCGCTTGCCTGTAATCCCAGCTCCTCGGAAGCCAGAGGCAGGAGAATAGCTTGAATCTGGGAGGCAGAGGTTGTGGAGAGCCGAAATTGTGCCATTGCACTCCAGCCTGGGCAACAAGAGTGAATCTCCGTCTCAAAAAAAAAAAAAAAAAAAAAAAAAAGAATCTAAAGGGACACTTCCTATCTTATTTTATGAACCCAGTATTGCCCTGATTCCAAATCGAGACAAAGGCTTTATTCAACTTTGATGTTTATCCCTCATAAACATAGACTCAAAAGTCCTTAAAACATAATAACCAATTGAATGTAGCAGTACATAGAATGGATAATAAACTGAACAAATTAAATTTCTAGCAAGATTGCAAGTTTAATTTATTATTTGAAAGATCAGTTTAATCAATTTTATTCACCTGGATGGTTACATCTGGCAAAACTCAGCAAACTGTGCACTTTAAAATAGGAATATTTATTTTATGTAAATTATGTTTGAATACAATTGATTTTTTTAAAAAAATGTTTCCCAGAGTGATCAAAGTGGACGGCAGGGAACAGTAAACATCAGTGCTTATGTTATAGCTACTAGAAGCCTCCCAATTCCAACGACATGTTTTCAAGCAGGTCTGATCCTTCCCCTGGAGGATACCTCTGACCCAGGTGTGCTACAAATGCATTGCCCATAGTTGCTTCTGTCACCTTAGTGATGGAAGTGACAAGAGGGTACTGGAGAAAGAAAAGGTGTACAGGGTTCCAAATGTACTTTCTCTTTCCAAAGGACCTTTGTGAAGCCAGAGGAAAGAGAACAAACAAGCTGCTAAATAAGTCACAAGTGTGTACTCCTACAGTTTTGCGATTAACTAAATAGGACATTCAACAGATAAAGTTTGTTTTACATAGTTACTCCTCTGATAGGATGAACTTGTGGATTGTGAGATAGGGCTGATATAACCTGTTTTCTCTCTGCCTCTTTTTTTTCCCCCAAGTTTTGTGTGCAATACATTAGGAAAAATATAATTGGGCTATAAAGCTACAAAAATGTCTTCCTGGCAGTTCCATGCTTGTTTCCATGTGGTGCCTATGTTTGGCATTGTGTTCTCATTTGCACTTTCCTACTTGATTAGTTAATGTATGAAGGACAAGCCTGATCTCTACTGTGAATTTCTACCAAGATATTCTGGTAGAAAAATGAGTATGTAATGGTGCTGTGGAATGCTAAAGTGTGCAAAACATTAAGAATCTAAAAATATGCTCATTTCCAAGTTTTGTCCCAGAGCAACTGTGCACTCTATATCGCTACTGCTATTTAAAGTTATCCATTTGCATGTCTAAAAAATAGATTCATACTGATTGTCCCATTTGATCTCAAAAAACTCCTGAATGTGAGAGTCGTGATCAAGGGACGCTTCATGAAATGTTCCAAAGTTAAAGTGTGCAATGAAACCAGATTTATCATAGCTTTATTTAAAATAATTATTTCTAAAATTGTTGTTGTTTAATTATAAACTGTATCCTTTCAGGATACTTGGAAGATCCATAGCAGTGTTTTTATTTTCACAGAACAAGCATAAATTATTTATGAAATAATAACTCAGATACAGAGATTACTTCCTATTGGCCTTACATATGAATATAAATAAATACATATTATGAACATGCACATACTTATTTTATAATTATGTAAATGTGTGTGTAATGTTATATATAAGTTCAATAAAGTCATGCTTATACATGGTTTCAATTCATGCTTCTAAAAACCACTCAATGTAGTCATTATCATATGTTAATAAATAATCTCTGAAAATGTGCTTCTAGTAGTTGCACAATATCCCATCATAAAGATTGTCATGCTGTTTTTAAGTCATACTTTTGGGTATATAAGTTATATCTGATATTTTTCTGCTACATATATGCTATTATAAATCTATTAGTAGTTGATTTTCTGTGAACACATATGATTGTTTCCTCACAACAGTACAAGAGTTGGTTGTAACTTTATTTCCTTCCAACATTTATTTTAGGTTCAGCGGGTACATGTGCAGGTTTATTATATGGATAAAATGTGTGTCAATGGGATTTGGTGTACAGATTATGTAGTCATCCAGGTAGTGAGCGTAGTATCTAATAGGGAGTTTTTTTATCCTCACTCTCCCCCCACCCTCCACCCACAGTAGACCTTGTGTCTATTGTTCCCTTCTTTGTGTCCATGTGGACTCAATGTTTAGCCCCCACTTATAAGTGAGAACATGCAGTGTTTGTTTGGTTTTCTGTTCCTGCATTAATTCACTTAGAATAATGGTATCCAGCTCCATTCATGTTGCTGCAAAATACATTATTTCATCCTATTTTATAGGTGTGTAGTATTCCATGGTGTATGTACACTGCATTTTTTTAATCCAGTCTTCTGTTAACAGGCATCTAAGTTGATTCCGTGTCTTTGCTATCGTGAATAGTGTTATAATGAAAATATGCGTGCATATGTCTATGACAGAATGATTTATATTCCTTTGGGTATATACCCAGTGATGGGATTGCTGGGTTGAATGGTAGTTCTGTTTTAAGTTATTTCAGAAATCTCCAAACTGCTTTCCACAATGGCTGAACAAATTTACATTCCTGATGAAACTGGAGAGTTCCCTGACTCCCCTTGGCAGGATGTGCAACAGGGGTGTGGCTTGTCTGCCCACTATGTGTGCTGTCAAACCCCTTATTGGGCAGGGGAACATGCAAACAGGCAGGTGCAATAGGCAGGGCAAGTGGCCATGGTACTGTCTAGGGGTGGGTGCCTGCGACTCCCACAGCCCAAGTGGGCATGTGTTACAGTGCACTCTTTTAGCTTTGCCATCCACAGGCGGCTTAAATGTTAACCTGTTCAGTGCCCTCTTGGTACCCAGTTCCTTGTCCAGCATCCAGAAGGAATTAAGTTGCACACAGACTTGAGGATGGTGAATGTGGGGGTTTTATTGAGTGGTGGAGGTGGCACTCAATGGGATGGATGGGGAGCTGGAAAGGGGATGGAATAGAAGATGATCTTCCCTGGGAGCTTTGCCATCCGGAGGCTGATCTCTCCAACCACTGCCAGCCAAACTCCTCTTGGCATTCAGATGCTCCTTCTCTTCTTTCTGCCACATCATTCTGCAATTCTGCTCTTCTGTTCATCTCCTCATCTGCTTGTCTGCTTCTGGAGCCTGGGGTCTGGGACATATATGGGTACAGGACAGGGGGTGCATGCTGAGCTGAAAGACAACTTTTGGGTGCAAAAGCAGGAATGCCTGTTCCCATTTAGGGTGATGGGTTTCCAAGCTTGTGGGCAGGGCTTTGCCAGGGAACCACTCTCTTCTACCCAGTATTTCCCTGTCTCCTTTCTATATCACCACCAGCAGTGTATAAGCATTCCCTTTTTTTCCACAAACTCGGCACCGTCTGTTTTGTTTTGATTTTTTAATAATAGCCATTCTGACCGGTGTGATATGGTATCTCATGGTTCTGATTTTCTGATGATTAGTGATGTTGAATATTTTTTCATATGGTTGTTTGCCACACATACGTTGTCTTTTGAAAAAAGAATCCACAGACGGCTTAAGTGTTAACCTGTTCAGTGCCCTCTTGGTACCCAAGTTCTTGTCCAGCATCCAGAAAGAAGTTGCACATGGACTTGAGGATGGTGAATGTGGGGGTTCATGTTCTTTGCCTATTTGTAGTGGGTTTGCTTTTTGCTTATTGATTCTTTATACATGCTGAGTATTAGACATTTTTCAGATATGTAATTTGAAAATATTTTCTTCTGTTCTGTAGGGTGTTCTCTGTTGATAGTTTCTTTTGCTGTGCTGAAGCTCTTCAGTTTCATTAGGTCCCACTCGTCAATTCTTCTTGTTGCAATTGCTTTTGGAATCTTCATCATGAAATCTTTGCCAGCGTCTATGTCCAGAATGATATTTCCTAAGTTATCTTCTAGGGTTTATATAGTTTTGGGTCTTACATAAGTCCTTCATCCATCTTGAGTTGATTTTTGTATATGGTGAAAGGAAGGGAGTGTACATGCCCCTGTGATATTGTTCCTAATATCCAGGTTGGGAGAGGATATTATACTCAATATTGCAGGAGGTGTCGACCACCCTGAATATTACTTTTAATATCCGGGGAGAGAGGGTGATATTACTCTCAATATCATCCTCTCCCCCCACACCCTTCATAGTACAAACAATATCAAAGAGGGTCTGTGCAACACGTGCAATATTGGGAGTAATATCCTCCCCCAACATGGATATTAGAAACAGTATCACAAGGGGTTGTACACCACCTGCGATATTGGAGAGTACTATCATTTTCTTTCCCCATGGATATTTAGAACAATATCACAAAGGCGGTGTACAACCCCTGCTATATTGGGAATAATACTGTACTTTCCCCACCTAGATATTAGGAACAATATCACGGGGGGTTATACACCACTGCATCATTGGGAGTAATATCATCCTTTCCCTCCCTGGATATTAGGAACAATACCTCATGGGTGTTGTTCCATATTGGAACAACAATATGGAATCCCTGTTCCATATTGGGATTAATATTTTCTCCCTTGCTGGACATAAGGAACAATATAACGGGGGGTATACACTCCTTATGATATTGCCAGTAATATTATAGACTCTCCCCAGGGATATTAGAAACAGTATCAGAGAGGGGTGTACATCCCCTGTGATATTGGGAACATTCTTTCTTTCCCTGGATATTAGGAATAATATCACAAAGGTGTTGTATACCCCCCGTGACATTTTAATTAATATAATCTTCCCCACTGAATATTAGGAACAAATTCCCAGGGGGTTGTACACCACCTGCAATATGGACAGCTATATCATTGTCTCTCCCCTGAATATTAGGAACAGTATCACAAGGGGGTTGTACACCCCCTGTGATATTGGGAGTAACTTTATACCCTTTCCACATGGATATCAGGAACAATATCACAGGGTGGGTGTACACCCACTGCGATATTGGGAGTAATATCATCCTCTACCCCCTGGGTATTATGAACAATATCATGGGGAGGGGGTGTATACCCTCTGTGATACTGGGAGTAATATCATCCTGTCCCCTCTGGATATTGGGAATGATATTACAGCGGGGCTGTACCTTTTCTGCACTATTGGGAGTGGTATCACCCTCTCCCCCTATGGATATTAAGAACAATATCAAAAAGGGGGTGTACACATCCTGCGATATTGGGAGTAATATTGTCCACTCTTCCCCTGGATATTAGGAACAATATCACAGGTGGAGTGTACACCCCCTGCTATTTTACCTGTAATATTATTCTCTCCCAACCTGGATATTAGGAATAATATAACAGAAGGGGTGACAACCACCTGTGATATTGGGAGTAATATCATTCTCTCCCCCCATGGATATTGAGAACAATATCACAGGAGCAGTTTACACCTCCTGCGACATTTAGAGTAATATCATCCTTTTCCCCCATGGATATTAGGAACAATATCGCATGGGAAGTGTACACCCCCACCATATTGGGAGTAATATTTTCTCCCTTGCTGGACATTAGGAACAATATCACGGGAATACACACCCCCTGTGTTATTGCCAGTAATATAGTAGTCTCCTCCCAGGATATTAGGAACAATATCACAAGGGGGGTGTACATGCCCTGTGATATTGGAAGTAATATCATCGACTCCCCCCACGGATATTAGTAACAATATCAGAAGGGGTGTACAACCCTTGCGATATTTATAGTACTATCATCCTATACCCCCTGGATATTAGGAACAATACCACGGGGGGGTGTATACCCACTGTGATATTGGGAGTAATTTCATCCTCTACCCCTTGGATGTTAGGAGCAGTATCACAAGGGGGGTGTGCACCCTCTGCGATATTAAAAATAATACCATTCTCTCCTCCTCTGGATACTAGGAATAATATCACAGGGCTGGTGTGCACCCTTTGCATTATTTGGAGCAATATCACCCTCTCCCCAACTTGATATTAGAGACAATATCATGGGGGGTGGCGTGTAACACCCTGCACTGTTGGGAGTAATATGATCTAGTCTTCCCCTGGATATAAGAAACAGTATCACAGAAGGGGTCTACACCTCCAGAGATTTTGGGAGTAATATCATCCTCTCCAAATCTGGATATTAAGAACAGTATAATGGGGTGTGGGGAGTAATATGTTGGGAGTAATACAATCCTCCCCCCACTTGATATTAGGAACAATATCGCAAAACGTGTGTACAACCACTGTGATATTTGGAGTAATATCAACATTTCCCCACCTGGTATCACGGGGAGAGTGTACACTCCTTACGATATTGGAAGTATCATTGTCTCTCACTCTCGATATTAGGAAAAATAGCACAGGATGTGTGTACACTCCCTGTGATTTTGGGAAGAACATCATACCCTTCCATCTTTGATATTAGGAACAATATCACAGAGGGGGTGTACAACTTCTGCGATATTGTAGTATTCTTTCTTCCCATGGATATTAGGAATGATATCCCGGGGGGCATGTTGTACAACTCCTGTGATACGGACAGTAATATCATTGTCCTTCCCCCTACATATTAGGAAAAATATCACAAGGGGAGTGTACACCCCCTGGATATTAGAAACTATCACAGGGGAGCTGTACAACCTCTTTGATACTGTGAGTAATACCATTGTCTCCCCTCCTGGATATTAAGAACAATATCATAGGGTGGGTGTACACCCCCTGCAATATTGGGAATAACATCATCCTCTCTTCCCCGGGATATTAGGAACGGTATCACACGTGGGGTTTACACCCCCTGCAATTTTGTCAGTAATATTACTTCTGGATGTTATTGAATATATCACAGTGGGGGTGTACACCCCCTGTGATATGGGGAGTAATAGCATCCTCTTTCCCACTGGATACTACAAACAATATCGCAGGTTGTGTACAACCTCCTGTGATATTGTTCACAATATTTAGGTGAGGAGAGGATGATATTACTCCACATATTGCAGGGAGTGTTACATCCCCTGTAATATTGTTCATAATATTTAGAAGAGGACAGAATGATATTACTCCCAATATAGTAAGAAGTATACACTCCCCTGTGATACTGTTCATAATTTTTAGGGGATTAGAGGATGATATTACTTCCAATATCACAGGGAGTGTACACTGGTGATATTGTTTATAATTTTCAGTGGATTAGAAGATATTATTCTGAATATCACAGGGGTTGTACATCCCCATGTGATATTGTTAATATCCAGTGGGAAAGAGGATGATATTACTCCCCATATCACGGGGGATGTAAACCCATTTGTGGTATTGTCACTTACATCCAGGGGGGAGAGGATGATATTACTCCGCATATCATAGAGGGTGCACACGGCTGTAATGTTGTCCATAACTTCCACAGGGGAAGATAAAATTATTCCCATGTTTCAGAAGGTGTACACACCCCTGTGATAGTCTCTGTAACATTTAGGGAAGAAGGGGATGATACTACTCCAGATATTTCAGGGGGTGTACACCCCCCTGTGATACTGTTCGTAACGTTTAGGGGGAAGAGGATGATATTACTCCCCATATCGAAGGGATTGTACATCTCCTTATATATTGTCCATAACATCCAGGGCAGGAGAGGATATTACTACTCCCCATATCGCAGGGGTTGGACACCCCCCCTGTAAATATGTCTAACATCCAGGCAGGGACAGGAGGATATTATTCCCCATAACGCAGAGAAAGTAAACCTCCTGTGATATTGTCCATAACATCCAGTGGGGAGAGGATGATATCACTCCCCATATTGCAGGGGGTGCACACTCCACTCTGATATTGGCCATAATATCCGGGGGGGGGAGGTGAAGTATGAAGTCACTACACATATCGCAGGGATTATTAGTATCAGATTGTTTGAAGGGCTCACAGTAAGGGTAGTAGTAGGGCGAGTTCTAACTCAAATAGGGGAAATGTGATGGCTACTAGAAAGAATTTTATGGAGAAGAGAATGTGGGCAGAAGATAGAGGGTCAAATCTGCATTCATAAGGGCTAGATTTTTCTATATATATTTATTTTATACATATATATATATATTTTTTTCTCTCTCTATATATATATATTAAGTTGTGGGAGCCAAAATGTAATAATTATTAGTAACAGGGCTAATAGGGTGTTGATTACTAGGGTTAATGTTAGGTGAATTACTGTTTTTCGGATGCTATCGAAACTTTGGAAATCATGGTACTATTTATACTAAAAGAGTAAGATCCTCATCAATAAATAGAAACATACAAGAATAGTCATACTACATCTACAAAGTGTCGATATCAGGCAGCAGCTTCAAAGGCAAAGTGATGACTAGATGTAAAGTGGTATTTTAGTTGGCGGAGAAGGCAGACTGAGGAATGTTGATCCAATAATGACGTGAAGTCTGTGAAAGCCTGTAGCTATAAAAAATGTTGAGCCATAAATACCATCAGAAATAGCAAAGGGAGCTTTGAAGTATTCTGAGACTTGTAGGAGGGTGAAGTAGATACCTAATATAATTGTAATAAGTAGTGCTTGGATTGTATGTTTTTCATTATTTTTTGTTAGGCTGTGATGGGCTCAAGTAATTGAAACTCCTGATGCAAGTAATACAGATGGATTCAGGAGGGGTACTTCCAGGGTGTCAAGGGGAGAAATACCTGTCGGGGGTCAATGTCCTCCTAATTCTGGAGTAGGGGCTAGGCTAGAATGGTAGAATGCTCAAAAGAATCCAGCGAAGAGAAATATTTCTGAGATAATAAATAGGACTATCCCATATTGGAGGCCTTTTTGAACAGTCGTTGTATGGTGGCCCTGAAATGTACTTTCTCTGATACAGACCACCCTTGGTCAATTGAATACAGATCAATCACTTTAAGTAAGCTAAGTTCTTACTAAATTGATGAGACTTAAACCCACGAAAACTTAACAGCTAAACTCCCTAGTCAACTGGTTTGAATCTACTTCTCCAGCCGCTGGGGGATAAAAGGTGAGAGAAGCAGGATTGAAGCTGCTTCTTTGAATTTACAATTCAACGTGAAAATCACCTTGGGACTGGTAAAAACAGGCCTTGACCTCTGTTTTTAGATGTACAGTCTAATGCCCTACTTAGTCATTTTACCCTTTTTTCTCACTTCATTTATGTTGGCTGACAGTCGACTATTCTCAACCAACCATAAAGATATCGGGACATTATATTTATTATTTGTCACATAAGCAGGGATAGTCAGTACAGCTTTAAGACTTATTCGAGCTGAACTCCACTAGATGATCAAATTTATGTCATTGTTATAGCCTATGCATTTGTCATAATTTTCTTTATAGTAATACTATAATTGGAGGTCTTGGCAACTGATTAGTCCCCCTGATAATTGGCGCCCCGATATAGCATTTCTCTGCATAAATAATATGAGCTTCTGACTCCTCCCACCCTCCTTCCTATTATTACTTGCATCCACTATAGTAGAAGCCGGCACTGGAACCGGCTGAACAGTCTCTCCTCCCTTAGCAGGAAACCTAACACATTCAGGCGCCTCTGTAGATTTCACTATCTTTTCACTCCACTTGGCAGGTGTTTCTTCTACCTCAGGGGCTATTAACTTTATTACCACAATTGTTAATATAAAACCCCCAGCCATGTCCCAATATCACACACCCCTCTTCATCTAATTAGTCCTAATTACAGCAGTTCTTCTACTCCTTTGTCTCCGAGTCCTAGCCTCTGGCATCACTATATTGTTAACTGACCTCAATCATAATACTACTGTTTTCTACCTGGCTGGCGGAGGTGATCCTATCTTATGTCAGCATTTATTCAGATTCTTTGGTCACCCTGAAGTCTAAATCCTCATCCCACTGGGCTTTGGGATAATTTCCCACGCCATAACACACTATTCTGGGAAAAAAAAGAACCATTCAGGTTTATGGGTCTAGTGTGAGCTATAGGATCAGTTGGGTTCTTACGGTTTATTGTATGGGCCCACCATATATTTACGGTACGGATAGATGTGGACACATGAGCCTGCTTCACCTCTGCTACTATAATTATTGCTATTCCTACTAGCGTCAAAGTTTTTAGCTGACTAGCTAGCTACACTTCACGGCGGTAATATCAAGTGATCCCCCACAATGCTGTGAGCCCAGGGATTTATTTTCCTTTTTACAGTAGGAGGCCTAACCTGCATTGTATTGGCCAAGGCTTATATTATGGTTCATTCATATATTTAGAAACCTGAAAGTTTCTAAATAAATTGTAAAAAAGTTGTAAAAAAACCCAAGCTGAAATAACTACGAAAATGCCTTTAATATTCTGAAGACAAAATAGCTAAGATCCAAATTGGGAGAAGATACCCCGCTATGCTTAACCCTAAACTCGAATAGTTAGATCAACAAAACTGTTCGCCAGAACACTACAAGCAACAGCTTAAAACTCAAAGGACTTTGCGGTGCTTTACATCCCTCTAAAGGAGCCTGTTCTATAATCGATAAGCCCCAATTTACCTCACCACCTCTTGTCCAGACTATATACATCCATCTTCAGCAAACCCTGGAAAGGCCACAGAGTAAGCATAAGTATCTACATAAAAACGTTAGGTCAAGGTGTAGCCCATGAGGTGGTAAGAAATAGGTACGTTTTCTACATCCAGAAAAATCTCGCGACAACCGTTATGAAATCTAAGGGCTCAAGGAGGATTTAGCAATAAATTGAGAGCAGAGTGTTTAATTGAATAAGGCCATGAAGCACGCACACACCGCCCTTCACCCTCCTCAAATATATTCTAGAAACTCATTGTACACTCCGCTGTGATATTGTCCGTAATATCCAGGGAGGGAGAGAATGATTTTATTTTATTTTTTTTGAGACAGAGCCTCGCTCTGTCGCCCAGGCTGGAGTGCAGTGGCCTGATCTTGGCTCACTGCAAGCTCCGCCTCCCAGGTTCACACCATTCTCCTGCCTCAGCCTCCCTAGTAGCTGGGACTACAGGCGCCCGCCACCGCGCCCAGTTAATTTTTTGTATTTTTAGTAGAGACGGGGTTTCACCATGTTAGCCAGGATGGTCTCAATCTCCTGACCTCGTGATCCACCCACCTCAGCTTCCCAAAGTGCTGGGATTACAGGTGTGAGCCACCGCGCCTGGCCAGAGAGAATGATTTTACTCCCCATATCGCAGGGGATTTACATTCCTCTGCGTTATTTTTCGTAATATCCAGGGGGAAGATGAAGATATTACTCCCCATATAGCATGGGAGAACAATTCCCTGCGATATTGTTTATAATATCTCTGGGGGGAGAGAATGATATTTCTCCTTTTATTGCAGGAAGTGTACACCCCCCTTGCGATATTGCTTATAATATCTAGTGGGGGAGAGGACGATGTTATTCCCCATATTGCAGGGGGTGTACAACCCCCTAGAATATTGTTCATAATATCCACGTGGGGAGGAGATGATGTTACTACCCATATCGCCAGGGTGTACTGCCCCCTGCCATATTGTTTGTAATATCCAGGCTGGAAAAGGATGATATTACTCCCTGTATCACAGGAGATGTACACCTCCCTGCGATGTAGTATCCAGGGTGGGAGAGGAGTATATTACTCCCTATAAGGCAGAGTGTGTATACACCCCTCTGTGATATTGTTCATAATATCCACTGGGGGATATGATATTACTCCTAATATCGTAAACACCTCATGTGTACACCATCTGTGATATTGTTTGTAATATCCAGTAGGGGAGAGGATGATACTACTTTCCACATCCCAGGGGGTTTACACCCCTCTGTGATACAGTTTGTAATATCCAGAGGGGGAGAGGGTTATATTACTCCTCATATCGCAGGACATGTATACCCCCCTGTGATATTGTTTGTAATATTGTTCCCAATATCCTTTTCCACCATGGATATAGGAAGAGTATTGCATAGGACGTGTACACCCCCTGCCATATTGGGAGTAGTCGTGTTTTCTCCCTTGCTGGACATTAGGAACAATACCATGGGGGGGTGCACACCCCCTGTGATATTGACAGTGATATCATCCACTATCCCCTAAATATAGGAACAATATCACAAGGGGGATGTACACACTTGGCGATATTGAAAGTGATATGATCCTCTCCCCACCTGGATATTAGGAACAATATCACAGAAGGGGTGTACACCCCCTGTGATATTGACAGTAATATCTTCTCCCCCCCCCCGGATATTAGGAGCAATATCACAGAAGCGTTGTACACTCCCTGCGATATTGACAGTAATATCCTCTCCCCCCCAGATATTAGGAACAATATCACAGAAGAGGTGTACACCCACTGTGATATTGACAGTAATTTCCTCTCCCCCCCCCGGATATTAGGAACAATACCACGGGGGGGTGTACACCCCCTGCGATATTGACAGTAATATCATCCTCTCCCCCCCAGATATTAGTAACAATATCACCGAAGGGGTCTACACCCCCTGTGATATTGACAGTAATATCCTCTCCCCCCTCCAGATATTAAGAACAATACCACGGGAGGATGTACACCCTCTGTGACATTGACTGTAATATCAACCTGTCGCCCCCCTGGATATTAGGAAGAATATCATGGGGGGTGCACACCCTCTGTGATATTGGGAGTAATATCACCCACTATCCCCTAAATATTAGGAACAATATCACAAGGCAGGGAGAACACCGTCTGCGATATTGGGAGTAATGTCATCCTTTCCCTGCCCCTGCATACTAGGAATAATATCACAGGGGATGTACACCCCCATGTGCTATTGGGAGTAACATCACCCTTTCTTCCCATGGATATTAGGAACAATATCACAGAAGTGGTGTACACACGCTGCACTGTATAGAACAAAGCAGGCAGAGGAAGGTGGGATAACCTTGCTAGCTGAAGCTTCTGGCTCTCTTTTTTTCTTCTTCCCATGCAGGACACCTGATTCCCTTCTTCCTGCCCTCGGACATGAGACTCCAGGTTCTTATGCCTTTGGACTCTGGGACTTGCACCAGCGGCTTCCCCGAGGCTCTCAGGCCCTCGGCCTCAGACTGAAGACTGCACTGCGGGCTTTCCTGGTTTTGAGGCTTTTGGACTTGGACTGAGCCACTACTAGCTTCTCTCTTTCCCTACCTGGCAGACAGCCTATTGTGGGACTGCCTTCTAACCGTGTGAACCAATTCTCTCTGGTAAACTCCCTTATACATATACGTGTATCTTGTTGGATCTGTCCCTCTGGAGAACCCTAACTAATATATTTTGTTTATTTTTTCTCCACTGCCCTTTCCTCTGCTTCTAGGCTTACCTAGACCACCACCATTCTTTCCCCCTTTCTAAAGTAAAAGTTGTTTTTTTTCTCACTAAATGCATGGTATTCTGCCCGTTTTCCATGGCTTCCCTCAGCCTTGCTCTGTTTATTCTTGCTCTCTTAAGAGGAAATCCCTGCCTCTTCCGTGGCTTTTCCCACTTGGTCTACTTACTGGTTTCTGTTGTTCTCAGAGACACACTGAGACCTTTCACATCTCACTGTCACTTCTTGGAAGGGCTCTCTACCTCGTCTGCCTGCTGAGCAACCTCTTGGGGAGACACGGGCACTCCTGAGTCACTGAACTTGAGCTATTTGGTGTTGGTATGTTAATTTATCTTCTTAGACCACTTACCACTTCCTTAACTTCAAAAGAGAAGAATAAGTATTATTTTCCATGGTCAATATGAAGAGTAGAAATAACTTATACAAAATGCATTGCAGTTAAGTGATAATAAATGGCCGTGAATGCCCTTATTAATGTTATTCTATCAGTCTCAGCTCAGATACCATCTGCTCTGTGAGCTCTGCTCTGAATCATATCTGCTTCTTCTCTGGGTTTCTTGTGCTCTGTTCTTAACTACTTTAAAGCAGTAATTGTTCTGATTCTAATTAGTGATCCTTCCCAATAAAATTTTAATTTCATAGATCTCTTCCCCCCACCCCTGCCCCAGCCTAACCAGTGTTTTCTTACTTTATTGTGTACAGGCTACATCACTGGTCTTCTTTTATTTGTGGCTAAATAAATGTTGTGTTAGAAGAGTAAAGAGTTCCCAGTTACATGGGATCTATAGTTCTACAAAATGAATGTATACATAATCCATGTAAATATTTCATTTATTTTAAGACAATTTTTTAATTTTTAAATTAAATTTAATTTGTTCATGTGTGTGAGACCAGAGTGAGAACAGAGATGGTGGCGGTGAGGGGTGGTGGTCTCACCATGTTGCCCAGGCTGGTCTTGAACTCCCCTTCAAGTGCCCCCCTCCTCACCTGGCCCTCCTCACCTTGCCTCCTCCCCTCTCACTCCTATGCCAGCCCCTGCCATTCCCCACCCCCTCTGTAGACTGCAAGACTCAACAAGTGACTTGCTGAGCAAACTCTGCTGAGAAGAGGTCTGTTTAGGGACACAGGAGGCCAAGTACACAAAAAAGCAAAAGAACTAGCATGCCTTTTTCAATGGATGTCTATTTTACAGGGCTGGCTTCAGATTATTGTTATAGCTTTAAATAAAAGGACCGTTTTGTCATCTTGGCCCATGACCTACATTATTTCTTTACTGTCCATTGCCCTGGACACTTGACTAATTATTTAACAGCAGTTTTTTTTTTTTAATTTTAAATCATGATTCATTGCATTGCTGTAAGAGTAATTAGAGGTAAAGTAGGGCTTGAAACTGCCTGTAGTTGGTTACTTACTGAGATCTTAGCATAATTGTCAGGTGAGAGGTTGAAGTTTTAATCAGCGCTAAGTGGGATATAAATTCGATGCACTGAAACTGCAGTGTCCAATTCAGTAGGCGCTAGCCACCTGTAACTGTTGAGCACTTGGAATCCTGGCTAGTCCTAATTGAGATGTGTTGTGTTAAATACACTGGATTTTGTCATTGGAGTGGGAAGAACAGTGTAGAATATCTGCTTGATTTTTTTTTAATATTTATTACATGTTAAAATTATTACTATGATTACTATTTGGGACATACTGAGTTAAGTATATTTAAAATTAATTTCACCTTTTCTTTTAATGGGGCTTACCAGTACATTTAAAATTATGTACATGGCTCACATATTTATTGGACAGCACGGCTCTAGAAGTTTAGGAAGAAATAAGAAAAATATTGAGAATAGGTAGCGACAGTAGGAAGTTTTTCCTCCTGTAAGACTGAGTCCAATAAAACTAATAGGTGATAGTTTTAATTGGCTTTTCCTACTAGAAAAAGTAAGTGTACTTTACATGCCTCTTTGTTCTCCCTCTTTCCCCTTCAATTTAGTGGTTAGCATGTATTTACTACATCAGGCTTAATATTCACTAAGCAGTGTTAAGAAGACTTAGGTAAATGAAGATTGAGCCACTGTACTCCAGCCTGGAAGACAGAGCAAGACTCTGTCTCAAAAAAGAAAAAAAAAAACCATAATGCCACCTAATATCCAGTTTATACTTAAATTTCCCTAAGTGTCTGAATAATTTTTTTTTTTTTGAAACAGAGTCTCAACTTTGTCACCCAGGATGGAGTGCAGTGTTGCGATCTCGGCTCACTGCAACCTCTGCCTCCCGGGTTGAAGTGATTCTCCTTCTTCAGCCTCCTGAGTAGCTGGGACTACAGGCCCACCTGTCGCCATGCCTGGCTAATTTTTTGTATTTTAGTAAAGATTTGTTTTCTGCCTCTTAGGAGCTTAGGACCACCAGGGTGGTCTGGAACTCCTAAGCTCAGGCAATCTGCTCACCTTGGCCCCTCAAAGTGCTACCAAGAATATCTTTATAGCTGGTATTTGTTTGTTTAGAGACAGATTTCATTCAAGATTCATGCATTTGGTTGTGATGTTTCTTGGTATTTTTTCTGAGACTTCTTGATAGATACCTGTCATGCACTGATAGAGAGTTATATCCTAACCATGTTTTGGACAGTTTTATCTCTGAATAATAGCTTTTGTCATTGTTTGTTGCCTGCTCACGGGAACACTGTTAATAATAGTCTTCTTCTTCAAAAAGTTTTAAAAGAGTTATTCAAGAAATTCCTTTCACACTTTTCTTTATTCCTTTTTTAAGGGCCTAATATGCACCAGACATCATTTTTCTAGGTGATTGTGGATGAAATGGTGAAAAGGAAAGGCAAGAATGGAATTTCCTGCTAGTGGGAAGTAGAAGAGAGTATTAAAACTTTTTTCTTTCTAAGTCAAATCAGTGTCATATACATGAGAAAGCTAGGCAGTATGGCATTATCAGCTTGGCTTTCTCCTTAAATGAAATAGAAAGTGCCCTGTTTTACTCAGACAGTGTTTTTTTTTTTTTTCTAAAAAGCTAAAAGAAGTTAAATACTTTGAAAACAATTAATTTCTGTTCTAAATTATACAAATGTTATATTTGTAAAACTAGAGAAGTTTGTTCCATTGCTTCTACCAAGCATCCTAGCTTATGTAGTTGGGGCAGCTAGAAATCTAATGAACAGAATGTATATTTTAGGCTTATATAAAGTATTCTGCAACATAAGCTCAAAAATACCCCCTACCCCCTTTTTGATAAAAATAAAGTTTACTACTAATAATCAAATACAGCCAGAGGTGTGCTGGGAGTGGAGGGGGACTGAGTGAAAGAAAGTAGGAATGGGGTAAAGGCTGGGGCAAAGAGCAGGCTCTCTCCCTGCAGGGGAATATCAGGGGCCTGAAGCCAAGTTAAATGACAGCATGACTTCAGGAGGCCAGATTTGAGGGCTTTTATCTAAGATGCAGCATCGGAGTTTGGTTTAAGAGAGTAGGAAGTGATACGTCTGTTACCCAAAGGACACTTCTCTTTTTAAAATAAATTACCTACAGAGTTTAGGCCAAAGAGGTGGGCAAGGTAGATTTGGGAAACTGTTGCTTGCTAATATCACCAAACGCTTTCTTTTTATACCTGGTGGAGGCTTTAATTGGGGCAAGGACATTTTTATATAAAGATAGAGAAAACAATCGCCTATGGAATTTGATTCCTTGCTCCATGCCCTCGCTAGCACCTCTCAAGATGCTTGATGATATTTAAAATTTCTTCATAGGGAAAAAACTTTTCATCCCACAATTAGAATCAGGCTTAACTTGCTTTTTGAAAAGGTAGTATGTAATTTGTGTTAAGATATAAATTACCAAGATTTTTATATCTTGAAACAGATTTAGATGATAGAGTGTGGTAGGTGGTGGTGGTTGGTGGGAAGGGGTAGTTTTTTAGAGAGGGTATTAAGAGTTGGGATTTTCAATGTGAGAGAGGTGAAGGTTTGAAAATAAGTAAGAAAAGCACTAAAAGAGTGAAGTCAAGGGCCTCTGAGAGCCAGGATGATAGATTCTATTTCACAGTTTAACACAGGATCAGCATAGACCAAAGCAAGTTTGTAACTAAGGCAATGAAGATCATCTGTCTCCTCCCTTCCCCATTAATTGTGAACTTTAGTTTTATAAGCTCCTAAGAGGCAGAAAACAAATTGGAGCCTCATCTTCTATTTGGGAATGTATGGCATGTATTTATTGTCCTAGGTGCTGGGTTTATTTTTTTTCAGCTAATGACAGTTTTCCATGCTTTATGGTAAGTGACCATAAAGTAAGTGGTAAGTGACTTACCCTTCAGGCAGTTCAGCCCAGGACAGTCAGCAGAAGACTGTTTCCAGACCCCACCTGCTAGTTACAGATCATCCCTGATAGAGCAGAGAGGGGTGACCAGGTAGTAACTTTATAGTCACTGGAGGCAAAGCCCATTTTTGGACAGTTCATTGAGGGCTTACAGATAAAAGGTTCACAAATTATGCAGTGAGCTGGATGGAGTGTGAAGTGTATTTATGGGTCGTGCACATACATAATAGGTTTACTTTTTGAGACTTGAAAACATGTTTTAACCTTAACCTAGGATTCCCACCTGATTTAAACCTCTTATTTCTCTAATGTCAGCCAAAAATGTGAGTATGACATACAAAGAGAAATACATCAAGGACTTTTCATCCTCATAGTTTGCCAGTGATGGTGGAGAGTGTCAGAATTGGTGAGTAGCCTAATCAAACCTTCTTGCTCTGCATGCAGTGGCAGACAGTCCCTTTGCTGTTTCTTTGGGGCATGCAGACTAATAAAGTGACACCATCATTTTATCTCTCAGTGAGCAGTAGTTTTAATGCTACTGCAGTGGTGGGAGCACTGGGTGTTGTCGTCCTCACCTGAGGACAAGCAGCTTTGTTTTGGATCATGCATCTGTTATTGTGATGGAGCCATTTATTTTTCAGGGAATGATGCCAAATGATGTTTGTCCCTTTGCTTTACATTTTTATAGCTAGGTCTTTGAAGCTGAACTGGAGGAACTTCTTAGCCAATACTGTCTTCTCAAACCAAAAGTTGACAGTTGCAGAAGACACGTTTTTTAGTGTCATGGCAACCAAGCAACATATTGCCTTAAATTAAATTTAGAGGTTGAGCATCCCTAGTCTGAAAAATCTGAAATTTGAAATGCTTCAAAATCTGAAACTTTTTGAGCACTGACATGACACCACATGTGGATTTTGATGTACCAGTCAAAGTGCAGGTGAATAACACACAGTTTATTTGATGTTCTCTAGTGAAAAAAGACCCTCTCAGCCCCCTTCAGCTGCAGTATAACTTTTCTACACATGCTCAGATTTCCCCATGCAAGCACACACACAAAGGGTCACAGAATGGCACATGTGCAAGCTGGACACGCCAATGGCAGGATTCCCACAGATGGGACCTAAGTGCTTTACTCATTGTGTATTTTTGCTTATTCTCTGCTCTGTGGTGTTAACATACTGAAAATGTCAATAAGGCCTGTAGATATCCCTGCGAGCAGCAATGATAAGGAAAAGTAGAAACACTTAGAACACAGAAAGTCAAGCTGTTGCAGAAATTGAACTGTAGTGTAAAGGTATAGATGACATGGTGAAAATGTGTGATAGAGATATTGAAGATATTGAAGGACTAGAGCTACCTGCATTCATAACAGAACAAGAGGTCATGTCAGCTTATAAAATTAAAGAGAGACTTCCAAGACAAAAGCCCTTGATAATGAGGCAGATGACTCTGGAGAAACATTATAAAAAGCCATCTGGCAGAATGCCTCCTCAGCCTCAGAGGACTCACCTCCTAGTTGCTCAACTCCTGATATTTCTTCTCACCTAAAAAAAGAAAAAAATACAATGTACAGTAACCTTTTAATCAAAATGCAGCCTTGTAGGTGGAGCCTGAAAGCTTGCCATTGTTTATACAGCTGTTTAACAGCTGATGCAGGTATTCTGGTGATGCTACTGTGTTGCTTATTGTTTTTTACTGTATTAATGGCATGTCATATTTTTACTTATGTGTGAATAATTGTGTGAAAATGATTGCTCATCAGTAGCATATAAATTCAGAGTCAAAAATGATGGTCAGTGACGTCAGACAGCCACAAGTTTTCCACATGGAAGCTGAGATAGTGACACCTTTGCTTTCTGATGGTTCCATGTACACAAACTTTGTTTCATTCACAAAATTATTTGAAATATTATATAAAATTACCTTTGGGCTATGTGTATAAGATATATGAAACATAAGTGAATTTCACGTTTAGACTTGGGTCTCATCGCCAAGATATCTCACGTAGATGCAAATATTATAAAATCCAAAAAAAAATTCCGAAACCCTAAACACTTCTGGTTCCAAACATTTCAGATAAGGGATACTCAATCTGCATATATAAAATATTTATGTATCACATACATAGTATGTATATAATATGAATTTCCATTCCTCTACAGGTTACTATTCTGGTACATTCCCGTTATATTCTGTTTATCAGACTGCAACTAAAACTTTCATGGGTTCAGCTTTATGTTGAACAGAATTTGCAGAATTATGAGTTGAAGCAAACCCTAGTTTGATAATGCTATGATTCTCCTAAATCACCAAAGTGCATGAAATGATTTTAAAGCTCCAGAAATACTGAAGCAACTTTGTGACAGAAAATTATTAGTGGATGCACAAGGAGTCTATAATGTTTTGGTTTTGCTATTGCTTCCTAAGGTGCAGCACCAGTTTGAATTTGAATACCAGACCAAAGTGGATGGTGAAATAATCCTTCATCTTTATGACAAAGGAGGAATTGAGCAAACAATTTGTATGTTGGATGGTGTGTTTGCATTTGTTTTACTGGATTCTGCCAATAAGAAAGTGTCCCTGGACAGAGATACATAAGGAGTCAGACCTTTGTTTAAAGCAGTGACAGAAGATGGATTTTTGGCTGTGTGTTCAGAAGCTAAAGGTAATAGTAAATTTATGTATAGATTTTCATTATTGTCTTGGTCGTGTGTTTTCTTTTAAATTATATCTGAAAATCTCTTAGCAATCCAGAATTTTACAAGTGACTAATTAAGTTGTGAGTTCTTACCTTTTTAAAAAAACAGAGTAGTTTTACTCTCCTTTTCAGCACTTAAATTCTGTAATCCTTGAAGGATGGGTCTTTAGTGTAGTCATTTATTTTTGGTGTGCTAATATGCTCTGCATATAGCTTGATCGTAAGTGCAGTTTTAAGTTTTCCTGTGTCATACTGTAATGATAGGGTTGGCTCTGCAATTATTGCCCTGCGGTACTTTGCTGAAGTTATAGCACAGCAAATATTAGGATTTCTAAAACAGCTTTATTGGCAGTTCACATGCCATGTAATTCACCCACTCGAAGTATATAGTTCAGTGGTTTTTAGTATATTCACAGATGTTGGGAACCAACACTCCAATCAATTTTAGAATTGTTTTTCCACCTCAAAAAAAAATCCTATGCCCTTTAGGTTATTTTCTTTCTATTTATTTATTTATTTATTTTAAGAGATGGGGTCTTGCTCAGTCGACCAGCCCAGGCTGGAGTACAGTTGTGTAATCATAGCTTAGTGCAGCCTTGAACTCCTGGGCTCAAGATATCCTCCCATCTCAGCCTCCCTAGTAGCTAGGATTACAGGCATGGACCACAACACCCTGCCTCCTGTGCCGTTTAGCTTTCAATTCTGTCTCTCCACATACATCATCTGCACCCCCGCAGTTGTAGCACTGGCAATCACCAATCTTTCTGCCTCTGGATTCCCTATTGTGTGTTTCATATAAATGGGATTATCTATCATATGGGCTTTTGTTACTGGATTCTTTCACTTGGCATAATGCTTGCAAGGTTTGTCTATGCTGTGACATGTATCAGTACTTACTTTTTATGGCCACATGATACTCTGTTACATGGATACACTGGATTTTGTTTATGCACTTGTCATTTGATGGATATTTAGGACATTGTTTACCCCTTTTGGTTATTATGAATAATGCTGCTATAAACATTGGTGTATAAGTTTTTGTGTAGACATTTGTCTTCGGTGTTTATCTAGGAGCAGAATTGCTCAGATGCATATAACTGTCTAATTGAGGAACTGCCAAACTACTTTTTGAAATGGCTGCATTATTTTTTATTCCCTCCAGCAGTGTATTAAAATTTCAGTTTCTCCACATCTTCACAAACACTTACTGTGTGACTTTTTAATTGTAGCTATTATAATGTATGTGAAATTGTATCTCCTTGTGGTTTTGATTTGTATTTTCCTATTGAAGGTAATGTCCAGTGTCTTTTCTCATGCTTATTGGCCATGTGTATATCTTCTTTGGGGAAATATTTGTTGAGATCTTTTGTCATTTTTTTTTTCCTGTTAGGGATCATTTTATTTTAAAAACAATAGACTTTTTTTTAGCAGTTTTAGAAAAAATAGAGAGAAAAGTGCAGAGAGTCCACATATGCTCCCCTACAGTGCCCCCGCCCAGTTTTCCCAACTCTTAACACCTTGCGCTACTGTGCTAAATTGATTAGATTTGATGAACTGATACTTATATCTGAAATTCATAGTTTACTTCAGGGTTCACTCTGTGTTTTATAGATTTTTGGATTTGACAAATGTATAATGTCATGTACCTACCATTACAGTATTATGTAGAACAGTTTCATTGCCCTAAAAATCTCCTGTGCTCCACTGAGTCATTCCTCCCCCTCCTCTTCCTCCCAAACCCCCGGTCATTACTAATCTTTTTACTCTCTAATTTTGCCTCTCCCAGAATGTCATATAATAGGATCATGTAGTATGTATCCTTTTCAGACTGGCTTCTTTCACCCAGCAGTATACATTTAGGGTTCTTCTGTGCTTTTTCATGGCTTGATAGCTCATTTTTTAAATTGCAGAATAATATTCCATTTGTTTGCATGTATTGAAGTTTGTTTATCCATTCTTGAATTATCTATCTCTAATTGGGTTGTTTTGTCTTTTTATTACAGAATTGTAATTGTTCCTTATGTACGCCAGACACAAATCCCTTGTGTTCATCAGGGTTGCAGGATACAAGGTCAATATACAAAAATCAATAGTATTTGACACACTTTAACTGAGTACTACATACTCACAATGAGCAATCAGAAAATGAAATTAAGAAAGCAACTTCATTTATCATAGCATCAACAAGAATAAAATACTGATACATTTAAGAAGTGTAAAACTTGTACTCTGAAAACTATAGAAGATTGTTGAAAGAAATGAAAGAAGATCTAAATAAACGTAAAAGTATCCCATGATCATGGACCTAAGGCTTAACATTGTTAAGAAGGCAATACTCCCTAAACTCATCTACAGATTTAACTTCATCCCTGTCAGAATCCCAGATGAGTTCTCTGTAAAATGGACAAGCTGACTCTGAAATTCATATGGAATTGCAAAGGACTAAGAATAGCCAAAATAATCTTTTGAAAATGAGAACAAAGTAGGAGAACTCATACTTACTGACTTTAAAACTTACTACAAGTCAGTGGTAATCAGGACAATATAATACTGGCAGAAGGATAGATGTATAGACCAGTGGGATAGAATTGAGAGTCAGATATGAACCCATACATATATAACCACTGCTTTTGACAAGGGTGCCAAGATTATTCAGTGGGGAAAGAAGTTTGAGAACTGGCACAAGGACAACTAGATATGTAAACATATGCAAAACCTGCAGTAGGACCTTTACCCAACACCATATACAAAAACTATGGATGCAAAAAAAAAAAAAAAAATGGATCAAATGGATCCATTTTGAGCTAATCCACGTAAATGTAAGGACTAAAACTATAAAATCCTGAGAAGCAAACATAGGAGTAAATTGTCATGACCTTGAATTTGACAAAGTTTTCTTAAATATGAGACCAGCAACAAGAATAAAAATTGATGAACTGGACTTCATCAAAATTAAACATTTTTGCACTTCAAAGGACACCATCAAGAAAGTGAAAAGACAACTCACAAGATGGAAGAAAATACTTGTAAATCATGTGTAGCACTTTTTGATGATAAACTTGAGGAAGACTTTTATTTTTTATTTTTATTATACTTTAAGTTCTAGGGTACATGTGCACAATGTGCAGGTTTGTTACATATGTATACATTTGCCATGTTGGTGTGCCGCACCCACTATCTCATCATTTACATTAGGTATATCTCCTAATGCTATCCCTCCTCCCTCCCCCCACCCCACGACAGGCCCCTGTGTGTGATGTTCCCCATCCTGTGTCCGAGTGTTCCCACTGTTCAATTTCCACCTACGAGTGAGAACATGTGGTGTTTGGTTTTCTGTCCTTGCGATAGTTTGCTCAGAATGATGGTTTCCATATATGTATATATGTCAGTTGCCAGGACTGCTGGGCAAGCCTGGGAAAGAGAGTACCTGGGGAAAGCAGCCTCCTGCTCCCCCGTGCCTTCTTTGAGCCTGATGTTCATTTGATGTGGTACTATATAATTACATCCAGTTTACCCTTTGAAATTCCTTGATTGTTCTTTTCTATATCCTTGACACTGTCCTTTTACAGACCACATAATCTTATCTGGAATACTACAACAGTTTTCTTTTCTCAGTGCTTTTAGGATAACCTGTCAAAAACTCATCTGGCTATAGTAGTACCTGCTTGCAACCTTTTAATTACTCCCCATTCCCTACCAGGCTGTGTAGCTCACTTGAGCTCTGCTAGGTGGTGAGGGAATCTGGGTCCTTTTTCTGGTATTTGAATTCAGTGCTACGTAGGTTACTGGCTGGGTTGACAATCTGAAATTGTAAATCATGAGTATTCTATGTAGATAGTCTGTCATGATTTAAAATAAAACATTGATATGTCAAAGATCATGGTGATGTGAGGTTGGGTATTGTCTGTGAGAATTAATTGAGGAAATTTAAATTATATGGTTTTATTTACATAGAGTGTATAACAACTAGTTAAGGGATAGATGTCTTCTTATCTGACTTTCAAGTATCTAAGAGTGGATTATTGTGCTTGTTAAAGTTCTGGGAACCATGGCTATTTTCTGAAAATACCTCAGTGATGACAAATGAATGACTACCAGCCTCTTGTAACATTAGGACTCCAGTTCATCCCTTTGCTTCATAAGTGTGTCTTTTCCTTTTGTATATATTTGCTTTAGTGTAGAAAATAGGTTTTCTTGATTAGAAATCTAAGAAGAATAAATTGAAAACTGGAGATTTTTCTATTGCTTTGGATTACCAAAATTAATGTAATTTGGTAATTACATTATTGTCATTATTGTCTCTCTGGTAGGTAGATGGTAGGGTTTTGGGTGATTAAATATTTTTCCCCTATTTTGCTTATTTAATGGGCATATGTTTGTATTAAAAGGGAAAATAAATAGGAATGTAGAAGATGTTAACTAATCGTGAAAGTTATTGGGAAGGGTTACCTAATTTAAAAGTTGGCCAGCCATGGCAGCTCTGCCTGTAGTCCCAGCTGTGGGGGAGGCTGAGGCAAGAGGATGGCTTGAGTTCAGGGGATGGAGGTTACAGTGAGCTATGATTGTGCCACTGCATTTCAGCCTGAGGGACAGCGCCAGACCCTGTCTCAGAAAAACCTAGAACAGCAACAAACAGAGAGAGGAGCCTGGACGGATTGAGCAATATTAGTGTCCGGGAGCTGCTGTAGTGATGGCTTACGACATCAGGAATTTATTCTCTCACAGTTCTGGAGGCCACAAGTCCAAAATCAAGGTGTGGGCAGAAATGCGCTCCCTCTGCAGTCTCTTGGGGAGGATGCTTGTTTCTTCCAGCTTTGCGACTGTGGTGCCTGCCGCCATTGGAACCAGCTCTGCACGGCTCAGACCTGGGTGATGAGGACACAGCTTTGCAGGTGGGCAGCCACATCCCCAGGGGGAGACTGTGAGCCTGTGGCAGGGTAGGGGCCACCAGGGCAGGGGCTCCACATTGTTGCCCCTGAGCTCCTGGGGCTTGTGGAGAAAGACAGGTGGATGCACACATACTGCAGCTCCTTGGATCTGAGCCTTGGTTTCCCTACCTGTGAAATGGGCACCCATGGCAGCTTAGAAGTGTCTGGGAGCATCCCCTGTGGGGGAATGTGTGGGGGCTGCTGGGGCACAGTCATGGGAAACCCCAGTCCCCCTCTCCATGTGCTTCCCTCAATGATCCCTGATGACAGCAGTCCTGCCCCCGAACAGAAAGGGGCATTCCTGTGAGTTCCTTGTGTGGGGGACTGGTCACAGAGACTCCCCAAGTGCAGGGCAGGGTGGAGGGAGGCTGAGGGGTGGTTGAATGGACAGGAGAAGAGCTCTCTCCAGTTCCTCGGATCTGGTTGGCCTGGGGAGCATCCATCTGGGCAGGCAGCTGGCAGGGCTGGTGGCTGAGCCACTGTGGCTTGGGGACCCCAGGCCAGGACAGAGTAGGGTGGGCAGGGAAAGCAGAGTGTGAGCATATGGGGCAGGACAGGTGTCTCCTGGACAGAAAGAGCCCTGGTCACTCATGGCTGCAGCATAGCCATGGCGACAGGAAAGTGCTGCTGTACATTGTGCTCCTGGGGCTGGCTCCCAATGGACAGCCAACAGCATCTCCCCCATTGTACTGTGGGATGCTGGCAGTGGTGCTGGGCACTGAGGTAAGAGCCTTGGCAAGCCCTTCGCTCTCTGGGTGTGATACCTTGGGCTCCTGGATGCCTGGGTTTCCGTGTCCTATTTTTCCCATGGAAGATGTTTGGGGTGCTCCCAGGAAATGGGGAGGGCCCTGGGGGGTCAGGATTGTATTATTAAAGCCAGAAAGTCTGGGGTTCCATTTTTAGCACAAGGCAGGCAGCCCATGAGCCCCAGCCCAGTGGCCAGCCTGTGTGGGAGGGGAGTGGGGGTCTGAAGGAGTGAGGCTTCTGTTACTGCAGGCTCCACTGCAGCCCTCCAGGGTGGCCCGTGTTGGCTGGAGAGCGGGCACTGCACCAGGGGCTCTGGCGCTGACCTTGAGCCATGCATCTAATGCCTGTGAGAGTGATCTCTAGGAACCACTGCACAAGGGGGCAGATGAGGGAACCCTGACATGGGACAGCCGAGGGCGACCCCAACACGGAGGGGGCAGCTGTGTCCAGGCTCCACTGGATTCCGCAGAGTACAGAACACAGCTCTGACTCCAGGGTGTGGGCTCACTGAAGGACAGGACAGGCTGGGGTTGGGAGAGGGCCAAGCTGCAGCTGGGCCAGATCCCACCTGCACCCCTCAGATGGCAGGGCCTGGACGTCTCCATCCCCACCCTGACCCGGTCAGTAACAGCCATGGGCTAGCAGCCCCCAGCAACCCCTCCCTCTGTGAACTGCCAAGGACAGGAGGTACCACAGTCTCTTCCAGGCAAGAGCTGCTGGAGCCTTCTTTATTCTTGTGCTAGAAGCCCAGGGTGGGGAGAGGAGCCTGAGAAGAGCCCAGTGTGGGCATCCACCTTCCTGCCCACTTTGGAGGTCTGAATCACCTCCGGCCACTCTCCCAATCCCCAGGAGCCCAGAGGCTTCCTGGAGCAAGCCACACCTGATCTCCACCATGGGTAGGAGTTCAAGGCCAAGACAACAGGGACTCCAAAGAGGGGCCTGTGGGTTAGCAGCAGCTGCCAGTGTCCAGATGGCCTCAGGGGTGGGGGTTGGACAATCTGGAGGTCAGCAGGGAATTCAGCATGAGGAGACAGCCCTTAGGGTTCTGGCCCAGCAGCCCCAGGTGCTGGCTCTGCACTGAGTCATGAAGTTTGTGGGCCAGGGGAGGTGGCCTCTCTCTAGCTGAGAGTGATTTCCATCACTGCTGTCATTAGCCTCCCCTGCATCAACCTGTCCCTGGGGTGCGAGCACAGTGGGCACAGGGACCCTCAGGCCTTAGTTTTCCCTGCTGTAAAATGCATGTGATAGGCTGTCATGAGGTCTGAAGGAGTTAAAACCTGCCATGTGCTCAGGATGACACCTAGCTCGGTTCCTCCTAGCCTGGTGCCACCATCCGGCATCAGAGATTAAATACTTCTCCCAGGCCCCCTCCTCTGGCACCCCCCACACTCAGCTCTCCATCAGCCACCCCCTCCAGGGTGGGACAAGGAGGTCCTGAGCCTGCTGGGGACCTGACAGGGCTGGGCAGCGCCACCTGGGCCTGGGCGATAATGGGAGCCTGAGTGTGGGGCCTGCATGGAGGGAGCCATTGTTTCTTGGGCCTCTTAGTGGCTACTTCCCTAGAGTCTGGGAGAAGTGCTGCTGTTCAAGAGGGGACAGTGCCAGCAGCTCCTTCTGAGGCTGGGGTGGGCACAGCGTGGAGGGGCCTCACCTCCACCCACCTCCCATGGAGGTTCCTGGCTCTCCTGGAGGACTCCTTGCTACTGGGCTGAGGCTGGCACCAGGGCTGACCAGGCCCAGGATGGTGTTGGACAACCTGCATCCCCCTGCAGCAGGCAGGGAGGGCACTGCAGCCACCACCCACCCACACATGACCCCTCCCTGGCCATCGTGTCTAGGGTGGCAGGGAGTGAAGCTCCCACCCAACAACCTCCCCCAGCTCAGGGGCCTTTGAGTTCACCACCATCTGCCTCACTGCAGGTTTCCCCTGTGCTGGGGGTGATTGCAAGGAGATGGTTCTTTGGCGTTCCCTGGACAGGTCATTGCCTCAGCCCCTGCCTGGTGTCCTGGAGCAGCTTTGAGGAGCTACATGGACAGGACACCAACTGTCTGCAGCCCCCAGGTGAGGCTTGGCTGCTGTGTCCCACTGCCTCTGCTCCTGGCTGTCAAAGCCCCATGGTAACAGCATCCAGGGTGAATTTAAATGGCACCCCAAAGAACAAGAGTGGGCCTGGGTGTCACTGTAGTGGCTGGTGGCTTGTGACAAGTAGTGTGGCTTCCGTGGTGATGAGAAGTGACAGTTCCCCCTGAATCTGCACTGGAGAGAAGGTCCTGGAAGCTTTCAGGCCCACCCTCCAGGGTCTGGGTCTGCATCTCTGAGAGTGGCTGGGTGAGCAGAAGAATCCTCACTGCCTGGCAGTTGGGTTTGGAGCTGGGGAGGGCGGGGCCTGGTTAGCAATGAGACTATCGCAGTGAACCAGAGCTCAAGATAAAGCGAGAGGCCTAGCCCAGACACCTCCTTCCCTGGTCCCAGCCCCTGTGCCTTGGCCTGTGCAGTGGAAGCCAGGCTCCCTCCTCCAGGAAGCCTTCCCTGCACTTCCTGCTCACACACAGCCTCTCCCAGATTTCTCCCCATCCAGGCTGAGTAGGATTCCCAAGAAGGCTCCTCCCTGAGCCAACTGCCTGCAGTCAACATTATCACCAGTAGTGTTTTTCATCTTCAGCAGTGGCCTCTGGAGGGGTCCTAGCAGGTCGGGGAGAGAGGTCTGAGTTAGCCCCACGTGAAAGGCAGCCCATGCCTCTCCTCCCAGCAACCCCTAGCAGCAAATTCCACCTGGCTGACCCCACCCAGCTCACAGAGCTGCCCAGCTGGGTGTCCTTGTGGTTGACTGGGGGGAAGGGGCTGTTACCTCCCGGTCCCCTTCAGGCTGAGACAAGAGCCCTGTGGGCCTGGATCTTGCAGATGGGACCCCCACCCACATGCTCTCCAGGTGGATGCTCACCCTGGGCTGTTCTCAGGCCCCTCTCCCCACACTGGGCCCACACCCTGGAGGGAACTCCATGTACCCCTGCCCATCTGCCCATCTGAGCCTCAGGGGTCCTGGGCACTGAGAGCTGGGCTGGGCTGAGCTCAGGTACACACTGTCATTGGGGATGGAGAGGGGATGCTGAAGTGGGTGCTTCTGCATGGGGCCTGCCTGGAGGATCGCCACAGCAGGTGCACCCAGCAGCCAGACCAGCTTCTAGCAGAATAAGTGCACTGTCACAGGGGTATGTGAGCTGAGGCTGGGGGCCTGGAGGTGCAGGGGGAGGAGTTGGGGAGATGCAGAGGCCCCAAAGATGTCCCAAGGCCCTAAGACACTGGTGAGGGAATGGAGGAGCCAGCACTGGTGGGGAAGTGGGGAGGGGGAGATGGATGGCCTGGGTCTGAGCTGGACACACGGTCTGTGCCCACACTTGAGCTGTGCTGTGGAGGCCCAGTCCCCACCTGGGCATGTCCTGTCCTCTGAGGCACAGGGATTCCTCACCCTCAGCTCTGACCCCTCATCTCCAACTGCTGGGATGACGAGTCCATAGGCAGAGCCAGCCTCACAGGGGACCCAAAGGCCAGTTCAGATGGACAGCAACTGGAGGTCCCACCAGGCACACACACATACTGTGCAGAAAGCTAATGCACTGTTTATTTGGGGGATTGGGGGGAAGCACCGTGCCGCTGCTCACTGGTAGCCAGCCAGCTGCAGGATGGTGGGGTAGCAAGTATGATGGGCCATGCAATTCTGGCGGTCGAGGAAGAGACTGTTGGTCATGGCAGTGACGTCCTTCTCCAGGCTCATGTGGATGTCCTCGAGGTTGTGCAGGGACTGCTCCGCTTGTAGAAGCTTCTCCCACAGCGCTGTGATGGACTTGTACAGCTCCTCCAACTCACTCACCAGCTTGGGGGTGTTGGGGGGTGTGAGCTGGGGCTGGGGAGGGAAGAAGTATGCACCTACCGGGGTGGAGGGGACCCAAAACTCCCAATGGGAGCTGGCAGGAGGTCCTGGGAAGACGCCATGAAAGGATCCCACCAGGAAAGTGGCTCTAGGGCAGAGCATAAATTACTAGGGTCCTCCCAGGGAGCGCGGGCCTGAGTGGGAATGAGTGACCCGCGTGCAATCTCGACCCTGGCAGGACAGGACTGGCCTCAGCCGACCAGGCTCAGTTCTTTCCGTTCCTGATATTTGACGGAAGGAGGCACCCAGTTCCTTGAAGGAACTGAGGGGCAGGGAAGGAAGAAAGGTACTTAGGCTCAGAAGGGGCCACTAGGCATCCATTAACAAGGGAAACAAAAGGATGGCCCATCTATGCCTGTAGCCCAGGCGTAGGTCATACTTTCCACCAGAGGTGGGGACAGCACCCTCAGGGCAGCAGGGAATGGCCCTCCCTGGCCTCTCTGGCCCCGTGGCCTCCAGGAGCTCACCTTGTCTGAAGGAGCTTCCTCCTGGGAAGATGAGGTAGCAGAGGGTGGGGTGAGACCACGTGGGCACAGGTCCCTGGCACTGGGAGGCCCCCGACCCATGACCTGCCCAGTGTCATGTCTATATCTGTGTGTTTAAGGCGTGCTTGCGTGTTGCGTGTGGCCGCAAAGTCTCCTTCCCATCTCAGCACCTGTGGGGGATGTGTGTGTGGAGATTGGAGTGTTTATTGGAGAAGGTCGCAGCGAGGAGGTGGACGAGGGCACCTGGGACTGCCTCAGAGGCCCAGGCAGTACCTGAATTGGGCTGCATCGCGGCACAGCTCCATGTTGGGCCGGTGTGAGAGCAGGTACAGCCGGGTCTGGGCTATGTGCAGAGGTGCCTCCTTGTCCTTGATGGCCTCCTTCAGTGCCACCATGTTGTGTTCCTGATCTGTGATTTCCCGCAGCATCTGCCGACAGGACAGTGCCCCTTGGGCCTGTGCCCCCATGCCCGGGCATATGGAATGCAGAGACCAGTCTGGTCCTACCCAGGTCCTGGGGCTGTGTCCAGAGGGTGGTCCTGACCAGTGGCCCTGGGGAGGCGTGGATGAGGGGAACAATGTGCACGGGGCCCCCAGTGGGCTCTGGAGAGTCAGGCAGCCTGTTGTCTCTTAGCTCTGGTCCAAGAACCCCCATCCTTGGTGGTCACCAGGACCCAAATCCTGCTCAAGGACTGGGGACTCAGAGGTGGTAAAGGCCATGCTGAGGCCCTAGAGTCAGAGCCCTGCCTGTCACGCCAGGACTCTTGGGGACCTCCCAGGCAGTCAATGCTCCCCAGACCAGCTCCTGCCTCCATCCTCCCCACAGCTCCTCCTGCTCAGTCATGGGGGTTGCAACGCACTGCGATCATACCCAGTGTCACCTGGTTTTACATAGGTTTATGGAGAGGTGACACTTGCTTCTGGGGTCCCTCGGGTTAAGTGGGACAGAGGAGAAAGGTGTTGAGGGCCCAGACCAGGTGATGAGAGGGGGCAGAGTGGTGGGCAGGCGCCGGAGCCATCTTTGGGGTTCAGGGTGCCCCACCTTTTGCAGGTGGTGCTGCAGCTTGTGCCGCGCGTCCTCCAGTTCCTCACAGCGGCGCCCAAAGGCCAGGTTCACTGCGTCACACTGGAGTCCCAGGTCCTCGGAGGTGTCGCGAAGGATGCAGTCCACCAGCACCCACAGGTTGGCTGAGTCCAGGCGCTCGCGCTGGGCGCGGCACAGATTGTCCTGTGTGAACTTGGTCCGGGTCTCTGGGGTGGAGGCGCTGCGGGGCTGGGGACAGCCAGGAGAAGGTCGGGGAGGCTCTGCCAATGGCTGGGGGCCCTGCCGCGCCCCCATTCCCTGTCTGCACCCCATGCTCCTGGAGGAACTGCATGGACTCCAATGCATCCCGTGCAGACCCACGAAGCCCAGTCCCCCAAGCTCCCTGCCTCCGAGTTCCCCCCGCCCACAACTCCCCTGAGTCCACCCACACCCTACCCACCCCGGGCACTTAGTCCCCTCCTGCCCCCGTGACCCCGCTCCCAGCACCGCTGCCCCAGAGGCCCCCTCTGCAGCACCTCCGTCCCCCGCAACCCCCCTTCCCTAGTACCCAGCGCCCGCGTCCGCTTCTCGCACCCAGGAGTTTGCCATGCTCAAGTGGGCGGTGGTCGTGCTCCCTCTGCTGGCCTTGGGTGGAAATGCAATCCTGCCGGCGCCTGGGGCTGACCGCACCCCACCCTGTCCTGTCTAAGGGCAACCAGGCTGTGCACGCGCTGGGCACTTGAGGAGGTCTTGCATGCTTTCTCATGCCAGGGGCAGACAGTTGCCCAAGTGTCTTCGGGGGCGAGGGCCTCTGGGCCAGGCTGGGGGAAGCAGCGCCGCTGGGGACCCCAGGCAGAGGGAGGCAAGACCACAGCCAGGGCAAGCACGGGGGCAGAGCTGGGGCCCCCCTCTCTTGGAAGGTGGTGGAGTGCCGGATGAGCCTGCACCTCGGTGCTCTGGCTGCGGTGGCGCCCGCAAGTCTCGTCGAGGTTGTAAGCCTCCACCTTGT
Organism: Homo sapiens; assembly: GCF_000001405.40. Taxonomy (NCBI): domain Eukaryota; kingdom Metazoa; phylum Chordata; class Mammalia; order Primates; family Hominidae; genus Homo; species Homo sapiens. The sequence continues at coordinate 11,156,645 of NC_000024.10, forward strand.
CCGACCAGTCCATCTCGCAGATCTCCATGTGCTCTCGGTTCAGTCTGGGGCGGGGTGGGGCAGGGTCTTGGTGTGTGGCCAGGGAGGGCCCCGCTGGGGACCCTCCATGCTGCAGGCTAGGCCTTTATGCCCGCTTCAGGAGGGAGCTCTGGGCCGGCTGTCCTCGTGCTCAGCAGTGACCAAGAGCTGCCGCCCATGCTGGGAGGCTGCAGATCAGTTGTGGCACTGGGCTTTGGCCACTCAAACTCAGGCTGGGCCGGAAACTCCCCCACCCAGCCCTGTGCTCCCACTGTGACCTGGGACAGCCCCTGCCGGCTCTGAGCTTCAGGGCCCTGTCGTTCAATGGCTTGCCCCAGGACCAGCCGTGGGTGGGGTCAGGAGTCATCCCTTGGGCAGCCCTCGACCCACCGGATCTGGCTCACTGCTTGCACGATGACTCTCTTCAGCAGCTCCTGAATGTTCCGGATGAGCTCAGCTTCCTGAGGGAGGAGACGCCCTGAGCACCAGAGCCGGCCCTTGGTGAGGATCCCAGGAGGCCCAGCTGCTGCAGGCCTTGGTCAACACCTGAGCAACCAGAAATAGTTGAATGCCGGGCCTGAGCTCTGACTGTGCAAGTTCTGCTCTCTCACTGGGTTTATCCTGGGCTTTTGGGCATTCTCCTTGGTGTGTTGTAAGTGGGGTGTTTTCCTCCAGGGCCTTCTATGGGCTGCTGGGAAGGTCCCTCAGCGGCAGTTCCCACGCCCCAGGCCTCAAGAGTCATCACTGCTGCTCACTCAGTGCACCCAGGAACGTTGGCCTGCCCCTGGCCTCTGGACAGCCCCTGAGGACCCAAACTCTGGGGGCCCAGATGCCCACCTAGGCTGCCCCTCAGGGCTCTGTGTTGGGAAAGACCATCCTCACACCAAGAACAGGAGGAAGACCATGTGTTTCTTCTTACTGCCTGGCCAGTTTAATTTTCTGTGTGTAGGAACAAGCCTTTTTCCCCTGTGACTGGGGTCTTTGCCTGGACCACCAGCTACCTCCTTGTGTGCCAGGGCCCGAGTCCTGCACCCCTCTGTCCCTGGGTTTGCCTCTTCCTGCACTGTCAGTGTCTCCATCACTTCGCAGACACCCTTGTTGCTGGCAGAGGGTTTGCGGGAACTGCAGCAGTTCTTGAGGCACTGAGAGGGTGCAGGGGGATAGGCCTGCAGAAGGGGAAGGGAGGGAGGAGGGAAGGCATGAGGGGAGGGAGGGACTCAAGGGTTCTTGCCTGAGTTTGGGGGTATGGCAGGAGACCAGCTGCCTCCACCCCACATCTTTCACAAATGTCTACAGGCCTGTAGTGGTTCTCATGGAGGCCCCAGGCTCTGAGAGCTCAGGGAATTCTCCAGAGCCAGCATCAGGGCCAGGACTGAGTTACTCTCTCACCCTATGGGGTTGACCCATAGACAAGCTGGGTTGGATTGGGAAGTTACAGGTGACATGGAGAAGGGGACCTGTGGGTGCAGATCTTCGTGTTCCCGGCTCTGTATAGGATGAATAGGAGCAGTGGCTCCCAGCCTATCCCACCCTACCTGTCCACACCCGCAGTGCTGGCCCAGACCTGGGTTTCCACCTCGGGAGCAACTGTCCCAACCAGGGAAGGTCTCTGGGGAGCACAGGGTCAGGATGACTGTGCCAGGACTCAAAGGTATTGGAGGAGGAGAGGAGAAACAGCTGCTTGGAAGTCAGGGGACTTCTGGGGCAAAACTGCCTCCTGTCACTAAGGGGACAGATTTCGGGACTCAGGGGTCTCACGCACAGAGGGCTGGTCTCCCGTGTGCTTGTAGCAGCCACCTGGCTTCTCCACATGAACTGCCAGGGGCTCCTCCTCTCTGTGCCCACAAGTCCTGGCCACCCAAGGCTGCTGGCACCTTCAGCAGCTCCGTCTCCACATGGTCACGCACAAGGTTGGCGTGCTGGTGGCGCTGGTTGCACTGCATGTTGTCAGTGGCGATGGAGAAGGGCACCTCCATGGCATCCAGGGCGTGCTCCAGCCGTTGCTTCTGGGCCAGCAGCAGGTCAGTCTCCGCAGCCAGCGCCTCTACCTCGCCCTGCAGCTCCGAATTCCAGCTGTGCATGTCCTGCAGTCGCTCGCCCACCCTGCACTTGGAGTCTTGCTGTGTCGGCTGTGCCAGCGCCTGGATCTCTGCAGCCAGCTGCTGGCTCTTGTGCCCCTGCAGCTCCCGCTCCGACTGGTTGCAGTCGGCGAAGGCCTGGTGGTAGCGAGCATAGCAGTTCTGGAACCACACCACCAGCTGGCGGTGGCCAGGCCGGAGGACGTGTAGGCGCCCGTGTTGCGGACCACGTCATACTCTTTGCAGGGCAGCTCGCAGGGCGGCACTGTCTGCGGGGCCGGCTCTGGTAGGAGCATATCCGTCTGCACCATGGTGTCTGCCACCCACCAGGGCCAGGGGAGTGAGGAGTGTGTGTGGTCAGCTTGTTGCGGTCAGCCCAGTGCAGTCATCGGTCGGCTCCAACGGCTCTGTCGCAGAGCAGGACGTGGCTCCCAGTTGCTTGGGTGACACAGTAAACCAAGAGCTTCCTGTTGCCAAGAAACGGGATCTCTTCTCCAGTGGCTAGGGGAGGGGGCATTCAGGGCGGCGGGCAGAATTGCCCTCTTAAAGGGCCAGGCAGCCCCAGCCCCACCATCCCTGTCCCCACCTCGGGGCAATCAACAGTGGCCAAGGGTTCCTGTCACTTAGAGGATCCCAGGGCCAGCCCGTCTCCAGCCTCTGTGTCCCACCCTTAGGGTTCAGGGTGTGGGTGGGGACCTACTGCCCTGGTCCCTTCGTTGATTCATCCATTTGTTCCTGGTTTGCTCTCTGATCCTGTCCTGTGCGGAGCTCCACGCTCAGGGTGAACAAGACAGAGGAGGCTCTGCCCACCTGCCCCCTCAGGGCAGAGGGCTGTGGCTGTTGTGTGAATGTTGGGTGTGCTGAGTGATAGTGTTACTTGATGCCGTACAGGTGGCTGCTCTCCCTGCCCTCCTGGCCCCAACAGCAGCCTGGTAGCACAGGGAGGGTCCCAGGCCAGGCCCCCTCAGGGGCAGTCTGAAGCAGTTCCTGCAGGGACTCTGCTCCATTTTCTCCTGGACCTAGTGCCTGAGAGCCAGGCCCTGGCCTCTGGCCTTCTCCTCCCAAGTCCCAGCTAGGGTCCCCTCAGGCTGGGCACAGTGGGGAGGGAGGGAGTCTGAGTGTGTTTTTTCCTGGGGAGTTGAATTCAGCCTCTGGATAAGTGTCCAGAGTCATATGCCCAAATCTGCCCCACAGGGCGGAGGAAGGTCCTGTGCTGCGGAGGCTGCCCTGAAAGCCACCCAGGGCCATGCTGCCTGGCGGAGGCTGGATGGGCAGTAAGCGCCCCAGGACACATCGGCATCCCCCAAACCTGGGGCCAGGGGAGCTCCAGCCTAGGGGAGATTCCCCACGCAGCCAGCGGAGGGCGGCTTTGGCCTGGCTGTGAGAAGCCTGCGGCTCCTGGCTCGGCCTCCCCTCCGCCTGCCTGGCGCATGCACTCCTGGGGACCCCAGCCCCTCCGGCATCCTCTTCCCTGAGAATCCCGCACCAGAAAGTCCTCGCTAGGAAGTCCATGCCCTTCCTACAGCACAGGCCCCTGGGCCCCTGTTCCTTCCACCTTCACCTCCTCTCCCACCACAGCCCACACCCTCACTCCAGGCACAGGAGCCGGGGCTCCTCCTGGGCCATTCCCACCACCCCACCCAGGTCTCTCCAGCACAACCACGTGCCGGCCAGTGCCCACCTCCTGGACCTGACCTCCCCCGGTCCTGACCTCCCCGTGGCCAGAACCCTCAGTCCATGCTGCTGTCACCACTGTGCACTGGCCTGACACAGCCTCCTAAAGGGGCTTTGAGGACAGCAGCCGGGAGACTTACCCCAACCCAGGCCGAGCCAGATCCTATTGCAGGTGGCCTGGGAACCTCTTCTCACTCTCCATCAAGATTGAGAGGTCAGCGGACCTCTGAGAAACATCCTTGAGCCTCGCCATGACTCAGTTTCCCCAGATGGCAGCAGGCTGGAGCCCATGCAGGGCAGGATGCCAGGCTCCACCTTTTGTCTGGAACCTGCATTCACTGGGCACCTCTCTGTAGGCATAGCAGAGCAGAGCTGCCTGTTTCTGTCCCTGATCTGCAGCCCCAGGAGCCCGAGAGATGACCTAAGCCAAGGAGAAGGCCTCTGGGCCAGAGCCCAGCTCTGCGAAGTGGGAGACCTCTCAGCCTCCACTTCCAGGTGCCCTGAAGTCATTGGCAGGGGGTGCTGCCTACTTGGGGCTCCCAGACTAAGGGAACACATTCACCTGGTGACCACAATAGGCCCTGCAGGCTGAGGCACAGGATTTGACCAAGGACGCATCAGAGTTAGGGGACTGGGCCCTGACTCCTGCCAGCTGCAAAATCCCAAAGCCCCCAGCCCTCTCATGGGGTGAAGACACCCTGAAGGACACTCCAGTGTGCTCCCACCTCTGGGTTCTGCCAGCCAGAGAGTGGGACTCTCAGGCCACATGTGTCTTGCTGGATCTCAGCTTCAGGGACCCAGGGTGCTGGCAGCTCTCTGAGACCTGGGTCAGGGGGTATCCATTAGAGCACCTTGGTCAGGACCCAGAGATAGGGAGGGCAGGGCTAAGAGCACCCCAGGCAGTTGGCATCTCCAGAAAGCAGGAGGTAGGGCATGGCTCTGTGACAGATGTCCCGTGACAGGGAGGATTGGAGGGACAGAGGGACGTGCTCAGGGGCTGAGGGGCAGATGAGGCCACCAAAGGGCACCTTGGACACTGGATGGCCCCAGGAAGGCCCCTGAACCCCATCCTGATTGATCCAGGGACAGTGACCTTGGCCCAGACTGCACGCCTGGAGACTCAGGTTCCTTTAGTTTCTTAAGAAACTACTATGCTCCTTTTTGGCATAACTATGATTTTACATTCCCACCAGTCATGTGTGAAAGCTCCAGTTTTTACTCATACTCCCCAGCGTTTGATGTTTTATTTTTATTTTAGCTATTCTGATATATATGTGTTAGTCAATGTGGTCTTAATTTGCAAATTTCTAATGACTAATGATATTTAACATCTTTTCCTGTTCATAATTAAATACCATCTGTATTCCTTTTCACATATCATTAGCACAAATGTGAAATATCAGAACAAAATTTTTCACACAACTTCAAAATTTTTAGAACAATACTCAAGGGAAAAGGTGTTTATTTAGAACAATGAAAACAATGAGACATTAACTTCCAGCTTAAATAAAGTTGATTGTGTGCATAAAAATGGTGAAAATATTGGACTTTCTTGGCAAAAGAAGAAAGGGGAAGACTTTATATTTTCTGACATAATATTCATCATTTGTCTTTGGTTTGTGTATTATGTGTATGATTTTGAAAAAATGCACCAAAGATATAACTTTCTGGTGTTTGCTTTGATATTATCTTTGCAAACAGAAAAGTTGGCACATGTTTCTGTATAAAACTGGTCAAAGTTGGCCTAGGAATGATCTTACATTGTACTTTCACTTTACATCATACTGTAAGAGTTTAATAATAGCTAAGGCATCAGCATTGATGTGGGCTTATTATACCTATTCAAGAGATGGTGTGAGGTTTAGGAGAGTTATGTGCCCTTTATCATAAAACAAATCTATGAAGCATTTATATAAAAACCCAGTATTTCTGGTTTCAAATTCAGTACTGTGCCGTCTGCTTGATAGATTTGTTCGCAGGTTAGAGACATTTTATTGCGTAACTTCCATGAAATATCACAGTTGTACTCTTGAATATGTTTGAATCACAAAAAGACTTTAATCTGCACTCAGTTCTTGTAACTAAAATCTTCAGTCTGAATATGAATTTCACTTAAAGAACATCCCTAGAAATTTCAGAGAGAAAAAGACTTTACTTGCAGAATACAATCTGCATTTGCTTTGACAACTAGTTAGTTCACATATGTAAAATAAGTCTACCTGTCTGTATGCATAATTAATATGTAACAGTAGTGTGGCAATGACTTGTTAAAGCAATTAGAATGGCAGTGGATCATGGCACAATTTACCTTAAAAGCCATGAGCAGAATACATCACAAGCTATGATACAATGAATAGTCATTAGGTTTAAAGTAGTATCCACATATAAAAACACAAAGCATATTTTAGCTCTTTAAATGAAAGCTTCATTCAGTCAATATTGGTCTTCCTGTAGATGCATTTATGAAACAAAAACCACAAAACATACAGCTTACCCGCTTCTCAAAACTCATTGCACAATAGGTTGAGGGACTTCTCTACACCAGGACCTATTATTAAAACCAGTAAGTCCTCAGTGAAAATCATTTATTTGCCCGGAGTGTCATCTGATGTGTCTGTTGTAGGCAGCTGTGGCAGTGGTGGGAGGTTTAGTGACACGTACCCTGCCCACGTCTGTCCGTCCATCAGTGGGCTAGTGTCTCTCTGGCTGCACCTGAGAAGGGTCTATAGGAGTTAACGGCATTAGCATGGGAGTCAAAAGAAATCATCTTGGATTCAAACTTCCATTTCAGTATTCATTTCCAGCTAAGTTTGTGTAGCATGCTTAATGTTTCTGAAGCTCAATTTTAGTAATGGTAAAGTATATCTGCCTAAAAGACAGGGACACATCCCAGTTTTGTGTTTTTTTATTTTTATTTTACCGTATTTTTCTTGAGACAGAGTTTTGCTCTTGCTGTCCAGGCTGGAGTGCAATGGTGCAATCTCGGCTCACCACAACCTCCGCCTCCTGGGTTCAAGGGACTCTCCTGCTTCAGCATTCTGAGTAAATGGAATTACAGGTGCCCGCCACCATGCCCAGCTAATTTTTTGTATTTTTAATAGAGACGGGTTTCACCATGTTGGCCAGGCTGGTCTTGAACCCCTGACCTCAGATGATCCACCCACCTCAGATGATAATCCCGCCAAGTGCTGGGATTACAGGTGTGAGCCACCATGCCCGGCCTTATCCTCAAAAAAGAATTTATCAAAATTGTATGTGTGTGTGTGTGTGTGTGTATGTTTTAACTAGAGTAATAATATATTAAAATGCCACTCTGTATGTTCTAACAAAAAACCTCAATTTAACAAATGTATATGGGGAGAGGGAGAGAGAGAGGGAGAGAGAGAGAAGGAGGGAGGCAGAGAGAGAGAGAGAGATATGTATCTCTGGTGTCTCTTCCTTTTTGGATGATGACCCCAGTCCTAACAGATTAGGGCCTTACCCTTTTGCCCCTATTTAACCTTTACCTTCTTAAAAGCTCCTTCTCCAAATACAGTCACACTGGGAGATAGGGCTTCAGGTTAGGAATTCTGGGGGGACATAATTCTCTCCAGAACAGACACTAATATCATGAGTGCTCAGATTGCTAGTGAATATGTTCTTGTTACAATTATTTTCACTTTGCAGTTTTAAATAATGAATACTTGGATAAAAAATACCCACTGTATTCTAATTTTTTCAACACTTCTTACTTGCATGGATTCTAAACAGAAGTCCAATGTAATTCTTATGTCTGTTTCTCTGTAGACAATGTGTTTCTTCCTCTGCCTTATTTTAATATTTTATCTTTGTTACAGGTTTTCTACAGTTTGAATATGATATTCCTAGGTATATTTTTAAAATATTCATCCTGCTTGGTGTTCTCTGAGCTTTTTGGATTTGTAATTTGGTGTCTGTCATTAATTTGTGTTTTTTTCCTAGTTAAAAAAATGAACTTTATAGATTTTACATTCTCAACTTTCACTTATTTTCAAAATGAGAGACAAGACACCTAAACTCCAAGATTTCAGTCCTGAATGCAATAGTACCAGATTTTCAAGTTACATAAGTGAACTGCATAAACACCACTAGTTTCAAGTGTACCCTATAAGAAACACATGGACATACTTTCATTGTTTAACCACACGGTGTCATATCAATAAACATCAAAGTATCTGACATATATTTGTCCATTAAAAGTAAACACAACTCTGAGTATCAAATTAAATTAATCATTTGCCTTTTATAATCTAAATCAGAAATTGAAAAACAGGAACATTGTAGAGGTAAGTGGCTGAAAATGCTCTGCTTACTGCACACAAGCACATCATGACAAAGAATGCTAGAAGTAGCTTTCCTCAGAAGTAATAATTGAACATTTAAAATATTATTTTCTCAGAAAAGTTAAAGCTTTTAGTGTAAAAAGCATGGTAAATGACATTTTAACTTAATAGTTAACTATATAGCAAAATATAGATTTCAAGCAATTAGTTACCCACATTTCACCAGAACCTTCAGTGAAAGTGTCTACTCTCAACATTGACCAGAACCTTCCTGTTCTGAAGTGTCTACTCTTTAGAGTTGCTTCAGCTTTACATATCTGTAAAACCTAAGATTACTCAATGAGAAGTTACACCTTATTCTGTACTAGATACACATAATATATATAGATTTAGAACAAATGGATGCTTTTCAACCTCAAAAAAAGTATTTTAATTTACACAATGTTAGATTGTTTTTCACCCATGTGTATACATAACAGTGTTTCCCAAATTCACAGGGTCCATTTCCATAATTCTAAAGCAAAAATAGAGGCACACAAATGGATAATAATTCATAGTTTTATGCCTTTTTTTAACCTATCTTTAAAGAAATTCAGTTGCCATTTAGACAAAGATGTGATGAACCTGTAACAAATTTCTATGACTTGGAAAATTAAAGGTCTAAAAATCCTAAATGTAGTAGCTCTGGGCAGTTTGCAATTTGTGCATGGGTTCACTCACCCTATGGTCCGTGAACTCCCTTATCCTGCAAGCTGTAGGTACTTTCGGCAAATATGAGACTCAATAAGACTAAGGAAGGGCTTGTTTAAATTAGTTCCCCTCACAGTTGATTCTAATCTTGCAATGAACAGATTTAATGTACTAGTGAGTTAAATTTTAAAGTAATTATAAAGCCATTTACTCTATCATAAATGAATGAAATGTAAGAATCACACTTAAAACAAGTCTTTCATTTTAATGAATGGTATCTTTCATTTATATACAAAGGAATTCACTTGCCAGCAGCATTTAAATATAGGAATAGTCTCATCTTTTCTCTAGTGCCTTTTATAAAGCAGTGCCATTTCTAACTAGGTGTATTTGTTTCCCAGCTATTCAGTAACTACATTATAGGTATCTAATTGATTCAAGAAAAGATTGGAAAATTGAGAAGATTTAGCATTTTAAACATTTGAAAAATGTTGCTACAAAGCATAGATTATGAATGCATTAGTAAAATAAATTGACACCTTATGTGAGAATCATTAAGTTGGTTTAATTATATCACAGATGTATGGGCTCACTAATATTTATACCAATTTATGCTAATTAAACCAGAAAGTTTCTGTACATAATTCAGCTCTGAGCACCATTTAATAGGGTTATGCCAAATAGAACCAATGGTTATATAATACGCAGAATATAAACCTCAGCAAATTCAAACTTTTGGAATGGCAACACAAGTGAGAATGAGAGGCAATATTTCATTTCAAAGTACCATAGGCTGCTAAGAGTGTTCTTTTCTTTTAAAAATTTGTGTGGTTGTTAGTAATGTACCTTAACACTGGTCCTCCTTGACAGCGGTGTTAGAGATGGTTAGGTAGAACCTATATTACGGAAGTCAGCGTTGCCCATTTCTTTAGTTCAGTGATTAAAATTGAAATTACTTTTACAAAACAATTGAACTGCTGCTTACAATATAAATAGAATACCAACAGGATTCCTGTTGTATTCACATTATTCTCTAATTAGTATTTTTACATTTCCACTCTGACCTGACCTTCAGTAGTTCCTTTATTTTTATTTTCAAGCAATTTTGTGAGTATATAATAAGCATATATAGTTATGGGGTGCATGAGATGTTTTGATACAGCCATGCAGCATGAACTAATCACATCATGGAGAGTGGGTATCCATCCCTTTAAGCATGTTTCCTTTGTGTTACAATCCAATTAGATTCTTTTAGTTATTTTTAAATGTACAATTATTGACTAGAGTCCCCCTGTTGTGCTATCAAATAGTATGTCTTATTCATTCCTTCTGCCTATTTTTGTACCCATTACCCGTGCCCTGTCTCCCCCCCCCAGCCCCCTAGTACTTACTGTGTCCATGAGTTCAATTGTTTTGATTTTTAGATCCCACAAATAAGTGAGAACATGCAATGTCTGCCTTTCCGTGCTTGGCTTATTTCCCTTAACATAATGATACCCAGTTCCTTCCATGTTGTTGCAAATGACTGAATCCCATTCTTTTTTAGGGCTGAATAATACTCCACTGTGTGTATCTACCACATTTTCTTTAATACATTAATCTGTTGATGGACACTTAGGTTGCTTCCAAATCTTAGCTATTGTCAACAGTGGTGCAACCAACATGGGAGTGCAGATAATTTCTTCGATATACTCATTTCTTATTTCTGGGGTATATATCCAACAGTGGGATTGCTGGATCATTTGGCACCTCTATTTTCAGTGTTTAGAGGAACCTCCAAACTGTTCTCCACCATGGCTGTACCAGTAGTACCTTAAAATGCAAATGCAATTGGTAAAAGAACAAGGCAGCATGTAGTGCTTGCACTTACAAATACTACCAGTTTTGTAACAATTTGCATTTTTTTGTCCTTGAAAGAGTAACCACTTACTTAATAAAACGGATATTTAAAAGTGCAATATTCCTTCCTTTGCATGGCATGCAGGAATGGTGAAAGCAAAGAAACAGTCATCCCTTCTCTTCCCCCCACTTCTGGTCTCCCGAAATAGGAATGCCAGGTCAGACAGGTGGAGGAGGGAAATGGGGCACAGGTCAAGGTATGATGAATCTCTTAAAAAGAAATCCGGCCAGGTGCAGTGGCTCACGTCTGTAATCCCAGCACTTTGGGAGGCAGAGGCGGGCGGATCACGAGGTCAGGAATCGAGACCATCCTGGAGAACACGGTGAAACCCCGTCTTTACTAAAAATACAAAAAAATTAGCCGTGTGTGGTGGCGGACGCCTGTAGTCCCAGCTACTGGGAGGCTGGGGCTCGAGAATGGCATAAACCCGAGGGGCGGAGCTTGCAGTGAGCGGAGATGGCGCCACTGCATTCCAGCCTGGGCGACAGAGCGAGACTCCTTCCCCCCACCGACAAAAAAAAAAAAAAAAAAAAAAAATACCGCTTTCCCCAGAATGCTAGCCTGATAGGAACTCCACCCCATCCATTCCAACCTAGTAAGGATAGTTTAGTTAGTCTTTTCTGGTCTCACTTCCTTACATCTAGTGTTCTTTTTTTGTTTCTGTTATTAAATTTCGAAGACAAACCTTAGCATTTTCTAAAAGAAATTATTTTTTACCTAAATACATTGGACTTTGGTCTTAATTTGAAGGAATAGGATAAGTGGACTTTAAGAGAGCGTTCCTACTCCTTCTCTTCCAGTGGCTGCTCTGGGTCCCTGAAAGAGGGTGTGATGTGAACCATCTGGGTTGTGAAGTGGATTTTGTTGAGCCTGTTTTTTAAGTCCATTAGTCCTGCCCGAGGTTGTGCGCCCTGGAATCCTTGGCTTCACGTCTGGACCACCTTCAGCCAAGTGGTGATGGTGGAGAGGGTCCCCCCATCTTCCAGGACGTGTGAGAGTTTGTAGGTGGTGAGATGGAGGGGGCAGCTTTTAAGTCTTCCAGTACCCACCCCCGCTGCTGGCGGTGCTCTCCCCATCGTCCTTGTCCAGGACTCCCATCAGGGTCTCAATCTCTTCTGTGATGCTCTGACTCACATGCTGGGAGGCCCTTTTCCCAATGTAGTCCCTGATGTCCACATCGGCGTCCCATGTCCCCACTAGCAGCTTCACCATCTCCAAGGTACATGGCTGCCAAGTGCAGGGTGGTGTAGCTCTGGCCTTGCTGTTCCCAGGCAGCAGAGGCTCATTGGGGAAGTTGACCAGCATGGCCAGAAGCTCCAGCCTGCAGTGCTAGGTGCCTGCGCAGGCAGGTGAGGCTGTGATGAAGCCCAGAGTGGCCAGCAGGCCGGCTGGCACGGGGGCAACCCCCTAAGCTGTCCATTCCCCATTGGAGGCCGAGAGCAGCCAGCCGTGCTCCCTGGTCCAGCTCACCCAGCCCCACAGCTCTCCTCCGCGGATGGGAAAGCCAGCGCTGCACCGCCAGAGTCACTCTTCTCTGCGGTGTCCTCGGAGGAGGAGCTCCCAGGCTGCTGCCTCCAGGACACAGGTTCTTCTTCAAGGGCAGGGCACTGCACCTTCCCAAGTCGCTCAAGTTCTGGCGGAATGGCCTCGGGGCGGTAGCCCCCCAGGAGCTGCCCCTGTCCGCCTCCTGGCAACCGTGGGGCGGGGGCTCCAGGTCATCGCTGGTCTGAGGCCCCGCATCTGGGGTAGGGGCTGGTGGAGCCGGCGAGGTCTTCCTGCGTCCCCGCCGCTCAGGGCGGCCCGTGCAGGGGCTGGGCTCCCCCTTGCCCAGCTCGGCCCTGCCTGTGGAGCACATTGGGGACCGCTGTTTCAGGGAGGGGATGGTGAATGCTCCGCTCCGCTTTCACGTGGACACGGGACAGGTCCCAGGGGCGTGGCCTCAGGCGGAGGCCCCGCCAGAACCTCTTCCTGAGACGCAGGTACTGGGCGCCAACGGCGGGGTCCGTGCAGTGGCCACAGAGTTCACCCGGGGATACATTTAAACAGTTTTATTCTCCTGTTTTTTATTTTTTCATTCCAGAAACCATTACTACTATGCAACAAAGTAAAAATATCTAGTTTAAATAATAATTTGATACGGTCAGGTGGGGATGAGTGCACACGTGTGTGTACACACACACGCAGGCTCTAAATGGGATATTTTGGCGGAGCAGAGGGATAAGGCTTTTATTTCGTTGGTGTGTTGAGTTAGAATCGCCCTTGTCACAATTAATTAATTTAAATCAGGAGTTTTATTAAAGCTAATTTGTACAACTAGGCAACATCTTTTCTCCATATATTTATACACATATACACATCTCTAATGTTTGCATTTATTACTTCATCTAAAAGAGCTTGGAAAAAGGGTCCTAAGTCTTGGCTAGTTAAGGTAAAAATCTATATTTTAAGGTAATAAAAACGTTTGCTACGGACAGAGACATGCAGACACTGTGGGTGAAGCTGATTCATGTTCCACTGAAGGAAATGACATGGGGTTTTCTAAGGGAAAGCCCAGCATGCTGCAAGGAGAGGGGAGGTCCCAGGAGGGAATTGGAGTCAGCATTAGGATCTAAGTGTCACAGGGTAGTGTGTTCCCAAAAAAGACTGACTGTTTCTGTGTCCATCCTGAACTGGTTACCATGATTGTGTGTGTGAGTGTGTGTGTGTGTGTGTGTGTGAATTAAAAGAGGAGTTACATGCTGGGGCATTTCTGGTATCTCAACTGGCATCTCAGCTGCTGGTGATGATGGCTATACATTTTCCTCAGTATTCAATGTGCGTATTTTGAGTTAACAGTCCACCCATTGGCTGAGGCAGGTGGATCACCTGAGGTGAAGAGTTCGAGACCAGCCTGGCCAATATGTGAAACTCTGTCTCTACTAAAAATACAAAAATTAGCCAGGCATGGTTGCAGCACCTGTAATCCCAGCTACTCGGGAGGCCAAGACAGGAGAATTGCTTGAATCCAGGAGACAGAATTTGCAGTGAGCTGAGATGGACCACTGCACTCCAGCTTGGGCAGCAGAGTGAGACTTGGTCTAAAAAAAAAAAAAAGTTATTGTGACATGCTGTACACATTCACAAATTCAGTGTCTCCCAGAAGTCTGAGATTCTTTTTTTCTTTCTTTCTTTCTTTTTTTTTTTTGAGAAGTAATTTCACTCTTGTTGCCCAGGCTGGAGTGCAATGGTGTGATCTCGGTTAACTACAAACCTTCCTGGGTTCAAGCGATTCTTCTGCCTCAGCCCAAGTAGCTCCTGTCTCCCAAGTAGCTGGGATTACAGGCATGTGCCACCATGCACAGCTAATTTTTTATTTTTAGCAGAGTTGGGGTTTCTCCACGTTGATCAGGCTGGCCTTGAACTCCTGACCTCAGGTGATCCACCTGCCTTGGCCTCTCGAAGTGCTGGGATTACAGCCATGAGCCACCATGCCCAGCCAGAAAGTTTTAAGGCTATGATTATTAGACCATCATACACACAAAAAATACTTAAAAAGTCTCAGGAATGCAGTCCCTCATTGGCCTGGTATGACAAAGATAAAAAGTTGGTCGTGAAAATTTCTGAATGTGGTTTAGGACAAGGAACCCCAGTAAGATTCAGAGACAACCTAGAAAATTGAAAGACAATTTTACTACCCAAATCACCCTTCTATAAAAAATAATAGAAGATGTCAAATATGAAAATAAAACTGTCCTCTGGGCCCTCAATTTTCTGTGTTATTGGGAAGGCAGACAGCTACTCAGCAGTTATATCCCATAACAATGGATAACACTAAAACAACTGACAGCATCAAGTATTGGTTAAAAAGTGGAACTGATTCTCTCAAACATTTTCATTGTAGTTTAAGATGGCACAACCACTTAGGAAAATGTCTCCCTATTTCATACAATGCCAAATATATACTTATTTTATAACCCAGAAAATCCACTCTTATGTACGTAAACTCAAGAATAGTGAAAATATTATTACAGAAAAATGTGTATATCTGATTTTTTCGTAGCAGGTTTATTCATGATAGCCTCAAATCAGAAACTGCTTTTGTGTCTATCAATAGTGGAGTGGATTATAAACAAAACAAGCAAAGGCCTCAAACCTGTGGTATAGTCATAAAATTGAGTATTACAAAATAAAATTAATGAATAATCAATAGGAGCAAAATGATGTCACAAGCATGTTTAGTGAATGAACATAAAAATTATATAATTTATAGTTTCACTTATGTAAATGGTGAAAACAGAAAAAACTATCCTTTTGTGGAAAGAATCAAAACCATGGAAGCCTCTGTGGTCAAATACTGAATGGAAATGGGCATGAGAAAACGTGTTTCTGCCAGATCTTCTATATGCCTGATGTACATTCACTCGATGTATTTTGCATATACTATTTTTGCAAATAAAACTGAGATAGACGCAAAATAACTCAAGAGAAAATAGCTAGAAATAGGTAGAATTGTGATAGAAGCCTTGGAAGCTCCCCCCTACCTTGCTCACCTGGCACAGGCCGAGGAAGCCCTGGGACAATGCTGTGAGCGATCTGAGGGCCTTCCAGGGGAGCCCCGCCAGCCCATGCTGGTGCCCGAGCTTCCCGCCGCCATCTGAATATGTTGCAAAGACAGTGCTGGCCTGGCAACCGGTGACGCTCCATGCCCCACCCTGACCCCCACTTCTACCCAAGTAGCGGCAACCCCAGAGACAGATGCCTGGGCAGCAGCGGCTAAGTCTGGTAGTTGGCCATGCGGCCAAAGGACGGGAACTGGCCGTTCACCCCATCCCAGTTTCCACGGAGAACTCAACCACCATGGCCCCTGAACGGACCCTCAGGCCTGGGCTGTGCTCTGTGCCTGCAAACCTGACTCCATCCAGGGGAGCTCCGCCTTCCCACGCCAGCGCCTCAGCTGCTGCAGAAAACTGCAAAACTGCAAGTTGCACACAGGCAGAGATGACGGAGCAACCCCTGACCCTCCGTGCCACTCACCCTACCCGCACACACACCTGCCACGCGGACCCTGAGGCCAGTGCCTGGGCGCCCAAGTCAGGCAGTCCGCACAGCAGTGGCACCAGGGTGAAAACCTGCTGCTCAATACCATCCTGGTTACCACGAAGAGCCAGCCCTGGTGGCCCCTGAGTTCTTGGAGGAGGCCAAATCACAGCAACCCCTCAAGTGGGAGGGCGATGCACTTGACCCTGAGGACATCAGGTACCAGGCCCGCCAGCTGACGCCGGCATCGGAGCCGCAGCTGCAGTCTAGACGTGGTGCACTGGCAGTAAGTGACTGGACACCCCAGACCAGGCCCGCCCCCCAGTAGCGTGGATCCTGAGGCCAGACCCCCAGGCAGCAAAATCAGGCGATGGGTCCCGCCAGCAGCCGTTCAGTTTCATCCATGTGGATACAGAGTGCCCAGCGCCCGGGCCCAGGATCCAGAGAGATGTCCAAGAAGAGCGGAACTTGAGGCCAGGTGGGCTGTGTGCTCTGCGACCCTGAGGCCATCCAAGGGAAGCTCCGCCGTCCCATGCCAGTGCCAGATCTGCAGCTGCAAACTGCGCGTGGGGCACTGGCAGCAGTGAGGGCTGCTGGGGGAAGGAGCAGCCCCTTACTCTGCCTCCATGCCTCTCCAGCTACCTGACACTAGCCACACAGACTCCAGGACCAGAGCCTCAGCGTGAAGCCGGGCCATGTGCGAAGCCACCCAGGTGGCCGCGGAGTGCCCTTGCTAGCACCCTATCTCCGTTCTGAGGAGGAGCGGGGCGGGCTGCAAGGCCAGACAGGCCCTCCTTCTCAGGCCGGGCTGGCGGCGCTCCTGTGATCCTGGGGACGCCCGGGCGATCCCAAGAGGACCTGCGAGCCCATCGGCGCCCGCCCAGAGCTGCAGCCCCACCTGCCGGCGCGCGCCACCAGGGAAGGGCTTCAGGGAGCCGGGCAGCAACCGCAGTGCAGGCGGGCGCCCAACGGCTTTGCGAGGCTCACTTGGTCTGAGAGGTCGGAGGCTGCGAGTGTCGCTGCTGAAAGCTGTGGTGGACCGGGCTGGATCGCGGACTGTGGAGTAGATCACAGATTTGGGATCGCGGATTGGGGGTTGATCGCGGATTTGGGGTTGGATCAGGGATTTGGGGTTGGATAGGGGATTTGGGGCTGGGTCGGCCGGGGTCGGGGGAGGGGGTGGGTGAAAAGGTGACAGGGAGGTCGGCCGGGGTTGGGGGAGGGGGGTGGTGAAAAGGTGACAGGGAGCTGCCCCCGCTCAAGAGCCAGAGGTTGGGGGTCTGAGAAGTCACCACTATGAAGTTATTCGGCTTCGGGAGCTGCAGGGGCCAGAGGGCCCACGGCTCCATAGAACATGTCTACATGGGTTCCGGATACCGAATCCGGGACTCCGAACTGCAGAAGATCCACAGGGCAGCTGTCAAGGGCGACGCCGCGGGGGTGGAGCGCTGCCTGGCGCGCAGGAGCGGAGGCCTGGATGCCCTGGACAAGCAGCACAGGTAGCGGGGACTCAGCCCGGGGTGGGAGGGGGTCCCCAGGCCCGGCTTCCCCACTGCCCCTGGGATGGGGCCTTTCAGCGCTCTGGGCACCCTCAGAGCGGCGGAGCCAAACGGACTCTCAGCTGTTTTCCATCCCTCATAATTCCATGGCTGGAGCAGTTGGAGAATTTGAGTTATTTAACTCACAAAGTTCAGCATACACAGTGTTGTTATTTTTAACGTACACGTTGAAAACATGGTTTATATACATTATAGGAGGTACCTAATGAGAGAACTCATTCCCCTATCAAAAATACCGTGAGTTATTTCAGTAGGCAAAAAGTTCTCAGATAAGAGAGCTTACCTGAAAAATATTTACTATATTATATATATATATGTATGTAATATATATATATATATATATATATATATATATATATATATATATATATATGTATGTATATTTTCAGATGAAAAGTATGTTTTCATTTTATAGGGAATTCATTATATTCTTTTTTTTTTTTTTTGAGTCGGAGTCTCGCTTCTTTGCCCAGGCTGGTGTCCAATGGCACAATCTGGGCTCACTGCAACCTCTGCCTGCTCGGTTCAAGCAATTCTCCTACCTCAGCTTCCCAAGTAGCTTGGATTACAGGCAGGTGCCAGCGTGCCTGGCTAATTTTTGTATATTTAGTAGAGAGGGGGTTTCACCACGTTGGCCAGGCTGATCTCGAACTCCTGACCTCAAGTGATCTGCCCGCCTCCACCTCCCAAAATGCTGGGATTACAGGTGTGAGCCACCGCGCCCGGCCTATGTTGTTTATTATATATCATAAGTTTTATATATATATATATTACTGATACGTATACATATATACCAGATATAATCTGTCATATATATCAGTTATATACACACATTAGATGAAAAGTACATTTTCATTTGACAGGGAATTCTTTCAAATCAAATCATCAAACACTCTAAAATTGGGCAAAGTACACTTTTCCAGATCTGCAAGTTACTTGTGTACATAAGAAAAAGTCCTTCGCATTTCTGGTATAAGAATTTAAATAAAAGAGGAATGAAACAGTTTTCTATCCACAATATTTGTGAGGATGTTTTATACTCCTGGTTAAAGTTTAAGTTGCTGATTACTTTTCAAATAGATAATTTGGTGGTAAATACTACAATTAAAAAATACGTATGCCCTTTACCCATCAATTCCATTACACTAAAGCACCCTTAGGAAATAAAGATACATGCACTTTATTTTTCACCTCACTTATTTTAAAAAGAACCCAAAGAATGGATCCTATAAATAAACTTCAGTTGCATCCACAGGATGGAATAATATGTGACCATTGAAGGTGGCAATAGATACAGAAGTATATTGATGTGCAAAGATGTATTTTGTTATAGCTAGTGAGAAAAAGATCAATTAAATTGTACATACAAACATACTATGGTCTTGTTTTATCAAAAAATATGTACAAAATATAAAATTTGTAATTTCTGAGCATTTGTATTTTAAGTAAAGTTCTTTTCCTTTTTCTTATCTGTGATTGCTGCAGTGAGCATGTACAAAACTTCTAGTAAAGTTTATTAATAAAGGAATAATCCTTGGGAAGACAGGAATATGAATCTTACAATATTAAAAATAATTTCTCACTTTCTATTTTTTATCATTGAGTGTATTGTTATCTTCTTTGAACTTTTAGCCTCTTCAGAAGTAAAAAGGGAATATTTTTATCTGTTTCCAGATTTTATTATCTATATATTTTATTACGTACATATGTTTTTCTTATGTATTCATTCAATTTATGCAAACAATGATAGATTAATCATTTCATTTTAATTGTATTCTTAAAAATAACATTTAAATACTACTATTGCAAAAATATTGCTTTATAGGAGTTTATTTAAAAATATTGAACTCCCCAACTGTATTTATCCATTCTTTCATTCCATTTATTCATCAAACATAACCTGAGTACCTGTTATGTAGCAGACATATTCTGCTATCTCTCAGGCCCCTTCTATCCTTAAAAACTTCATGTTTACCTGCCCTGCCTGCACAAGCTGAGAGATTTAAAATAGGAATATTGGGACTGAATCTCCTTGAAACTTTGTCACCCAGCTTTCAAACAAAAGCATTTCTGAAGTTAGAAAATAGTAGAAGATAAGCTTTAACTGCCCACTCAAAAGTTTATCAGTCTTAAATACTAATATTAATCATGGGAATGTCTTATTTGCATATATTCTGTAAGCATAAATATTGAATAAAATGAGCCATATGTATTCATTTGAATCATGAGTTTCCTTTGTCTTCAATTTGTTTGAAAATCAAGGAATTAATTTGTTTGAAAAATGCATTATTATTATTTCAGTGTTCTATCCCCATAGTACCTTTAAGCAGGCAGACAAGCCAGCAACCTCACCCACTCAAGGAAGCCCAGATGGCCAGGTTCCAACAGCATGAGTAGCTGCCACCTGATGGCTGATGGAGCAAAGTCCTGAGGAAAAGCAGATGGCACTGGGGCCCTAAATCTAGGGCAGAAGAACTGATGTACTGTGACTGGCAGCATGTGAGGTTGGTGATTGGCCCACCTGTTCCTGGCACACCCTTGCAGAGGTGGCTGGTTGCTCTTTGAGCCAGCTTGGCCTTGCCTGGCATGCACAAGCCTCGGTGCAACAACCGTGCTACAAATGGAGCCATATATAGGAAAGGAGCAGGAGGCTCAGGAGCAGGGTGTGCACTGCCTTTGGGGCTCCAGTGCATGCCTCAGGGCTCCTATGGCACTGCAGGCTTCTTTGTTGCCAAGAGGCAGACCACAGGCCATCTTGAGGAAGACTTTATGTACAAGTGCAGAAAGCAGCCAGGATTACCACCTTACCACCCAGGGGACTCGGTCTTCTGTGGTCCTGGCCTGACAGAATTTGTCCCAAGGCAGGACAAGGTCACTCCGAGCAGTGTGTCAGTAGGTGGGGCCTCTGCATGCGAGGCAAGGCCAAGCTGGCTCAAAGAGCAAGTAGCCACCTCTGCAAGGGTGTGCCTGGAGCAGGTAGACCAGCCACCAACCTCACCCACTGAAAGAAGCCAGGATGGCCAGGTTTCCACAGCCTGAATGGCTGCCTCCTGATGGCTGATGGAGCAGAGGCCTGAGGAAAAGCAGATGGCATATTTAACTCTTTAATCCATCTTAAGATAATTTTTGTATAAAGCAGATGGCACCAGTCCATGCCTCAGGGCTCATATGGCACTGTAAGCCACAGAAGGGTGAGTCCCCAGGGTGGTAATCCTGCCTGCTTTCTGCATTGAACATAAAGTCCTCCTCAAGATGGCCTGTGGTCTGCCTCTTGGCCCCACCTTTAGGGTAGAAGAACTGTTGTACCACGTCTGGCAGTGAGTGAGGTTGGCGGCTGGTCCATCTGCTCCTGGCACACCCTTGCAGAGGTGGCTGCTTGCTCTTTGAGCCAGCTTGGCCTTGCTGGGCAAGCACAAGCCTCGCTGCAACAAGTGTGCTACAAATGGAGCCATATTGAGGAAATGATCAGCAGGCTCAGGAACGGGGCGTGCACTGCCTTTGTGGCTCCAGTCCATGCCTCAGGGCTCATATGGCACTGTAGGTTTCTTGGTCGCCAACAGGCAGACCACAGGCTTTCTTGAGGAGGACTTTATGTTCAAGTGCAGAAAGCAGCCAAGATTAGCACCCAGGGGACTGGGCCTTCTGTGGCCCTGGCCAGACTTAGAATTTGACCCAAGGCAGGACAAGCTGACTCGGAGCAGAGTGTCAGTACCTGGGGCCTATGCATGCCAGGCAAGGCCAAGCTGGCTCAGAGCAACTAGCCACATCTGCAAGGCTGCACCTGTAGCAGGCAGACAAGCCAGCAACCTCAGCTACTCAAGGAAGGAGGGATGACCAGGTTCCCACAGCCTAAGTGGTTGCCACCTGATGACTGATAGAGCAGAGGCCTGAGGAAAAGCATATGGCACTGGGGCCCTACCTCTAGGGTAGAAGAACTGATGTAAGCTGACCGGCAGCAAGTGAGGTTGGTGGCCGGTCCACCGGCTCCTGGCACAACCTTGCAGAGGTGGCCGGTTGCTTTTTGAGCCAGCTTGGCCTTGCCCGGCATGCATAATTCTGTGCAACAACTGTGACACAAATGGAGCCACACAGAGAAAATGAGCAGCAGGCTCAGGAACAGGGTGTGTGCTTCCTCAGGGGCTCCAGTCCATGCCTAAGGGTTCATATGGCACTGTGGGCTTCTTGGTTGCAAAGAGGTAGACCACAGGCCATCTTCAGGAGGTCTTTATGTGGAAGTGCAGAAAGCAGCCAGGATTACCACCCGTGGGACTCGGCCTTTTGTGGCCCTGGCCTGACAGAATTTGGCCCAAGGCAGGACAAGCTCACTCGGAGCAACATGTCAGAACCTGGGGCCGTGCATGTCAGGCAAGGCCAAGTTGGCTTAAAGAGCACCCAGAGCATCCATTCTGGTGGATGAGCCAACCAATGGCCAGCTTCTGGGTGTGGGCACAGTGCCACATCTTCCATCGCTTTCTGACGTATCCCACCAACACTGAAGCGACAGCCTGGAGAGAGTGCAAGAGGAAGGCTGAGAAGGATGAGATAGTGAGTGCGGGCTTCTTTCCAACCCTCAGCACACCCCCAGGTGGTGACCATCAACCTTTAGGGGTGGGAGAGCAAGACTGATGGCTTCAAATGCTTCCCCAAGAAGATGGACACAGGCCACTCAGCTCATCCTTACAGCCAATGTGTTGACAAGCAAGCAGATGACAGTGACAGGCTTTTGGAAAGAGCATCAGAAGGTGGCCAGTTTTTCTTCAGCCTCAGCCAGGCCTTGGAACTTGACTAGGCCATCCACTTCACCAGAGATGCCTTCAAGAACATCAGTAAGCTCTTTGCCAATGAGTCCAGGAAGGACCTGGACCCAGCCATGGACTTGTTATTGCTGTCTCAGGGACACCAGACCAACATCCTGGACATCATCCTCATACACAAGGAAGCTCTTACCAAAGTCACGGAGAACAGGCAACAGGTGGCAGAAGGGAAGACAGAGGTGCAGAGGCTGATGGCATCATCATCACAGGAATGGGATTTCTTTGGCCACTTTGGCTGAAATTCACCACTTCCATCCAATTCACTCAAGTGAGAGACTTGAAATCACAGATGGACCATTTCTTGCAACAAGAGATACTATTTTTTCAAAAAGTCACCTAAAATTTGATAGTGTTGAATGACTAGCTATTTTATTGTGGACTTTTTCCAGTTCACAGGTACTTTCTACAGCAGAATGATAACAGTATCAAAGAGCTAGTGCCAGCTATCGGTGGTAGTACAAGGATGACTTTGTGCTCAACTGAAACCCAGCTGAATATAGAACTGTGTAGGAAAGTGTTAATATGGTGATAGAATAGAAACAGTAGCAAATGAACTAAATCATACTATGAATGCCTACACTACCATTATAACTTTTTGAAGAATGATAATACCACTTACTTTATTGCCTTTTGAAGTAGGAATATTTTAGTGGATGTGCTATAGACCTGAAACCCTATAAAGAATCCCAAAGAAGCTGGCTGGATAAAGCCTGCTATGGATGTCTTTATACTCAAAGACTGATGAGGCAATTCGAATATGTGTCTCCACCAAATCTCATGTTGAGTTATGCTTCCTAATGTTGGAGGTGGATCCTGGTATAAGGTGATTGAATCATGAAGACAAATTTCTCATGAGTGGTTCAGCACTATCCCCTTGGTACTCTCCTCACAATCATGAGTGAATTCTCGTGAGATCTGGCCACTGAAAACTCTATATCACTCCCTAATCTCCATGATTTCCTCTTGCCATATGAGACAATTCACTCTTTCATTACCTTGCACAATGATTGAAAGATTTCTGAGGCCCCCCAGAAGCAGAAGCACTAAGCTTCCTGTCCACTCTGCAGAACCGTGAGCCAATTAAACCTCTTTTTCAAAATAAATCTTACCAAAAATGACAAATGAGGACTGGAGCATTGCTATAAAGATACCTGAAAATGTGGAAGCAACTTCGGAACTGGGTAATGGGTAGAGGTTGGAAGAGTTTGGAGGGCTCCAAAGAAGACAGACAGATGAGAACATTTTTGGACCATCTTAGAGACTGGTTAAATGGCTGTGACAAGAATGCTGACAAAAACATGGACAGTGAAGGCCAGGCTGAGGGGCCTCAGATAAAAATAAGAAGGTTTCTGGAAAATGTCTCCCTTTTGCATATGGAAAGCTTACACAATGCCTGTACCATCATTGTACCTTAGACGCAGTGAACTTGCTTTTTATTTCAGAGACTCGTAGGCAAAAGAGAATGTAGCCTTGACCCAGATGAGACTTTGGACTTTGTAACTTTGAGTTAATGCTGAAATGAGTTAAGACTTTGGGAGACTGCTGGCAAGGCATGACTGTATTTTGCAATGTGAGAAGGACATGAGATCTGTGGGGTCAGGGACAGAATAATACAGTTTTTCTCTATGCCCTTTCCAAAGCTCATGTGAAAGCACACTCCCTAATGTTAGAGTCGGGGCCTAGGTGGAAAAAGCTTTAATCATAAAGGGGTGGGAGTGGATCCTTCACAAATGGCAAAGCACCAAGCCCTTAATGCCATCCTCCTGATAGTGAGTGAGTTCTCATGAGATCTAGTAGTTTAAAAGGCTGTGGAACCTCTTTTCTCTCTCTGTCTTTTTCCAACTTTTGCCATATGAAACATGTCATTGCCGCTTGGATTTCCGGTGTGGTTAGGAGGGGCCTGATCAGGGTGGGCCTGGTCAGTGGGCCTAGGTCAGTGAGGACTATTTAGTGGGATCGTGGTCAGCAGGGGTCTGCTTAGAGAGGGTCTCATTAGTGGCGTCTAGTAGTGGGGGTTTTGGTGAGTGGGGACCTATTGGCTGCCAGTTGTTTGGTGTCTGCTCAGTGCAAACCTGGGCTGTGGGGCTTGATCAGTGGAGACCTGGTCAGCTGGGGCTTAGGGCTGGCCTGGTCAGCATGGGCTGGGGCACTGGTGACCAGGTCAAGAGGTGCTATTCAGTGGAGGACTGGGCACATGGGACCTAGTCAGCAGACCCTGGTGGGCGTGTCCTCATCAGTGAGGCCCTTGTCAGTGGGGCCCTGGTCAGGGCAGCCTTGTCAGCGGGACCTAATCTGTAGTGTCCTGGTCAGAGAGGACTCGGTCAGTGGTGACTTTTGTAGCACTGGTCTACAGGGTGACCTGGTCAGCGGGGATCTCAGCATTTGGTGCCAGTTCACTGGGGTCTACTCACTAGGGTCCCAGTCAGGGGCATCTGGTGACCTTAGGCCTGGTTTTTAGGGGCCTGATCAGTGGCAACCTGTTCCCTGGAGGCCTGGTCAGTGGGGCCTCATCTTTGGGGCCAGGGAATGAGGTCATGATCAGTGGAACCTGATCAGTGAGGCCTTGTCAATAATGACCTAGTCAGTGAGGACTTGTCAGTAAGGACTTGGTCCGTGAGGCCTTGTCAGTAAGGTCCTGGTCGGTGGAGTCCTTGTCATTGTGTGCCTGGCAGTGGGGGCTTTGTTAGTGGGGCCTGGTCATGAGGGTCTAATCAGTGAAGGTGTCATCAGGGAGGACCTGATGTGTGGGGTCTGGTCAGCAGGGACCTGGTCAATGTGGGCTGCGGAGCACTGCTTGGATAAGCCAGGTGCAATGTGCATTATTGAAGACCCTGTGGACAGCTGGGATAGCCTAGTGATGCCCAAGGGCCTAGTCAAAAGTGGACAAAGCACGTGTTTGGATGGACCTGGGAGATCCTGCTCAGAGATTCTGACAGGACAAAGGTAAAGGAAGGGCCAGAGTGGCTGCAGAGATAGTCACAGTCTATGGGCTGCACAGGATGAAGTAGGCCAGGGAACAGGCAGGGTGGGCGGTTGGGGTTCAGGGAGAGGCAGGTACCTGCTGGGAGGTCAGACCCTGTGAGGGCTTTGGGGGCGTCATGTTGGGTAGGCTCCAGGCACTCTCACTCACATAGGATTCCAGAACACTGCTACAAGGCTCTGAGTGTTTGTCCCTCACATAGGATTCCAGAACACTGCTGCCATTGTCTGAATGTTTGTCCCCCACATAGGATTCCAGAAGCCTGCTGCTGGAGTCTGAATGTTTGTCCCCCATCTAGGATTCCAGAACACTGCTGCGAGGGTCAGAATGTCTGTCCCTCACACATGATTCTAGAACATTGATGCTAGGGTCTGTATGTTTGCCCCTAACATATGATTTCAAAACACTGCTCCTGGATTCTGAATGTTGTCCTTCACATAGGAATACAGAACACTGCTGCTGGAGTCTGGAAGTTTGTCACTCACATAGAATTCCAGAACACTGCTGTGAAGATCTGAATGTTTGACCCTCACATGGGATTCCAGAACACTGCTGTGAGGGTCTAAATGTCTGTCCCTCACATAGGTTTCCCTAACAATGTTACGAGGTTCTGAATGTTTGTCCCTAACATAGGATTCCAGAACACTCCTGCTGTGCTCTGAATGCTTCTCCCTCACATAGGATTCCAGAACACTGCTACGAGGGTCTGAATGCTTATCCCTCACATAGGATTCCAGAACACTCCTGCTGTGGTCCGAATGTTTGTTCCTCACATAGGATTCCAGAATACTCCTGCCGTGGTCTGAATGTTTGTCCCTCACATAGGATTCCAGAACATTCATGCTGGGGTCTCAATGTTTCCCTTAACATAGGATTTCAGAACACTGCTCTTGGGGTCTGAATGTTTGTCACTCACATAGGATTACAGAACACTGCTGCTGTGGTCTGAATGTTTGTCCCTCACATAGAATTCTGGAACACTGCTACAAGGGTCTGAATGTTTGTCCTTCACATACCATTCCAGAACACTGTTGCCGTGGTCTGAATGTGTGTCCCTCACATAGGATTCCAGAACACTGCTACTAGGTTCTGAATGTTTTTCCCACACCTAGGATTCCAGAACACTTCTACTGGTGTCTGAATGGTTGTTCCTCACATATGATTCCAGGACACTGCTACGAGAGTCTTAATGTTTGTCCTTCACATAGGATTCTAGAACACTGCTCCCATGGTCTGAATGTTTGTCCTTCACATAGCATTCCAGAACACTGCTGCTGGGGTCTGAATGTCTGCCCCTCAAATCAGATTCCAGAACACTGCTGCTGGGTTTTGAATGTCTTTCCCTCACATAGAGTTCCAGAACATGGCTGGGAGGGTCTGAATGTTTGTCCCTCACATGGGATACCAGAACACTGCTGCGAGGGTCTAAATGTCTCTCCCTCACATAAGATTTCACGACACTGCTACGAGGTTCTGAATGTTTGTACCTCACATAGGATTCCAGAGCACTCCTGCTGTGGTCTGAATATTTGTCCCTCACATAGGATTCCAGAACACTGCCACGTGGGTCTGAATGTTTGCCCTCACATAGGATTCCAGAACACTATTGCTGTGGTCTGAAAGTTTGTCCCTCACATAGGATTCCAGAACACTCCTGCTGTGGTCTGAAAGTTTGTTCATCACATAGGACTCCAGAACACTGCTAAGAGGGTCTGAATGTCCCTCACATTGTATTCCAGAACACTCCTTCTGTGGTCTGAATGTTTGTTCCTCACATAGGATTCGAGAACACTCCTGCTGTGGTCTGAATGTTTGTCCCTTACCTAGGATTCGAGAACATTCACACTGGGATATAAATGCTTGCCCTTAACATAGGATTTCAGAACACTGCTCCTGGGGTCTGAAAGTTTGTCCCTCACATAGGATTCCAGAACTCTCCTGCTGTGGTCTGAAAGTTTGTACCGCACATAGGATTCCAGAACACTGCTGCTGTGGTTGGAAAGTTTTTCTGTCACATAGGATTCCAGAACACTGCAGCTGGGTTCTGAATGTTTGTCCCTCACATAGGATTTCAGAACACTGCTACGAGTGTCTGATTGTTGGTCCCTCACATAGGATTCCTGAACACTGCTGCTGGGCTCTGAATGTTTGTCTCTCACATTGGATTGCAGAACACTACTGCTATGGTCTGAACGTTTGTCCATCACATAGGATTCCAGAACGCTCCTGCTGTGGTCTGAATGTTTGTCTGTCACATAGGATTCCAGAACACTGCCGCTGGGGTCTGAATGTCCCTGACATAGGATTCCAGAACATTGTTATGAGAGTCTGAATGGTTGTCTTTCACATAGCATTCCAGAACACTGCTACGAGGATCTGAATGTTGGTCCCTCACACAGGATTCCAGAACCCTCCTGCTGGGGTCTGAATGTTTGTCCCTCACAAAGGATTCCAGAACACTGCTATGAGGGTCTGAATATTTGTCCCTCACATAGGATTCCAGAACACTCCTGCTGTGGTCTGAATGGTTGTCCCTCACAAAGGATTCCAGAACACTCCTGCTGTGATCTGAATGGTTGTCCCTCACATAAGATTCTGGAACACTTCTGCCGTGGTACGAATGTTTGTGTCTTACGTAGGATTCCAGAACACTGTTACGAGGGTCTCAATGTTTGTCCCTCACATAAGATTCCAGAACACTGCTGCTGGGGTCTTGAATGCTTGTCCCTCACATACGATTACAGAACACTGTTGCTGGGGTGTGAATGTTTGTCCCTCACATGGGATTCCAGACCACAGCTGCTGGGGTCTCATTGTCTGTCCCTCAAAAAAGGATTCCAGAACACTGTTATGAGGGTCTGAATTTTTGTTCCTCACTTAAGACTGCAGAACACTGCTTCGAGGGTCTAAATGTCTGTCCTTCACATAGGATTCCAGAACACTGCTACGAGGGTCTGAATGTTTGTCCTTCACATAGCATTTCAGAACTGCCATGGTCTGAATGGTTGTCCCTCACATAGTATTCCAGAACACTGCTATGAGGGTCTGAATGTTTGTACCTCACATAAGATTCCAGAACACTGCTATGAGTGTCTGAAAGTTTGTCCCTCACATAGGATTCCAGAAGACTGCTGCTGGGGTCTGAATGTCTGTCCTTCACATCAGATTCCAGAACACTGCTGCTGGGGTTTGAATGTCTGTCCCTCACATAGAATTCCAGAAGACTGCTGGGAGGGTCTGAATGTTTGTCCCTCACATAGGATTCCAGAACACTGCTACGAGGGTCTGAATGTTTGTCCTTTACATAGGATTCCAGAACACTCCTTCTGGGGTCTGAATGTTTGTCCCTCACATAGGATTCCAGAACACTGCTACGAGGGTCTGAATGTTTTTTAATCACATAGGATTCCAGAACACTTCTACAAGGGTCTGAATGTTTGTCCCTCACATAGGATTCCAGAATACTCCTGCTATGGTCTTAATGCTTGTCCCTCACATAGGATTCCAGAACATTCATGTTGGGGTCTGAATGTTTGCCCTTATCATAGGATTTCAGAACAGTGCTCCTGGGGTCTGAATGTTTGTCCTTCATATAGGATTTAAGAACACTCCTGCTTTGGTCTGAAAGTTTGTCCCTCACATAGGATTCCAGAACTCTACTGCTGTGGTCTGAAAGTTTGTCCTTCACGTGGGATTCCAGAACACTGCTGTTGTGGTTTGAATGTTTGTCCCTCACATAAGATTCCAGAACACTGCTACGAGGGTCTGAATGTTTGTCCTTCACATAGGATTCCTGAGCATTGTTGCTGTGGTCTGAATGTTTGTCACTAACATAGGATTCCAGAACAGTGCTACGAGGGTCTGAATGTTTGTCCCTCACATAGGATTCCAGAACACTTCTGCTGGTGTCTGAATGTTTATACCTCACATAGGACTCGAGAACACTGCTGTTAGGGTCTGAACGTCTGTCCCTCACATAGGATTCTAGAACACTGCTGCGAGTGTCTGAATGTTTGTCTCGCAGATGGGATTCTAGAACACTGCTGCGAGGGTCTAAATGTCTGTCTCTGACATAACATTCCAGCACACTGCTACAAGGTTTTGAAATGTTTGTCCCTCACATAGGATTACAGAGCACTCCTGCTGTGGTCTGAATGTTTGTCCCTCACATAGGATTCCAGAACACTCCTGCTGTGGTCTGAATGTTTGCCCCTCACATAGGATTCCAGAACATTCCTGCTGTGGTCTGATTGTTCCTCACATAGGATTCCAGAACACTGCTACGAGGTTCTGAATTTTTGCCCCTCACATAGGATTGCAGAACACTGCTACAAGGGTTTGAAAGTTTTCCCCTCACATAGGATTCCACAACACTACTGCTGGGGTCTGAATGTTTGTCCCCTCACATAGGATTCCTGAGCACTCCTGCTGTGGTCTGAATGTTTTTCCCTCACATAGGATTCCTGAAGACTGCTGCTGTCACTATAGTCGTTGGGAGTGTCTGAATGTTTGACCTTCACCAAACACTAAATATCCTGCCCCTTCAGTCTTGGACTTTCCAGCCTCCAGATCTGTGAGCAATAATCTCTGTTGTTTATGAATTACTCAGTCTAAAGTATTTTGTTATAGTAGTGTAAAGAGACTAAGAGAGCATCACCTGCCCTGTCACCTCATCACAGCATTACTAAAGCTATACTAACAGCAGTCACCTTTAGTGGGTGCTTCATGCATGAGAATAAAGGGAAAAAATTGCAAGGCATACTAAAATCCAAAAAAAGAAAAAAATACAATTTGTGTCAACAGAGCAAGCTTCAGAAGCAGACAAAGATAAGATTTTGGAATTTTTTTTAAACCTCTGGAGAATATGCTAAGGGTCTAATGAATGAAGTAGACAGCATTCAAGTGTAGATGGGTAATGTAATCAGAAAGACAGACATCGTAAGAAACTTCAACATAATGTAGTGGTAAAAAATGTGGTAAATAACTGAAGAATACCTCTGATGGCTTATTAGTAGACTGGACTCAGCTGAGTAAAGAATCTCTGAGCTTGAGGATTTATCATCAGAAACTTCGAAAACTAAAGAAAAGAAACACTGAAAATAACAGAAGATGATATCCAAGACTGTGGGACAACTATAAAAGGTGAAACAGAGTAATGAGAATACCAGGAGGAGAAGAAATAGAAGAAAGTTCTGCAACAACCATGTCTGAGAACTTCCAGTATTAATGTCAGACACCAAACCAAAGATCCAGGAAGCTCAGAGAACACCAGGCAGTATAAATGCCAGCAACCTACACTTGGACATATAATTTTCAAACTATATGAAATAAAAGATAAAGGAAAACTCTGAAAGAAACCAGAGGTGGGGCAGAAAACACCTTACCTACAGAGACACAAAGATAAGAACTGCATTCAACATTGCAGAAACTGTGAAAGCAAGAAGACAATTAAATGAAAAATTCAAAATGTTGACAGAAAAAACCCACCAACCTAAGTTTCTGTACCCACTGAAACCACCTTCAAAAGTGAAGGAGAATTAAGGCCTTCCTCAGAAAAATAAAAATTCAAGAAACTTGTTGCCAGGAGACCTGTCTTGCAAGAAATGTTAAATGAAATTCTTTAGAGGGAAACAAAAGATATATAACTGAAACCTGGATCAACATTTTTTAAAAAAGACCATTAAAGAATTGTGGTACAATAAAAACCTATGTATTTATTCTTAATTGATCTGACCAAGAAGTTCATAGACAATAACAAATACACACAGATAGATTATGTATGCTTATACACAAGTTAAATGAGTAACACTAATACAAGGAATGGAATGGAAGGATGGGAGGGAGGAATTGTGGTACAATAAAAACATGTATTTATTCATAATTGATCTGACCAATAAGTTTGTAGATAATAATAAATACACACAGATAGATTATGTATGCTTATACACAAGTGCAATAAGGAACAATAATACAAGGAATGGAATGGAAGGATGGGAGGGAGGAATCAGGTGTTTTCTTTGTTAAGCAGGTAGTCACCCGTGAAGTGGGATAGTGTTATCTGAAAGTGGACTTGAATTGGTTGTAAATGTATATTGAGGAATTAGGTGTGTTCTTTGTTAAGCAGGTAGTCTTATTTGTTGGATAGTGGGGTAGTTTTATTTGAAAATGGACTTGAATTTGTTGTAAATGTTACTGAGGAATTAGGTGTTTTGTTTGTTAAGCAGGTAGTCTTATTTGTGGGATAGTGGGATAGTGTTATTTGAAAGTGGACTTGAATTGGTTGTAAATGTATATTGCAAATTCTGTGGCAACTAGTTAAAAAAAGTTTTAAAAAGAGAAGTACATGCTAAGAAAGACAGGGAAAATGTAGTCATCTAAAATCATCAATGAAAACTGCAAAAGGCAGAAAAAGAGTGGTAGACAAAAGAATGGAGACTGAGGAGAATGAATAGAAAACAGTGACAAATATAGTAGATATTAATCCAATGATATCAATAATCACTTTGAATGCTAATGGTATGAATGTACCAATTCAAAGATAGAGATTGTCAGAGTCTATCAAAAGACAGACACATCTTGTTTCACTGCGCTTTGCTTTATTGTGTTTTGTGACCATGCATTTTACATATTGAAGGTTTGTGGCCACCCTGCAATAAGCAGGTCTCACTGGCACCATTGTTCCTACAGCACGTGCTCACTTCATGTCTCTGTGTCACATTTCGGTCATTCTTACAGTATATTAAGCTTTTTATTATTGAATCTGTTATAGTGATCTGTAATCAGTGATCTTTAATGCTACTGTTGTCATTGTTTTGGGAACCACAAATCACACCAGGATAAGACAGCAAACAATTGACAAATGTGTTTGTTCTGACTGCCCCACCAATGGGCCATTTCTCTTTCTCTCTCTTTCTCTCAGGCTTCTTTTTATTAATATTAAAATGTGGCCAATTAATAACCCTACAATAGCCTCTATATGTTCAAGTGAAAGAAGAGTTGCATGTCTGTCACTTTAAACCAAAAGGAAGAAAAAATTAAGCTTAGTGATGAAGGCATGCTGTAAGCAAGACAGGCCAGTAGCTAGACCTCATGCAACACTTAGCCAAGTTGTGAATGCAAAGGAAGTGTTCTGGAAAGAAATTTAAAGTACTACTCCAGTGAATACATGAATGATAAAAAGCTAAACAATCTTGCTGCTGTTATGATGGAAGTTTAATTGGTCTAGATAGAAGATTAAAAAAAAACAAAAAAATTCCATTAAGCCTAAGCCTAACTCTCTTTTTACTTTTTTTCTTTGTTTTTGAGACAGAGTTTCATTCTTCTTGCCCAAGCTGGAGTACAATGGCGTGAACTTGGCTCATCACAACCTCTGCCTCCCAAGTTCAAGCCATTCTCCTGCCTCAGCATCCCGAGTAGCTGGGATTACAGGCATGCGCCACCACGCCTGGCTATTTTTTTGTATTTTTAGTAGAGACGGGGTTTCTCCACGTTGGTCAGACTGGTGTCAAACTCCCTACCTCAGGTGATCTGCCCGCCTCGGCCTCCCAAAGTGCTAGGATTACAGGTGTGACAGCCACCGCACCCGGCCTCCCTTCAATTCTATGAAGACTTAGAGAGGTGAGGCAGCTGCAGAAGAAAAGTCTGAAGCTAGAAGAGCTTGTTTCTTGAGGTTTAAGGAAAAAAGTCATCTCCATAACATAAAAGCGCAAGATAAAGCAGCAAGTACTGATGGAAAAGCTGCAGAAAGCTATCTAGAAGATAATTGATTAAGATGGCTACACTAAACAGATTTGCAATGGAGACAAAACTGCCTTCTACTAGAAGGAGATGCCATCCAGGATGTTCCCAGCTAGAGAGGAGTTGATGCCTGGCTTTAAGGCTTCAAAGGACATGCTGACTCTTTTGTTAAGGCCTAATGCAATTGGTGATGTTAACTTGAAACCAATGATGATTTACTATTCTGAAAATCCAAGGGCCCTGAAGAATTATGATAAAACACAGCTCTGCCTGTACTCTACAAATGGGAACAAAGCCTGGATGTCAGACTATCGGTTTACAAATATGGTTTACTGAATATCTTAAGCCCACTGTCGACAACTACTGCTCAAGAAATAAGATTCCTTTCAAAGTATTACCACTCACTGACAATGCCGCTGGTATTCAAGGGTTTTTACAGAGATGTATAAAGAGCTGAATATTGTTTTCATGCCTACTAAGCTAACATTCATTCTGGTGCTCTTGGATCAAAGAATAATTTCAACTTTCAAGTCTTATCACTTAAAAAATATA
This sequence comes from Homo sapiens, assembly GCF_000001405.40. NCBI lineage: Eukaryota > Metazoa > Chordata > Mammalia > Primates > Hominidae > Homo > Homo sapiens. The sequence goes on from NC_000024.10 coordinate 11,189,964, forward strand.
TTTCATAAAGCTATAGCTTCTCTAGAAAGTGATTCCTTTGATGGATCTGGGCAAAATGATTGAAAACCTACTGGAAAGGATTCACCATTCTAGATGCCATTGAGAACATTCATGATTTAAAAAAGAAGATCAAAATAACAACATTAGGAGAAGTTGGGGCCAGGCTTGGTGGCTCACGCCCGTAATCCCAGCACTTTGGGAGGCCAAGGCATGTGGATCATGAGGTCAGGAATTTGAGACCAGCCTGGCCAACATAGTGAAATCCTGTCTGTACTAAAAACACAAAAAAAATTAGCTGGGCCTGGTCGGGGGTGACTGTAATCCCAAACACTTGGGAGGCTGAGGCAGGAAAATTGCTTGAACACGGGAGGTGGAGGTTGCAGTGAGCTGAGATCGCATCACTGCACTCCAGCCCAGGCAAGACTTCATCTCAAAAAAAAAAAAAAAAAAGAGAGAGAGAGAGAGAAGTTGGGAAGATTATTCCAACCCTCACAAATGACACAGGGGTTCACGACTTCTGTGGAGGAAGTAACTGCAGATATGGTGGAAGTAACAAGAGCACTAGAAAGAGCCTGAAGATCTGGTGAGACTGCAGCAGCCTCTGGAGAAAACGTGAGAGGATGAGTTGCTCCCACGGATGAGCAAAGAAAGTGGTTTCTTGAGATGAAATCTACTCGTGGTGAAGACAGTGTAAACAATATTGAGATGACAACAGATTTAGAATAAACTTGGTACAGCAGAAGGAAGGCTTGACAAGATTGAACCCAGTGATTTACAATAATACATAAACTTAGTTGGTACAGCAGTACGAAGGTTTGACAGCATTGAATCCAATTTTGAAAGTTCTACTGTGGGTAAAAAGCTATCATCGTATGCTACAGTTAATTCTTTTGTGAAAGGGAGAGTCAATTGACACAGCAACCTTCAACGTTGTCTTATTTTAAGAAATTGCCACAGCCACCCCAACGCTCAGCAACCACCACCTTACATTAACATAAGACCCTCCATCAGCAAGAAGACTGAAACTTGGCCAGGTGCAGTGGCTCACACCTGTCATCCCAACACCTTGGGAGGCCAAGGTGGGTGGATTGCTTGAGCCCAGGACGTCAAGGCAACATGGCAAAACCCCATATCTACAAAAAAAAAAAAATACAAAAATTAGCTGGACACGGTGGCATGCACCTGTAGTCCCAGCTAGTCAGGAGTCTGAGGTGGGGGTTTGATTGAGCATGAGGTTGAGGCTGCAATTACTCCAGCCTGAGCCACAGAGTAAAACCCTGTCACACACACACAAAAAGATTGCAGCTTTCTGAAGGCTCAGATGACTGTTAGCACTTGTTAAAAATAAAGTATTTGTAAATTAAAGTGTGCATACTTTGTAGACATATGCTATTGCACACTTTATACAGCACAGTATAAACATACTTTTACATGCACTGGGAAACCACAAGAAATTGTATAACACTTTATTGCAGTGGTCTGGAACCAAACCCACATATATCTCTGATGCATGGCCGTCCTGTATTGTACACTTACAAAAATACTTAAGAGGGTATATTTTAGGTGAAATGGTCATCTCATTTTTTTTTTTTTGAGATGGAGTCACAGTCTGTTGCCCAGGCTGGAGTGCAGTGGCACGATCTCGGCTCACTGCAAGCTCTGCCTCCCGAGTTCACACCATTATCCTGCCTCAGTCTCCCGAGTAGCTGGGACTACAGCTACTCGGGATGGCGTGCCCACCATCACGCCCAGCTAATTTTCTGTATTTTTAGTAGAAACGGGGTTTCACTGTGTTAGCCAGGATGGTCTTGATCTCCTGACCTCATGATCCACCTGCCTTGGCCTCCCAAAGTGCTGGGATTACAGGCGTGAGCCACCACTCCCGGTCTCATTTTTTAAAAAGGGTGAGAATGAGAAATATATGGGGGGTGATGGTCAAGTTTACGGTATTATTTGTTGTGATGAGTCCTGGGGCGAATATTTATCTCTATACTCATTAAGATGTATATATTCGGTGTCACACGCCTGTAATCCCAGCACTTTGGGAGGCCGAGGCAGGTGGATCATCTGAGGTCAGGCGTTCGAGACCAGCCTGGCCAACATGGTGAAAACCTGTCTCTACTAAAAAAATACAAAAATTAGCCGGGCGTGGGGGCGCACACCTGTGATCCCAGCTACTCAGGAGGCTGAGGCAGGAGAATTGCTTGAACCTGGGAGGCGGAGGTTGCAGTTAGCTGAGATCGTGTCGCTGCACTCCAGCCTGGGCAACAAGAGTAAAACCTCCATAACACATACACACACACACACACACACACACACACACACACACACACACAAGGTATATATTAAATATGTGTAATTTTTGTATGTCAACCACACCTTAGTTTTATTTTATTTTATTTTTTTGAGACAGAGTCTCACTCTGTCACCCAGACTGGAGTCCAGTGGTGCAATCTTGGCTCACTGCAAGCTCCACCTCCCAGGTTCAAACCATTCTCCTGCCTCAACCTGTGGAGTAGCTGGAACTACAGGCACCCGCCACCATGCCCGGCTAATTTTTTGTATTTTTAGTAGAGATGGCGTTTCACAGTGTTAGCCCGGATGGTCTCGATCTCCTGACGTGATCTGCCTGCCTCAGCTTCCCAAAGTGCTGCGATTACAGGTGTGAGCCACCGTGCCCAGACAATTTTTATTTTTTTGAGACAGAGCCTCACTCTGACACCCAGGCTGGAGTGCAGTGGCACTATCTTGGCTCACTGCAACCTCTGCCTCCCATGTTCAAGCAATTCTCCTGCGTCAGTCTCCCGAGTAGCAGGGACTACAGATGCATGCTATCACGCCTGGCTAATTTTTTGATTTTTAATAGAGATAAGGTTTCACCATGTTGGCCAGGCTGGTCTCAAATTCCTGACCTCATGTGATCTGCCCACCTCAGCCCCCCAAAGTGCTGGGATTACAGGTGTAAGCCACTGCACCCGGCAATTTTTAAATATATATAATTAAAAATTAATAAAAAACAGGTATTTGCAAGTTTCCGTTTTGTTATATGCTTATTATTCTTTATCTTTATGTCAGGTAGCTGTGTCAATACACTTAGGAGATCATAGTTTCTAAATTGAAATACAAATAAATATGTCTGAAATTTTTTCTTTTTTCTTTTTTTTTGAGACGGACTCTCATTCTGTCACCCAGGCTGGAGTGCAGTGGTGCAATCTCAGCTCACTGCAACCTCCGCCTCCCAGATTCAAGTGATTCTCCTGCCCCAGCCTCCAGAGTAGCTGGGATTACAGGCACCCGCCATGACACCCAGCTAACTTTTATATATATTTTTTTTCTATTTTTAGTAAAGACAGGGTTTCACCATGTTGGCCAGGGTAGTCTCCAACTCCTGACCTCAGATGATCCTCCCGCCTCGGCCTCCTCAAGTGCTGGGATTACAGATGTGAGCCACTGTGTCTGGCCTGGAATTTTTTTCTAAAATTTACATTTCTGAGTTAAGAATGCTTAAAATATTATAAAAACAGAAGCACAATTCATTATGTGTTTCATTAATTACCTTTATTAAAAACAACACAATTATATTACAATAGGACAAAAAATGTTTAAACAAATGAAAACGAAACCATGACACACCCAAACTCAGGAGGAGGCAACAAAGACAGTGCTAAAGGGAAGCTTACAGCTGCAGATGCTTAAATTAAAAAGAAGAAAGATCTCAAACCCATGCTAAAGGGAAGCTTACAGCTGTAGATGCTTAAATTAAAAAGAAGAAAGATCTCAAACCCTTGCTAAAGGGAAGCTTATAGCTGCAGGTGCTTAAATTAAAAAGAAGAAAGATCTCAAATCAATAACCTAACATTACACCTGAAGGGGGGAGAAAAAAACTAATGACAAACCAAGCAAAAGGAAGAAAATAACAGATTAGAGCAGAGATAAGCAGAATAAGGTCAGAAAAAAAAAGGAAAAAAAACCCACTGAGTTTGTTTTTTTAAAGATCAATAAAAGTTTTAAAACTCACAGCTATATTAAGAAAAAAAGAGAAATCTCAAATACTAAAATCATAAATAAAAGAGGTGACAGTACAACAGATGCCACAGAAATGAAAAATATTACAAGAGACTAATGTGAGCAGCCATATGCCACAAAACTGGACAACCTAGAATAAACTTATAAATTCCTAGAAACACAAACCACCATACTGCATCACGGAGAAATAAAAAATCCAAAGAGACCTGTAACTAGTAAGAAGATTCAACCAGTAATCAAAAACACCACCAAAAAGAAAATTCCAGGTCCGGATAACTTCACTGGAAAATTTTACCAAACATTTCAAGAAGAATTAATGCCAGTCCTCTGCAAAATATTCCAAAAATGTTCAAAAACCAGAAGGGGACATTCCAATCCATTCTATCAGGTCAACATTTATCTGGTTCCAGAGCCAGATGAACACCTTTTGTAATAAAAACACTCAAAGAATTAGTAATATATGGAAACTCCTCAGTAAATAAAGATTATACGTGAAAAGCTCACAGCTAACATCATACTCAATGGTGAAAGACTAAAATCTTTTCCTCTAGGATCAGGAATAAGATAGCAACATCTCTTCCTGCCACTTCTATTCATCACAGTACTGGAATTTCTACTCAGAATAGTTAGTCAAAAGAAAGTAATAAAAAGGATGCAAATTGGGAAGGAAAAAGTACAAAATTTTGTTCACAGACAACAGGATGTAATGGGTAAAAATCCTGAAATTCCCAAAATACTGGTAAAATAATGAAATTCAACAAAATTTCAGGATACAGTAACACACACAAGTCAGTTGCATTTCCATAAACTAACAATGAACAATCTGCAAATAAAATTTTAAAAAGAGAGGCCAGGTGCAGTGGCTCACACTTATAATCCCAGCACTTTGGGAGGCCAAGGCGGGTAGACCACCTGAGGTCAGGAGTTCGTGACCAGCTGGGCCAAACCCATCTCTAAAATAAATAGTAAAACTCTGTCTCTATTAAAAATACAAAAATTAGCTGGGCGTAGCGGCAGACACCTGTAGTCCCAGCTACTTGGGAGGCTGAGGCAGGAGAATTGCTTGAACTTGGAAGGTGGAGGTTGCAGTCAGCTGAGATTGTGCCACTGCGCTCCAGCTTAGGAAACTGAGTGAGACGCCATCTCAAAGAAAAGAAAGAAAGGAAAGAGAGAGAGAGAAAGAAAAGAAAAGAAAGATAAAACAAAAGAAAAGAAATTTTTAAAAAGAATGACATTTGGCCAGGTGCAGTGGTTCACGCCTTCAATCCCAGCAGTTTGGGAGGCCGAGGCGGGCAGATCACCTGAGGTCACAAGTTCAAGACTTGCCTGGTCAACATGGAGAAACCCTGTCTCTACTAAAAATACCAAAAAATTAGCTGGGCTTGCTGGTGCGCACCTGTGATCCCAGGTACTTGAGAGGCTGAGGTTGGAGAATCGCTTGAATAAAGATGGCGCAGGTTGCAGTGAGCTGAGATAGTGCCACTGCACTCCAGCCTGGGAGACAGAGCAAGACTCCATCTCAAAAAAAAAAAAAAAAAAAAGTATTACATTTACAACAGCATTATAAAAATTAAAAATAAGCTTAACCAAAAGGGCAAAAGATTTGAACACAGAAAACTACAAAACACTGTTGAAAGAAATTAAACACAAATAAATGAAAAGAAAAGCTGGGTTTGCAGATTAGATGATTTCATCTTGGAATGATGTCAACACTACTCGAAGTGACCTAGATTCAATACAATCCTTATAAAGATTCCAATGACATTTTTGATAAACAGAAAAACCTATCCTAAAATTCATATGGAATCGCCAGGGCCCATGAATAGGCAAATCAATCTTGAAGCAGAACAAAATTAAAGGTCTCAAAACAATTACATAACTGCAATAAGCCAAAAAAAATGTGGTCATGGCATAAGACATACTTGACACACTTATGGACCAACACAACAGAGACCTCAGAAACCAACCCTGGCATATATGGTCTGATGATCTTCCACAAGGATGCCAAGACCACTTAATGGCGAAGGACAGTTTCTTCAACAAATGGTGTTGGGAAAATTGTATATCTACATGCAAAACAATGAAGTTGGACTCTTACCTTACACCACGTTAAAATTAATTCAAAGTGAATTATAAACCTAAATGTAAAACTAGAACTATCAAACTCCTAGGGAAAACAAATTTGGAAAATGCTTTATGACGATGAATTTGTCAATAATTTTTAGGATATGACATTAAAAGCTCAGGCAGTAAAAGCAAAAATATATCAAACCTAAAAACTTCTGTACCACAAAGGTCACAACCAACAGGGTAAAAGGCAAACTGTAGAATAAAAGAAAATACCAGTTGAGTGTCCCTTATTTGAAATGCTTGGGATGTATTTCAGATTTTGTAATATTTGCATTATTCTTACTGGTTGAGCATCTCGAATTCAAACACCTGAGTCTGCGATGCTCCAATAAGCATTTCCTTTGAGTGTCATGTTGGCACTCAAAAAGTTTCAGACTTTGGAGCATTTCGGATTTCAGATTTTTGGATCAGAGACATTCAACCTATAGTTGCACATCATGTATCTCATAAGTGAACATTCAGAATACGTAAAGTACTCCTACAGAGAGACTACCAGAAGCAGAGAGGAGCAAACACATTTTCACACTAGGGCACCTCCTATCTCTCCTGGATTCCAATTAGGGCAGAGTAAGTGCTAGTTCTCTGCCAACCCAGGATTAGGCCCTGGAGCTGCAGTGAAAATAATCACAGACGAAAACTAAGAAATAAAAAATGGAGAAAGTGAGACATCAAACTAAAATTACTAGAAACCCTCAGGAAGAAGGAAAAAGAAACCAAGAAAACAGAAAAACAATTAAACCAGTTAATTAAACCTTGGCATGACCAGAAGATCAGAGTTTCCTAAAGGAGTGGAAATTTATTGATTTGAAGAGGATTTATTGATTACTGATATGAAGAGGAAGAAAAACCATGAATGGTCTAAAGCAAAAGCCTAGTGTCTGAAGAAGTCAATAGGGTGAAAACAAGAGCTGGCCAGAATATCCACAGATGGTGATAAGTTGGCAAAGCCTTTACTAGACTACTCGTGAGGCTAACTAGAGGCCAAGGAGCCAACACTGCCCCTGTCCTTACAGAGAGACCCTACACAGGATTCCCAGATATACATGGAAGGACAACATCTTATCAGGTCCTCTCTGTGCAGATGTGGTTATCATTCCAAATAATGAGCTCCAGCCCCAAGACTGTTCCATCCTCAATTGCTTTGAGTGGGCAATATAGGCTCTCCACACACGAGCTACATGTAGGTTCCTTGGGTACCCAGATGGGAGCCATGAAACACAAACCCTCCATGGTCAGGTCTGTATTTGTTTCCTGCCTTTTTCCCAGCAATCCCCAGGCACCAGCAGCGGTGGTCTACCTCTGCTGATTCTCAGTCAGAATCTAAACTTAGAAACAATTATAACCTAGACCCCAATTCTACCTGAAAGTAACAGAATAACATAATCTATACCCTGCAGCATGACTGTTTGCCCAACGTAATGAGGATGAACTGAGAGATAATGAATCATCATGACCCTGGCCCAAGTAATGAGAATGAACTGTGAGATAAATGAATGATCATGACAAAAAACCCCGCTACAACCCAACAACAAAATAAAGTGATTAAAAAATGGACAAACAACATTTATCCAAAGATGCAAAGATGATATACAATAGCCAAAAGATACATGAGATATATGAGAAGATGTGTAACATCACTAGTCATTAGAGAAATGCAAAAAGAAACCACAATGGGACATCACTTCAAACCCAACAGAAAGTAACAAGCGCAGGTGAAACTGAAACCCTTGAATACTGTTGGTGGAAATATGAACTGGCTCCTCAAAAAAAATAAAATAAAATGACCATATGATCCAGCCATCCAACTACTACAGAGACAGAATAACTAGTAGCAGGACCTCAAACAGATATGTGCACACCTAAGTTCACAGCAGCATTACACAGCCACAAGGTGGAAAAAACCAAAACGTCCATCCAGGAATAGGTGGATAAACAAAAGCATATATATATATGATATATATTATATATATATAATATATATAATGTATGTATATAATATATATGTAATATATATATAATATATATATGAAGAAATATTATTCAGCCATAGAAAGGAAGAAAATCGTGACACATCTGACACATAACATGGAACCTACTTACAAAACAACAAATATTATATAACCCTAGGTATATAAGCCAAATTTTTAGAAACACAAAGTAGAATAGTACTTGCCAGGAGGTGGAAGGAGGGGGAAATTAATAGTTGTTGAATGGGTATAGAGTTTTCCAAGATAAAAAAAAATCTAGAAATCTGCTACACAACACCGTAAATATTCTTAACTCTACAAAACTGTATACTTACAACTGGTTATGACGGTAAATTTTAAGGTATGTGTTTGTTACCAAAATCCTAAATAATAAATTATTTCTAAAAAATGATCTTTTTTGACACAGGGTCTTACTCTGTTGCCCTGGCAGGAGTGCAATGGCATGATCACAGCTCATTGCAGCCTCAACCTCCCAGGCTCAAGCAACCCTCCCACCTCAGCCTCCCGAATAGTTGGGACTACAGGGGCACACCAAGATGTCAGGCTAAATTTTGATTTGGTTTTTTTGTAGAGAGGGTTTTGCCATGATGCCCAGACTGGTCTCAAACTCCTGGGCTCAAGCAGTCCACCTCCCTTGGCCTCCCACAGAGCTGAGATTATGAGCATAAGCCACCATGCCCAGCCTATAAAAAATTATTTCAAAAAGCCAAAATATTAATCAAACTGGAATATTTAGAAATATTTAACCCAAAAGAAGTTAGGAAAAAATATATAGAAGATCAAAACACAGACGAAGGCCAGACATGGTGGCTCATGCCTGTAATCCGAACACTTTGGGAGGCCAAGGTGGGTAGATTGCTTGAGCTCAGGAGTTCAAGACCAGCCTGTGCAACATGGCAAAACCCTATCTCTACAAAAAATATAAAAATTAGTCAGGTGTGTTTCTATGCGCCTGTAGTCCCAGCTACTCAGTGGGCTCAAGTGAGGATTGGTTGGGCCTGGGAGGCAGAGGTTGCAGTGAGCCAACATTGCACCATTGCACTACAGTCTCGGTGACAGAGCAAGACCCTGTCTTAAAAAAAAAAAAAACAAACAAATAGAAAATAAGTAGAAAAATGGCAGACCTAAATCCAACCTTAGCAATGATTAGTTACAATGTAACTTGACAAATACTCTACTTAAGAAAGAGACTGCCAGACCTGAGAGGAAAGCAAGACCCAACAATATGGCTTCCACAGAGACACAATTTAAATACAAAGACACAAAGTATGAGAAAAAATATGCTATGCAGACACTAATAATAAAAATATGCTATCCAGACACTAATCATAAAAAGCTTCAAAGGAGACGTTAACACTAGATGAAAGAGGCTCCAGAACAAAATATATCACCAGAAATAAACAAAGTAATTTCATAAAAATAAAAGAATCAGAGAGGATGATGTTACAATTATAAATTGTGCCTCAAAGTGCACACAAAGTACACACACACACAGAGTCTCAAATTATGTGAATCAAAAACACAGAACAAAAGCAGGAAATTGACAATCCAAAATTATAGCTGGTGAATTTATACTGCTCTCTCAGTAACTGATGGAACAACCAGTTAAAGATATAGGAAAAATACGGATCTAAATGACACAATCCGGACCCAAAGGGTACTTGGCAGTACCAAGATAGACTGTATGTCGATCAATTGAGAAAATGTTCAAGCATGAAATAGTATACAAAGTATGTTGCCTGAACACCTGAAATTAAATTAGAAACCAACAACAAATTGATATCCAGAAAAGCCTCAAATGTCTGAAAACCAAGTAATAAACTTTGAAATACCCTGTGAGTCAAAAAAGTATTCACAAGGGGAACTGGAATGTATTTGGAACAAACTTGTTATAAAAATCATATTTCTGGTAGACTAAAGGTGACAACTTCTTTCCTGCTCCTCTCTCTGTGAGAACCAATTCCCCTTAAACCTTGTCCAGACTACTGACTTGCTTGGCCAACAAAAGGTGACAAAGGTGGTATTTGGGGACTTCAGAAGCCAGGCTGAGAAAACAGAACACTTATCCAGGAGAAAGCCAGTCACCAAGCAGGAAATCCCACTCCCCTGAGACCCCATGATGGAAACCACACGGGCAGTCCATGACTAGCTACACGCATTGACATCCCCCACTGACCCTCCAGCAACACCGACTCCCAACCACTAGTGAGCCTTCAGCAACATCCACTCCCTACCACTAGTGAGCCACCCTGCACACCACCCCACTGTGCTTTCACACAATCCAGCTTGGCTGCAACTGTGTGTGAGATGAGCTGGCCACCAAGACTCTCTAAGCCAAAAAACAAGTAATAGTGAGTTGTTTTAAGCTGCCAAGTTTTGGGGATGGTTTCTTCAGAATAGATAACTGGAACAGAATATGGTAGCTGGAAATGAGCCGCTGTGGTAATCAGAAGTTACAATATGTGCCACGACTGTGAGGCTGACCTGTAACTGGGCCTCAAGGAGACCATTCATGCAACCTGGAAGGGCATCAAGACTCTTGGTCAGGGCCTGAAGGACGGTGAGAAAATGTCATTGGAAACTGGGGAAAAGGCCTGAGAGTTATGTGCTGAGGGACTGTGAGAAAACTATGGCCACAACATGGAAACTGAAAGGGCACTGCACCATCTCAGGGGTCTGCCTAAGGAGACATCTGGGAAGAACATGGAAAGTGCTACCAGCCTCCCCTAACTGTCACTGAATAAATATGACAGGAGAGGGACATGATCTAAAGAAGGAAGTTCAGTTTTCAAACAAAATTTAGAGAAAATAAAAAGAAATAATTTCTTGTCTCAAAAGGCCAAAGGAAAAAAAAAAAGAAAAGGAAAAAAAACTAAAAAGAAGCCATTGAATACCCTATTGACCATAAGAAAAAGGCAGAGAAAGTTGGTCAACGGCAACCCAGGCACTGAAGGAAAAAGAACATGGAGAATGACAAAAGCCGAGAGGGAGGAGTAAAAGGACACAAACGCCGTTCTCAGGGACAAGGACTAGGCGCCGTTCTCAGGGACCTGGACTGGGCACTAATCACAGAACTGTAACAGGCGCCCCATGGGAATGACCAACTGTTAGATGGGGCCTGCAGGGCAGCACCTCCCTCCTGCCTCCCACCAACAGCTTCTAAACGGAAATGCTGACTGTTTTCACACCAGTCCCCTCACTGTGGCTGAGTGTGTGGGCACAGATGATAGGTCACAAAAACCTGATTCAGTCCTCACTGTGGCTGAATGTGTCAGGGGCAGACGACAGGCCACCACAACCTGATTCAGTCCTCACTGTGGCTGTGTGTGTGGGGGCAGATGACAGGCCACCACAACTTGATTCAGTCCTCACTGCGGCTGAGTGTGTGTGGGTGCAGGTGACAGGCCACCACAACCTGATTCAGGATTCAGTTGGGCTACCAGCCAGTGCCATAAGGAAAACCATTCTGGGACTCTTGAGAGGGGCAAAGAATAATTTGCATGTGGGAGAAGCGTTAATAGTTTGTGGCCAGAGGACAAGCTGTGGCTTATTAAAGACTGCTGCAGGTTCCTACTATGCTTCTCATCAAGAGGTGGAATCTAATCACCTTTCCCCCTTGAATCATGGCTGGTCTCAGTGATGAGTACGACTGGACAGTGTGGCAGCAGAGATGCTCTGGGACTTCTGAGGGATGATCATGAGAGACCTTACAGCTTCTGCCTGGGCCTCGTGGACACACACCCTGGGAGAAGTCAGACAAACCTGACTACCTGACACTGCCAGACTGGGAGGAAGTCCGTGCTGGCCACAAAGAGAGGGCTCGGTGCCTGCTCCATGTCCCCAGCCACTAGAGTCCTTCTGGGTGCCTGCTTCAAGTCCCCCACCATTAGAGTCCTTCCAGATGAGACCAGGGACATCATGAAGCAGCTAACCCACACTGCCCTGTCCAGTGTCTTGACCCAGAAAATTGTGACATGTAAAAAGAATAAATTCCTGGTTTAAGCCAGTAAGGTTACTGGTACATTGTTACATCTCAGATAATTAAAACCCTGAAAAACTCATGAGAGATCCCAAGTAAAACCTTGATCTGAAACATGGCATGTGGCGATTTATATTGAGTATTAGGTTAAAAATACAAGAATGGAGCATAGTTAATATTTTACGTTAAAGCTAAAACTATAATTGCCCACTTAAAATTTTTCAGTTAATTAGGTTTTCACTTTTTGTTCTTAACCAAGAAATCAACTAGTTTTAGTACATAAACAGTTGGAACTGATGCACACATCCGTTTTTCCTTACTAATTTTAAGCAGCTATCTGAAATAGGAAGGGTAATATAATCTTTAAAGAATCTGAAAACATGACAGAAATGTTTAAACTATAAACATATATTGTAAATGTTAGCATATTATATACATTGCATATTAACATAAGCTAAAATCATTGACATAAATTTATATACAAAAAAGGTAGAAAATATGACAATGTTCTTCTTGTTTTTTTGTCTTTGCATATTTCTTTATTGGCCCTTGTCAAACGTGATCCACTAACTCCTGAATGCTTTCTCTCTCCCCTTGGATTCCTAAGGATGTCACCACAGTGCTGGCCAGATGCACAGGTCACAGGTGACTGAACCTCATAATCCCACAAACACACACTTCAGGTTTTGCCAAGAATGACACTGTAAATATAACAAAGCTTCTGTGCTTGTTAGTGAACACGAACTCAGCTTCTCTCCTGTATTCGGAAATCAGGATGAGATGAAAACAACAAGCAGGCCAGGCACGGTGGCTCACACCTGTAATCCCAGCACTTTGGGAGGCCGAGGCGGGTGGATCACCTGAGGTCGGGAGTTTGAGACCACCCTGATCAAAACAGAGAAACCCCATCTCTACTAAAAATACAAAATTAGCCGGGCATGGTGGCACATGCCTGTAATACCAGCTACTCAGGAGCTGAGGCAGGAGAATTGCTTGAACCCAGGAGGTGGAGGCTGCAGTGAGCTGAGATCACACCACTGCGCTCTAGCCTGGGCAACAAGAGTGAAACTCTGTCTCAAAAGGAAAAAAAATAAAAATAAAGGAACAAGGAAACAAAAGTAACAAGGCTTGACACCAGATGAGCCTGAATATAAGCAAGAAAAGCCCAGAAGAAATCCCATTTTGGGTCACTGGCTGCATGGTTGTAATGCCATACACATAAAGGAAGAGAAGAGGATGTGGCTTTCACTTCGAATTTTTTGAGCTTAAGGTAAATTTGGATAGCTACAAAGAAGCATTCAACAGAGAGTTAAACCTATGATGGAAAGACTGAAGAGGTCCAAGCTGTAGAGAAACAGGACTGCAAACCACAAAGGGCTGAATCAGTCAAGGAGAACTGCAGGGCAAGATGAACAGGGACCAATGGAACATTTGGATAAGCTGTTGAGAAGAAAGGAGAATTCAGAGAAAAAGAACTGTCAGTGAGGTCATAATAGGAACTGTTACAGTGAACTAAATATGGCCTGGGAAGGACTCTGTACTTCTAGATTTGAGTCCCTGTGGACAAACTGCAACCTAACTTAATAGGTAGAAAGACTGAAAACCTAACTTAGGAGTATGTACCTAAAACAGTAGCTGAGTCCTGGCCAATCCCAACAGCCAAACTTCTGCCACTCACACACTGCTGAATGTTCAGCTGTGTTCAAATAAGGCAAATGCTGAGCACTGTAACCTGTCCAGTTGTTTCTGGACCTCAATGCTGAGAACTGTAATGGACCCAGTTGCTTCTAGACCTCACTCCTCACTTCAGATTTTTGTACATCATGTTCCCTTTATTGTCTATAAATCTTCCACCATGTGTCTGTGCTGGAGTCTTACTGAATCTGCTGTGATTCTGGGGGCTGCCTGATTCGTGAATCATTCATTGCTCAATTAAGTTCCTTTAAATTTAATTCAGCTGAAGATTTTCTTTTAATAGATGGTGTCAGAGGTGGGATCTGTGGGAGCAGGACTGCTAGGGCCTCTGGAGCTATACTGTGGTGGGCAGTGTTGCTAAGGCTTCTAATGACCCCCAGAGTGCTGAGGTACAAGGAAGGAACCTGAAAGGACCCGTTTGTGATGGCAGCAGTGGCCCACGTGGAGCAGTTGCTATGGAGACACTGGCTGCAGTGGGGAGGAGTGGCTGGGGCTGTGCGCTCCTCAAAGCTGGTGGGAGCCAGGAATGGATGGGAGACCTGCCCCTTCTAAATTATCAGGCAGGAGCCCCACCCTCCCAGGCACAGCTGCAGCCATCCAGCCATGACTGCAAACCTGGGCATCTCTGCACTCTCAGAGGCCCAGCAAGCTCCCCTGACCGGCAGGCTCAGTTGTACCTGGTCCTGCCACCTGGCGTCTCTCTGCTTCCAGAGCCCACTCCAAATTCGGATCCAAGTTGAGGCCAAACCCGGGCACAGTCACAACCCGGCCCAGTTTGTGCAAGCTCAGGGCAGTGCTGACATGCCAGTCCCCTGCCACCTCGGCCCCCTCCAGACTTTGGGCACTGGCAAGCACAGGAGGGAGGCTGAGGTGGGGCTAAGAGTGGCTCAGCAGTGGCAGAAAGGCCCTCCTCAGCTTGAACGCCTGGGCACTATGGGCACAGCTACCCACAGTGCGTCTCCTCTCAGCTGCTGAGAGCTGAACAGACGTTGGGATGACCTGCCTGCAGAAAGGAGCTACCCACTGCAGGTCTCCTCTGAGCTGCACTGTGGCTCAATAAAGCACCTCTTCACCTTGCTCACCTTCTACTTGTCCACACACCTCATTTTTCCTGGACTCAGGACAAGAACTCGGGACCTGCCAACTAGCAGGGCTGAAAGAGGTGTAACATAAACAGGGCTGAAACGCACTCCTTGCTTGCCAAATTGCAGGCAAGAAGAAGAGAAGAGAGAAGGAGAGAAGAGCTGTGTCCCTTCAGGGAACACAGACCTAGGAGCTCCCCCAGCCAGGGCTGTGACACCTTCTTTGGGGCTCTGCAGGTCCTGCATCTCCAAGCTTCTGGGTGCCACTGCATTCCCTGATACCCACAGTGGAAGCTGTTTGCAGTTGGCCTGGTCCAGCTGCAGCCTCACAGGGAGATGGCACCTGTGCCTGGAGCTGCCCACCCCACTGCAGCTGGCATGCTTGGCTGAGTGAAGTGGCCAGATCCCATGCTCGCTTGCTCACACACCCCTCACTGCTCTGTACCCAGCTCGCCCTTGGCAGGTGTGGGATCCAGACCACTAGCATGGGCTGAGTGGACAGAACTAACCCAGTGGGCCCGAACAAAGCACAGGTAAAGGCTCCACCAGCCAGAGGTTTCAGGCAGAAAAGTGACACCTCAGGATTCTCTAACACTTGTGTCCTTTGATCTCTTGCAGCAGCTAGGGATCATGGTAAATTTTCTCTCGGATTTCAGAGCTCCATGGATTTGTGTTTTGAGCTCTGAGTTTCTTTGAGCAAATTTCTGTTCCAAACTGCTATCCAGCCATGACTGGCTGGATGTTTTAGACGTTATGGCAGAAAAGAGACCGGGTCCAGGATCAGATTTGATCCAGTAGTTAACTGGCTTGAATCCAGTTCGAGTTAGAGGCCTCCTACATCTGACTGGGTCAGAAGGAAAGTGGTAGTAAATGATAATATTGGAAGGTTGTAACATTTGGCTTTTGAAAATTCACAGGGATTTTTGTGTTCTACCCCTTTGTTTCATTTTCTCACACGCTTAGGCAAGAAAAAAAAATCATTGGCTAAGTTAATGAAGGGAACCGGGGAGTAAAGCCAATATTTTAGGTAACAATAGGATCCTTAATTTCTGGAAAACTAAGCTCCTTCTGGCTAATATATTAGGCCTGGGAAGCAGCAAAGTCTTACAGAAATGGCAAAATCTTATTAAGATAACTTACAGTGGAACATTCCAAATGAATAATGCCCTGAAGTGCATTTAAAAATGAGGGCTCCCAAATTAGTCTTATCTAGGGATGCCTATTAATATGCAGAAGCTTCTAAAAAGATTTAGAGATGGCTCGGCCCATCTGGGAGCAAGTTTGAGTCTTACCAGTTTGATACTGGGTGCTGAGCAAAGTGGCACGTGTCTATGTTTTGTCACATGTATTTTGCTCTGGGCAGAATGAAAAATGTTAATTTGGTTACTCCAAGCAACCCCTTGGGCAGCATCTTGCAAAGCTGAGTGGATTCTTCCTGTGATTCCATGATTTTCCATTGTGATGCAGCTTGGCCCCAGAGCTATAATGTGGTGAGGAGAGTGACAGAGCAAGACACAATCTTTAAAAAAAAAAAAAATGGCCAGGTGCAGTGGCTCGTGCCTGTAATCCCAACACTTGGGGAGGCTGAGGCAGGTGGATCACCTGAGGTCAGGAGTTCAGGGCCAGCCTGACAAACAAGGAAAAACCCCGTCTCTTCTAAAAACACAAAATTAGCTGGGCACGGTGGCACATGCCTCTAATCCCAGCTACTCAGGAGGCTGGGGCAGGAGAATTGCTTGAACCCGGGAGGCAGGGGGTTGCAGTGAACCGAGATCACACCATTGCACTCCAGCCTGGGCAACAAGAGGGAAAATCCATCTCAAAAAAAAAAAAAAAAAAAGAAAGAATAATAGATTTGTCTATAAGGTTTTATGAAAAAGTGGGTGACATTTGGCTTTCTCTCTTTAAAGAAGATGTTCAGGTAATATTAAAAAATAATGAAAAATTTGTTTGCCTTTTAAATAAACTACCAAACAAAAAAAAAAAGGAAAAACAAGAGGCAGATCGTTTGTGAAGATAAGTCTTCCCTCTATCAATGAGTAAAGATTTTTGCCCTTTAAAACTTTTTTTAAGTCATGATTTTAAGTAAATGAATGACTTACGGTGACCTGGAATTCTATTTCATAACATCAAGTGTTTAAACTTTTAATATATTTAATAGGCTTCCCAAAATCAAATTTCAACTTCAAAATTGTCTTTTCCGACCTCTAACTTTGGGATACTACAGAGGCCCTTGAAGCACACAAAAGAGAGGTAAACAAGACTATTTAACATGTTAAGTCACATGGGTAGCACTGTCAAAATAAAACATAATGTTGAACCTTCTTCAGGTTATATTTAGTTTATGTCATCAACCCGTTCTAAAATTGTATAGGATTTCTAAAATTCTTTTTTTTTTTTCCCCCGAGACGGAGTCTTGCTCTGTCACCCAGGCTGGAGTACAGTGGCACAATCTCGGCTCACTGCAACCTCCGCCTCCTGGGTTCATGCCATTCTCCTGCTTCAGCCTCCCGAGTAGCTGGGACTACAGGCATCCACCACCATGCCAAGCTAATTTTTGTATTTTTAGTAGAGACGGGGTTTCACCGTGTTAGCCAGGATGTTCTCATCTCCTGACCTCGTGATCCTTCCACCTCGGCCTCCCAAAGTGCTGGGATTACAGGCCTGAGCCACTGCACCCGGCCAGGATTCTAAAATTCTAATATGCCTATATGCTATCTATCATAATTACCTGTTTTGTTTGCTTTGAGACAGAGTTTCACTCTTGTCACCTAGGCTGGAGTGCAATGGTGTGATCTAGGCTCACTGAAGCCTCCACCTCCTGGGTTCAAGCATTTCTCCTGCCTCAGCCTCCCAAGTAGCTGGGATTACAGACAACTGCCACCACATCCAGCTAATTTTTTTATTTTTAGTAGAGACAGGGATTTACCATGTTGGCCAGGCTGGTCTCAAACTCCTGACCTCAGGTGATCCACCTAACTTGGCCTCTCAAAGAGCTGGGATTACAATAATGAGCCACCACATCCACCCTAATTATGGTTATTAAGTTATTGTAGACCACAGAAATAACCAAATTTCCTTATCAATTGTCTTTAACTATAACTATTTAAAGTCATTCCCACAGTTAATTGCTTAAAGGTGATGCAGTTTCTAAAAACTTCACAAGCATGCAAAATTCTAGAATAGAAGATTCATGAAAGAATGAAAAGGACCATGAAAAACACTCGGGAACACAGGTTTCTAATAACTTTAATATCATGGGTAAAAATTCCCCATAAGTTCCCCGATCCCCCAATAATTGGACTGGTTAAGAATTCACAAAAGTTAGGCTGGGTGCAGTGGCTCATGTTGGCAATCCCAGCACTTTGGGAGGCTGAGGCCGGTGGATCACTTGAGGTCAGGAGTTTGAGACCAGCCTGGCCAATGGTGAAACCCCGCCTCTACTAAAACTACAAAAATTAGCCGGGTGTGGTGATATGCATCTGTAATCCCAGCTACTCGGGAGGCTGAGGCAGGAGAATCACTTGAACCCAGGAGGCGGAGGTTGCGGTGAGCCAAGATTGTGCCACTGCACTCCAACCTAGGTAACAGAGTGAGACTCTGTCTCAAAAAAAAAAAAAAAAAAAAAAAAAATCCTAAAGTTTAATAAGAAGACCAACTGGTTTATAAAACTGCTAACCCAAGTAAAACAAAAATTGAATATCAAGGAAATATTTTGCCAGATTTGCATGCTAAATCACCAATATTGAAATTGTTTAGATATATAATTTAAATAAACTCCATGGTCTAAGCCAAATTACCTATAACTCATCAGTTACCAGTGCCATGCACCTAATTTGAAGAAACAGCTGGTATTCAAGAGGATGTAAGTCTAATGTTAATTAAGCATGGACTTATGAAGGACCAGGATGGCCACCTTGTCCATCTTAAGTCCTTAAAACTTTTGTTATTAAAAGTTCTGCATTCCATAACTCATCATGGAAAGAGAAAATGATCCAAATTAAATATATTGCTGTGGTGATCTCTAAATTGCTAGAATAGTTTATAATCAATGTTTGGTTTGTCGAACCTATATTCCTAGGAAAACAATCAAAACTTCAGGTACATTTGGTTACCTGATGGGCCATTTAAACATTTTATAAAGGGATTTCATTCAGTTGTAATTTTCAGTGCATGTTTTCTGATTGTATAAAAGCTCTTCCATGCAAGAGGGTTGATGTTAAAACAGTAGATTATTATGCTGAATTGTATTTTCACCAGCTAAAGAAAGCCTTTTATGGTTCACAGAGGACAGCCAACCCCTTCACAATCTAGAATCTGATGACTGGATTTTCTGAGAACATCAGAGGACTGCCCTTGCCATCCACGTGACAGCAAAACTTCAAAACCTTAAACTTTGGGTTCATAGTCTTACAACTCAGAAGGGTCCCTCCACACTCGGAACCATACACCCTCTGGAACCCTTAAGGTAAAGCTAACAAGGACAGTTCCCCCCCAGAAGAAGATGGCATCCTTAATGTGAACAGCTTTTCCCAAGATCACAGATCAAGACTTCTCTACTCTCATGAGACTCTTATCTTAAGTATCTGTGCAGCTGCTAACATGGCATATGGAGAAAACATTGGGTATTATAAAGATTTTGTTGTAAGGAATTAACAAAAAATCCCACTTAGTTAAGCAAGTAAACTCTTTATCTAATTCATTCTTTAATCTATTTGATTTTAGATGGTTTGATTTATGGGGACCCTGAGTAAGGAGCATACACCAAATTCTTGGTGTTATCCAAATAGTCATAAGAGTCTCCCTGGTGCACTGTACTTACTCAAATGTTTTAAGAGTTTGCATGCAGCCATCTCTAAAATGTCAATTGGTATCTCTTCAACTGGAATGACAACAGATTAAAAAAAATGTGCAACCATAAGGACACCATAACCTATGAGTGACATGCTAAACTGGAAACCCAAAACAATGGGAGTGACATGCTAAACCAGAAACCCAAAACAATGGGACTGATGTACTAAAACCGGAACCCAAAGCAATGGGAGTGATGTACTAAAACCAGAACCCAAAACAATGGGAGTGACGTGCTAAACCAGAAACCCAAAACAATGGGAGTAACATGCTAAAACCAGAACCCAAACAATGGGAGTGATGTGCTAAACTGGAAACGCAAAACAATGGTAACTAAGAGTGAGGCTAAGGCCCTACATTTTGGTCACACTCTCAACTAAGTGACAACTTGACTAAAAAGGAGGATTTTTTTTTTTTTTTTCTGAGACAGAGTCTTGCTCTGTCCCCCAGAGTGGAGTGCAGTGGCATGATCTCGGCTCACTGCAAGCTCTGCCTCCTGGGTTCAGGCCATTCTCCTGCCTCAGCCTCCTGAGTAGCTGGGACTACAGGCACCCGCCAGCATGCTTGGCTATTTTTTTGTGTATTTAGTAGAGATGAGGTTTCACCGTATTAGCAAGGATGGTCTCAATCTCCTGATCTCGTGATCTGCCCACCTCAGCCTCCCAAAGTGCTGGGATTACAGGCATGAGCCACCGCGCCCAGCCAAAAGGAGGAATTTTTAAGCAAAATTATGGGAGGCCATTGTTTTGAACTAAGCTCATGCAATAGGTCCCAACAGAACAAACCAAACCAAAATGGAGTCACTCATGCTAAATGGAACATAATCAAATTAAGACTTTAAGGAAACACATAAATCCTAGAACAAACCAGGTTTTGTTTTTCTCCTGTAAACAGGATGTTCCAGCATAAGAAGACACCTTCTACTCAAGTCCTTGTTCCACCTTTTCAAATCTCACTGTTCTATTTCCCAGTGGGCTTCTAAACCAAATAAGTACATTTGCAATGGTAATAGTGACACCAGTGACTGAAGTTTTGGCCAATCTCTCAAAATTGAGAAAATAACCAAAGGGAAGGCATTGTTAAAGTGAACTAAGTATGTCCTGAGAAGGACTCCATAATTATATATATGAGTCCTTGTGGATGACCTGCAACCTACCTTGATAGGTAAACAAGAATGAAAACCTAACTTGAGTGTATGCACCTCAAACAACAGCTACATCTTGGCCAATCCCAATGGCCAAACTTCAACCACTCAGGCACTGCCAAATGTTCAAACTGTGCTCAAACAAGGCAAATGCTGAGTTGTTTCTGTACTTCACTTCCGATTTCGGTATGCCACTTCCCTTTTGTCTATAAATCTTCTTCCACCACATGACTATGCTGGAGTCTCTGTGAATCTGCTGTGATTCTGGGGACTTTCCGATTCGTGAATTGTTTATTGCTCAATTAAACTCCTTTAAAGTTTTTCTTTTAACAGAACTAACACGGAAGAATTTCCAGATCATGAACAGACGTTTTGTAATACCCAACGTTGTATTAACATGAATAGGCTCTTCCTTAGATAGCTAACCTTGTTTTTAAGATGAATAGACTCTCCCTTAGCTGAGAAAACCAGACAAACTCCATTTGGCTCCTTCATTTACAAGATATCAAGGGCTCCTTACCCACCCCCTTTCCTCAAGGACTTTAACTTGTGCAAGCTGATTTTCAACATATCAAAGAGTGCAATTAACTGATAAAGTGCTGAGGCAAGTGATATCCGCAGTTCCCAGCAAATTACTCAGAGATAATATCATAAAGCCCCCACATTTGTCTGGCAGATAATGTCCAGAGCCCCCTCACACATCACTTTGTGGTGAATTTAAAGCCTCTGCACCTGGAACAGTTTGTTTTCCTGTAACCATCTGTCTTTTTAAGTTTTTTGTCTGTTTTTTCTTCTGTAAGTTTATTGCAGCTGGAATCCCCCCTCCCCTCTCTAAACCAATGTATAAAAGAAAATCTAGCCCATTCTTTAGGGCCGAGAGTATTTCCTGTGTTAGCCATCTCTCAGTCACCAGCTAATAACGGACTCCTGAATTCGTCTCAAAGTGTGGCATTTCTCTCTAACTCGCTTGGGTACGACAGTTTCAACTATGGTAGAAGACTCGAGTAAGACAAATACAGCTCCCCTAAATTTGACTATTATTTGGGTTAATGGTGAGTTTAGAAGAAATAAGTTAAGACTACACAGAGTGGGCTAAATTGCAAATAAACACTGAAAATATTTCCCAGAAAATATGACTTTGAACAGGCTGCTGCACACCCTGCATGTAGAGATAAACTAAGAAAAATGTGTGGAGAGTTATTTAAGGACCTGTGGTTAACTCAGTCCTCAAGACATTCCAGGTTTCATCCATGAGTCAAGGAGGACCTCCCAAAAGCTGTTTGGGACCACACTCTTTGAGTAAGGAGCATACCTTATGATGGAAGCTGTGCTTTAGCAGTAGATGACCATTTCCACTGCACAACACGCCGTGCTTTAGCAGACAATGACCATTTCCACTGTACAACACGCTGTGCTTTAGCGTCAGATGACCATTTCCACTGCACAACATGACATGCCTTAGCGGAAGATGACTGTTTCCACTGCACAACACTACAAGTGCTTACTGCCAGACCAGTGTGAAATATGTTCCAGCACATAATCTATGTCACCAGTGAAGGTGGTGGTTAAGCCTTGGTGCACACAAGCTTTCCTGTCCCACAAGAACACAGCATGCTCTCTTTTCGGGTTCCATTCCAATCACGTAACAAACATGACTGCCTTTTTTGTTTTGGCATCAGAAAGATCAGAGGAAACTTTGCACTCAACTTAGACAACTCTAAGCTTTTATAACCTGTCTATATCTACAGGTCAGCTTTATCTTATTTATGTATATTTCCTTCAACCTGAGTTTTACTTATTTCCACTTTTGCTTTTTAATTCACAGACACCCATAAACTCAGAAAATACAGTGTAAAACAAAGTGAAGAACAAATAAACAACTCACCAGAGATTTATTCGTTTCTTGTTGCTCTTGGAAACACCCAGAGGACACTGGAAACATAGCTGGAAGAGAAGGCAAATGACATCGATTAAGGAGAGAACTGGTGAGGTGTGGTCCCAGATTCTTCTGCCCAACACTCTAGACACATTACCTGGAAAAGCCCTCCTCCCTCCGGAAAAAGAAAAACTTCCCCATGGGAGAAGAGTCCTTCACACCTCATTAGGGGCAGCAAAGACTCAAGTTAAGATAAGATACATCTACAAGTACATTAATTGGTAGGCATTAGATGTACAATTTATTTTTGAATAAAAATATGTATTACCTACTAATTTAGTAACAATATTACCTAAAGATATAATCTAATAATTTAATACAAAGAAACATTATAAGTTCACTAAAATAAATGTTATAGAAATATACTGGGCTGTATTAACTATTTTCCTATTAATATGTGGATTCCACAAATAACTTCATATGAGTATTCCCATGACAGTACATCTTGCTTTTCTATACCTCAACATCATGGAAAGTACATCTTGCAACCCAGCAATTTTGGCCTACGTTTTTTAAAATGTACATAATATGTATTTCCGGCAGTACACCATTCTACACATGTTTCCCAATAACACCTTTCCCTGTATCCAAGCCCTCATATTATGCTCTGACAATAAATTGGGCTTTTCCATCTGACTTGTCCAGAGAATGGACAATGGAAAATGTGATGCAAATATCCATTGGTTCTTGCCTTTTTGGACACAGTCATATTGTGAAGAGGTCTGGAGCTACCCTGTTGGAGACACATTGCCTAGCCAAGAGTCACCACAAACCGCCAGATTGTGAAGGAAACTATCTTAAACCAACCAGGCTCAGTCAAGGCACCAGGCGACTAAGGCCTGTTTTGTGATCCAGGCAACACAAATATATCAACTACCCAGCTGAACCCACCACACCAAAATGCAGATCCACAGAACTTCAAACAAATAAAATGGTGGTTGTTTTTTATAAGCCAGTAAGGTTTAATTAGTTCCTTGAACAGCAAATATTAACTGTTACACCTAAGTGAATAGAATTCAATATGTTTTTAACGAAATTATGTAGGGGGAGAAAGTCTTAAATTACAAATGAAATGCAATCAATAGAACTTCACAATCTATGCTAAATTTGGTGATGGACTAGGTTTAATATATCTCAGACACTGGAAACAACAAGCTAAGGTTGAAGGAAAGGGACTGTATTTGGAGAGTATTTCAATCTTTTCAAGTATGACAGGTCACTCCTGCACCCCAGACCACACTTTCAGGCCCCTTCAAATAAGGAATATTTCCTAGCTCCTTGCCTGTTCTTCTCAGCTGAATTCACCTCAACCTTCTGAAAGTTCTTCCAAACCTTCCACTATCACCTAGTCTTTGCAAATCTTGTGCATTCTAGGGAGTAGAATTAATATTTCCTGAGCGAGGAAAACTGGGATCTTCACCTGTGACCTTTTATCCTCCTCTGAAGCACTAGTGAGAGGTTAGACCAGAGGGCTGTTCTTTCAAGTGTGCTTCTTATTCATAGGGAACCCTCCCTTTCGAACTTTATAACACACAGTTAAGACTGAAGTACCCTTAAGGCTGAAGACCATCATCCAGTACCCCATCTCCCTCGCGGAATCAGTGAGTTCCTCCATGGAAACTAGGTCTCGTATAAACTTCCATAAATGCAATCCAGGAGGACTAGGCAGGTCACACAGTGAAGGAGGGAACCAGAAGCTTCACTTGCCAAATAGACACCAGGAAACCCAACTAATACAAACGCCCAGCTTAAGACTAGAGGCACACGCATTTCGCACTACTCCTCTGGGAATGGGGAACGTCTCCCGAGAACTGTGTGTTAGCACCGGGACAGATGGGCAAACTGAGCTACATGAGGGTTGGTAACCGGGTCTCTCAGCGGCAGGACAGGAGCGCGGCCTGCAGACTCCGGGCCCAGGGCCACCACCCTCGCCTACCCACTCCTGCGCCTCTGGAACCCGCTTCACTGCTGGGACCCCACGCCTGTCCTCCCAGCCCCCGCCAGGGTCCACGGCCCGCAAATGCACGTCAGGCCCCTCCTGCCCGCGATGCGCTCACGCGTCTGCCCCCACAAATGGGGAACACTGGTCTGGCCCCCCAGGATCCCCCGAGGCCCACAGGTTCCTCTTCGCCCTCACACCTACCCACAGGGACATAGAACCAAGCCCCAGGCCTGCTCAGCTACAGGACGGCCGCTGGGATCCGCACTTCCGGAGGAAAATGGCGAAGTGGGCGGGGCGGCGCATGCGCAGAGAGAAAAGCTGGTTCCCAAGGTCCTTCATGGTAACATCATTGGAAGGTGACACTACATTTCCTATGAGGCTCTGTGGTCCCCCGTTAGGAACGCACGCCGGACATTCTGTTTTGCCCAGCAGTGAGTCCAGTTACCCGGAGACCCGGACTTGATGGATCAGGACTGGTCCCTACCCACGTGACACAGATGTGGCATTCTGGTTCGTTATTAAATCCTGGTTTCACAGCCTGGGACATTGTGAAAATAATGGAGAAATTCCAATAGAAACCAATTGGTCTATGCTGTTAATGAGTAACTTTTTTTCTTTTGAGATGGAGTCTCGCTCTGTCACCCAGGCTGGAGTGCAATGGTGCGATCTTGGCTCACTGCAAACTCTGCCTCCCAGGTTCAAGAGATTCTCCTGCCCCAGCCTCCTGAGTATCTGGGATTACAGGCGGGCGCCACCACACTCGCCTAATTTTTGTATTTTTAGTAGAAACGGGGTTTCACCATGTTGATCAGGCTGGTCTCTAACTCCTAACCTCGTGATCCGCCCTCCTAGGCCTCCCAAAGTGCTGGGATTACAGGCGTGAGCCACCGCTCCCAGCCCTCAAGTCTATTTTTTATAGATGCATTCGAAAGCATGAAAAAAATCATGTCTCTATTTTACTTTAAATTTTTAAAAACACAACTAATGAATATGGTAATTCTCTTCCAATCTGCTATCTTTTCTCTCACTAAACTAATATGTGAGCTTTCAATTTACACAGTTAGAAAAAAATGCTCTAGTGTATATACTAGGATAAAATA
The DNA here is from genome assembly GCF_000001405.40 of Homo sapiens. NCBI lineage: Eukaryota > Metazoa > Chordata > Mammalia > Primates > Hominidae > Homo > Homo sapiens. Next base: position 11,215,837 of record NC_000024.10, read on the forward strand.
ACAGGGTCATAAGACAAGTGCACTCCATAATCTTTGTGACAACTTACACTTCCAGTGTCCGATGAACATTTACCCATAAACTCCCAGGTTTCCTCCATCCATCCATCAATCAAATCTACCTATCTTTATTTATTTATTGTGCAAAATACCTGAACTTTGCCTTTCCTTCCCTGATTTCTGCCACAAACTAGGCAAGGAGTTCTGCCTAGGGGTTTTTCAGAGCTCCGGCTACCACCGAGGTTCCTAACAGGGAAATTGCCAGCTTGAATGTTTGGAGTTGATGTGGGAGTGCGTGTGAAATGGGTGTGGGGTGAAAGGGCAGTGAACTTTGTAGGTGGGTAGATGGGGGTGTGAAGGGCTTTCAGGTAAGAGGCACAGAGGAAACTGGGAGAGGCAGCGAAAGCACTTCACACCTCAGATCACCAGAAGATGTTCCCACCAGTGCTGTGACAGTTTGCCAGTGCCATGGCAGCACAGGAAGTCCCCACCCCTTGCCATGGAAACAGCTGGAAGTTACTGCCCATTTCTAGCTATTTCTGAGTAACCCGCCCCTTAATTAGCATGTCATTAAAAGTGAATTATAAAAATGACTACAAGCCACCCCTAGGCTGCTACTCTGGGAGCACAACCCACGGAGGGCTCCCTGCCCTGCAGGAGCGGACGCAGGGCTGTAACACCGCCAATGCCTCCATAGAGCTGCTTTATTCCACCACAGGCTTGCTTTTGGATTCCTTCCTGAGCGACGCCAAGAACCTGCCCTTCCTCAGTGTGACTCTTGCCTAAAACCTATCCCTGGTTTTCTCTTTTCCTAAGCATGCCCTGAGTTGTTCTTTCATCTCCTCTGAACTTTCAATTGCTCCTCAGTGACTCTATTCTGCAGATCCAGAAAACTCAACCTTAATCTTCCCAGAGCACTGTTGTCTCCAATATTGGAATCTCTAGCCTTGTTTTCTCAGACACCTAGATTACAGGCCTCTCTCTTGAACACCTATTGGTAAGGTATCTGGAGATCCTTTAAATACACGATGATTGGCAGGGGTTACATAGGGGAAATCAGTGCCTGACAATTCGCCTTCCAGGATATGGATTTTCATTCCCTCTCTTTGTGGGCCCCAGTCTCCTATACATAAAAGTAGAGATTGTAATACTCATTTGACTTGCAGATACCTCACCCCGAACCCACCTAATATAATGTAAAAGCCAAGAATGTAAACCCTTTCCTCACCCCGTGAAGGTAAAATCCTCAGAGCCCAGGAGAGAAGGCTCAGGGATGGTACCTGGGTGTTTCCAACACTAACCATGCATTGTAGTTTTTAGTGTTCAAGTTTAAGCTTCTTATGTTAAAGTTACCCCAGCTTTAATTCTATTATAACAAGATTTATTTTTGTAATTCCATTTTTGGATTCTTGATTTCTTGGTAAAGAAATACAGTTATTTTTGTATACCAATCTTATATAGTGTTACATTCCTAAATTTGTTCATGAGTCCTAACACTTTTTAGTAAATTTCTTATGATTTTCTAAATGCAAGATCATGTCATCTGTACATAAAGATAACTGTACTTCTTCCTTTCCAATCTAGATGCCGTTTATTTATTTACATTGCCAAGTTGTGCCAGCTACCACTGTTATGAAGTAAAAGGGTCTCGCTGCCCAAAGCACTAGAAGCCAGTAACATGACACTGAGTTTTTGAGAAGAGAAAAACTTTAAAGCCAAACCAAAACCTATGGGATACAGGCCAGGCGCAGTGGCTCATGCCTGTAATCCCAGCACTTTGGGAGGCCGAGTCAGGTGGATCACGAGGTCAGGAGATCGAGACCATCCTGGCTAACATGGTGAAACCCCGTCTCTACTAAAAATACAAAAAACAAAAATTAGCTGGATATGGTGGTGGGCACCTGTAGTCCCAGCTACTCAGCTGAGGTGGGAGAATGGCATGAACCCAGAAGGCAGAGCTTGTAGTAAGCCAAGATTGCACCACTGCACTCCAGCCTGGGCAACAGAGAGAGACTCCATCTCCAAAAATAAAAACAAAAAAACAAAAAAAACAAACCTATGGGATACAGTAAAAACAGTACTAAGGAGTAAGTTTATAGCAAAAAGCACCTACATCAAAAAAAGTAGAAAAACTTCAAATAAACAACCTAATAATGCATCTTAAATAGTTAGAAAAGCAAGAGCAAACCAAAACCAAAATTAGTAGAAGGAAACATAACAAAGATCAGAGCAGAAATAAATGAAATTGAAACTTAAAAATATAAAATATCAATGAAATGAAAAGTTAATATTTTTTAAAAGATCAACAAAATCAACAAACATTTAGCCAGACTAAGAGAAAAGAGAGAAGACTCAAATACATAAAACCAGAGATTAAAAAGGAGACACTGCAAATGATACTGCAGAAATTCAAGTAATCATTGGAAACTATTATGACCAACTATATTCCAATAAATTGAAAAACCTGCAAGTAATGGCCAGGCACCGTGGCTCATGCCTGTAATCCCAACACTTTGGGAAGCCAAGGCAGGTGATCACCTGAGATCAGGAGTTCAAGACCAGAATGGCCAACATCGTGAAACCCCATCTCTACTAAAAATACAAAAATTAGCCAGGCATGGTGGCGTGCACCTGTACTCCCAGCTACTCCAGAGGCTGAGGCAGGAGAATCGCTTGAACCTGGGAGGCAGAAGTTGCAGTGAGCTGAGATTGTACCAAGCTCCATCCTGGGTGACAGAGCAAGACTCCATCTCAAAAAAAAGAAAAAGAAAAAAAAAAAAACACAACCAAACCACAAACCTAGAAGAACTGGATAAATGAGATTGAACCCATAATAAAACATCTCCTAGCAAAGAAACGTCTGGATCCAATGGCTTCACTGATTAATTTTACCAAACATTGAAGGAAGAATTACTATCAATCCTACTCAAACTATTCCAAAAAACAGAGAAGTCTGTAATATTTCCAAAATCATTCTATGAAAAAGACCATTCATCATGTCTAAGTGGGATTCATCCCAAGGATGCCAACATGGTTCAACATATGCAAATCAATCAATGTGACACATCATATCAACAGAATGAAGGACAAAAACCATATGGTAATTTCAATTCATGCTGAAAAGCATTTAATAAAATCCAACATCCCTGTGATAAAAAGAAACCCCCCAAAAAACTAGATTTAGAAGGAACATACCACAACACAATAAAAACCATATGCAACAGACCCTCAGCCAGTATCATCCTGAACAGAGATAACCTGAAATCCTTTCTTCTAAGATCTGGAACAAGGCAAGAATGTCCACTTCCAACAATGTTACTCAAGATAGTACTGGAAGTCCTAGCTAGAGCAATCAAGAAAATTGAAAAACAGTTAAGGGCATCCAAATTGAAAGAAGTAAAATTATTATTGTTTTCTTGTTTGCAGGTGATTTAATCTTATATTTGGAAAAACCTAAGAACTCCACCAAAAAACTATCCGAACTGATCAACAAATTCAGAGTCACACGATACAAAATCAAAATACAAAAATCAGTAACATTTCTAAATGCCAAAACTGAAGAATCTAAAGAAGAAAATCAAGAACGTAATCCCATTTACAATAGCTACAAATAAAATAAAATATCTAGGAATAAATGTAACAAAAGAAGTGAAAGATCTCTACGATGAAAACTATAGAACACCAATGCAAAAAAATTAAATAAGACACCAAAAAAAATGGAAAGATAGTCCATGTTCATTGATTGGAAGAGTAAATATTGTTAAAATACACATACTTCACAAAGCAATCTACAGATCCAACGCAATCCCTATTGAAATACGAATAACATTCTTCACAGAAAAACAGAAAAAAAATCCTAAAATTTATATGAAATCATAAAAGACCCAGAATACCCAAAGCCATCCGTAGCAAAAAGAACAAAACTGGAAGAATCACATCACCTGACGTTAAATTATACTACAGAGCAATTGTAAGCTAAACAGCATGGTACTGGCATAAAACAGACACATAGACCAATGGAACAGAATAGAGAACCCAGAAATAAATCCTTACATTTACAACTAACTCATTTTCAATGAAGGTGCCAAGAATATACATGGGGGAGAGGACAGTCTCTTCACCAAATTGTGCTGGGAAAACTAGATATTCATTGGCAGAATTTTTTTTTTTTGAGATGGAGTCTAGCTCTGTTGCTCAGGCTGCAGTGCAGTGGTGCGATCTGGGCTCACTGCAAGCTCCACCTCCCGGGTTCACACCATTCTCCTCCTCAGCCTCCCAAGTAGCTGGGAGTACAAGTGCCCCCACCACGCCCAGCTATTTTTTTTTTTTGTATTTTTATTAGAGACGGAGTTTCACCGTGTTAGCCAGGGTATTCTTGATATCCTGCCTTCATGATCTGCCCACCTCAGCCTCCCAAAGTCATTGGCAGAATAATTAAACTAGAACCCTCTCTTGTGCTATATACAAAAATCAAATCCAAATGGATTAAAGACTTAAATCAAGGACAAGAAACTACTGAAAGAAAACATTAGGGAAACTCTCCAGGAAATTGGTCTGGGCACAGATTTCTTGAGTAATACTCCAAAAGCTCAGGCAACCAAAGCAAAAATGAACAAATGGTATCACATGAAGTTCAAAAGTTTCTGCATAGTAAAGAAAACAATGGACAAAGTGAAAAGGCAATCCACAGAATGGAAGAAAATATTTGCAAACTATATATCTGACAAGGGATTAATAACCAGAATATATAAGGAGTTCAAACAACTCTATAAGAAAAAAACTAATAATCCAATTATTTAAATGGGCAAAAAATCTGAACAGACATTTCTCAAAAGAAGGCACGCAGATCAGGCCCAGTGGCTCACACCTGTAATTCCAGCATTTTGGGGAGCCAAGACAGTTGGACCACTTGAGCCCAGGAGTTCAAGACCAACCTGAAAAACATAGCAAATAATTTTAAAACCTACCTGGGCATGGTGATGCATGCCTGTGGTACCAGCTACTCAGGAGGCTGAGGTGGGAGGATTGCTTGAACCCTGGTAGTCATAACTACAGTAAGCCATCATTATACCACTGCACTCCAGCCTGGGTGACAGAGTGAGACACTGTCTCAAAAAATGAACAAAAACAAAAAAGAAGATATATAAATGTCAAATAGGTATTTGAAAAGATGCTCAATATCACTGATCATCAGAGAAATTCAAATCAAAACTACAATAAGATATCATCTTACCCCCATTAAAATGGCTTTTATGCAAAAGACAGGCAATAACAAATGCTTGCAAGAATGTAGGGAAAAGAGAACCCTCTTACTCTGTTGGTGGGAATGTAAATTATTACATTCACTATGGAGAAAAATATGGAGGTCCCTCAAAAAATTAAAAATAGAACTATCATATGACACAGCAACCTCACTGCTGGGTATATACCCAAGGGAGGGAAAATTAGTATATCAAAGAGATATCTGCATTCCCATATTTATTTCAGCACTATTCATAATAGCCAAGATTTGGAAGCAACCTAAGTGTGCATCAACAGATAAAGGGATAAAGAAAATGTAGTACATGTACACAATGGAGTACTCTTTGGCCATGAAAAAGAATAAGATTCTGTCACTTGCAACAACGTGGATGGAACTAGGGAACATTATGTTAAGTACAATGAGCCAGACACAGAAAGACTTTGCATGTTCTCACACATTTGTGGGAGCTAAAAATTAAAACAATTGAACTCATCAAGATGGAGAGTAGACTGAGAGTTTCCAGAGGCTGGGAAGAGTAGCGGTGTTATGGGATCTTTGGAGTGTCACTTTTCTGGACAGAAACCTCTATGGCTGGTGGCACCTTTACCTGAGTTTTGCTTGGGCCCCGCCCACTCAGCCTGGCAGGCTGTGCTCAGCTCATGCTACCAGGTTGGATCCCATGTTTGCCAAGGGAGACTGCGTGGAGTGGCAAGGGGTGTGTGAGCAAGCATGGGGTCTGGCCACTGTGCCGTCAGACTTCCTGGCTGCTGCAGTGGGGCAGGTAGCTCCAGGTGCCAACATGGGTGCCAGCTCTCCACAAGTCTGTGGCTGGACCACGGGCACCGCAAGCAGCTTCCGCAGCTGGCACACTGGGAACACAGTGGCACCCGGAAGCTTGGAGATACCAGGAACCACGGGGCCCCAAAGAGGGAATCACAGCCCTGGCTCGGGGAGCTCCCAGGTCTGGGCTTCCCAAAGGGTCACAGCTCTTGTTTCCTTCTCTTTGCCCACAATGTGGCAAGTAAGGGGCATGACTCAGCCCTGTTTGTGTTACAGCTCTTTCAGCCTCTTCCCTAGGATTTGTCATAATTAATTCTCATATTGTCTTATTTTTTTACATTTGTTTCAACTTCAGAAGATGCATGGATCTAAACACAACATAATGTGTTAGCTAGCTGCCATATGAATTTCTCCGTGTTTCACCACTATGCAGCCTAAAGTTATTCCGTCATCCATGACTATCCTGGCTAAAGAGTCTAAAGATCTTTGTTTGGTAGCTATGGCTTCAGCTAGTTCATTCGCTAATTTACCTAGAGTGGTTGACAGATTTCTAATTATACGTTCATGAGAGGTTACTCCCCACCATTGCAAGTGACTTCTGCCAAACATTGGCCAAAATTCACCTCCTTGGTTTGCAGGTATGGTTTGTCTAATCCTGGAAAGTAATTTCGATGAACTACTTCAGTGTTCAGAAACATTGGAGTTATAAATAGAAAGAGGAAGAGTCACATAACCTAATAGACAATTACTTCTCATATGCCAGTGGTCAACACATTCATAAGCCCATGGGTGGTTGATCCAGGGACCACACAGGGTCCCTGACAGACTCTGAAAGTTAAGGCTTTAGTTTACTGGTAACAGAGACAAGTTAAAGTACATGTCTTCAGTCTTGAGGAGAGTGTAATCAGTCTCATTTTTTTTTTTTAATGAGACAAACATCAGGTAAAGACCTTGACAAGAAGGAAGAGAAATCCCGAGATTCTATAATCATAATAATCGAATTGTAATTGCTAGTTTAAGTAGTCCTTCAAAAATACATCTCATTCCTGACAGGATAAAACAAGTTTTTAAAAATATATTATATTCAGATTCACTAGGGAACACTTGGAGCCAGGAAATAATTCAGAATTCAGCCCAAATTATAGGCAAATAATAAAAACTCTAAAACAATGATCAGGGTTGGAATCTAATAGCATATGTCATAGTTTTCTTTTGGAACATAAATTTTCTCTCTAATCCATCATTTTATCAAAGACAAATCATAGTAGGACCAATTTTGTATACAAAATAAGTTTTAGTCTTATCATACCGGGTCTGATTATTTCCATAAAGAGCAGCAAGAATATTTATTGGCCATATAGGCTCCTTAAAATTGGCTTTGTTGGAAATTTTTAATAAGGAATCTTAGACTTTTAGGAGCCTTGAAGCTAGCCAAGTCAAAGATTTGCATCAGGCTGTGTCTGTAATACTTTTTTAACCTACTTTTTAAAATTATACTTTAAGTTCTGGGGTACATGTGCAGAACGTGCAGATTTGTTACATAGGTATATATATTCTGGGGTGGTTTGCTGCACCCATCAACCCATCACCTATATTAGGCATTTCTCCTAATGCTATCCCTCTCCCTGCCCCCACCACCCAACATGCCCCAGTGTGTGATGTTCCCCTCCCTGTGTCCATGTGTTCTCATTGTTCAACTCCCACTTATGAGTGAGAACATGTGGTGTTTGATTTTCTGTTCTTGTGTTAGTTTGCTGAGAATGATGGTTTCCAGCTTCTTCCATGTCCCTGCAAAGGACATGAACTCATCGTTTTTTATGGCTACATAGTATTCCATGGTGTATATGTGCCACATTTTCTTTATTCAATCTATCATTGATGGGCATTTGGGTTGGTTCCAAGTCTTTGTTATTGTGAACAGTCCTGCAATAAACATACATGTGCATGTGTCTTTATAGTAGAATGATTTATAATCCTTTGGGTATATACCCAGTAATGGGATTGCTGGGCCAAACGGTATTTCTAGTTCTAGATCCTTGAGGAATAGCCACACTGTCTTCCACAATGGTTGAACTAATTTACACTCCCACCAACAGTGTAAAAGCCTTCCTATTTCTCCACACTCTCTCCAGTATTTGTTGTTTCCTGACTCTTTAATTTTCGCCATTCTAACTGGCATGAGATGGTATCTCACTGTGGTTTTGATTTGCATTTCTCTAATGACTAGTGATGATGAGCTTTTTTTATAAGTTTGTTGGTTGCATAATTGTCCTCTTTTGAGAAGTGTCTGTTCACATCCTTTGCCCACTTTTCATTGGGGTTGTTTTATCTTGCAAATTTGTTTAAGTTCTTTGTAGATTCTGGATATTAGCCCTTTGTCAGATGGATAGATTGCAAAAATTTTCTCGCATTTTGTAGGTTGCCCGTTCACTCTGATAGTTTCTTTTGCTGTCCAGAAACTCTTTAGTTTAATTAGGTCCCATTTGTCAATTTTGGCTTTTGTTGCCTTTGTTTTTGGTGTTTTGGTCATGAAGTCTTTGCCCATGTCTATGTCCTGAATGGTATTGCCTAGGTTTTCCTCTATGGTTTTTATGGCTTTAGGTCTTATGTTTAAGTCTTTAACCCATCTTGAGTTAATTTTTGTATAAGGTGTAAGGAAAGGATCCAGTTTCAGCTTTCTGCCTATGGCTAGCCAGTTTTCCCAACACCATTTATTAAATAGGGAATCCTTTCCCCAGTGCTCGTTTTTCTCAGGTTTGTCAAAGATCAGATGGTTGTAGATGTGTGGTGTTATTTCTGAGGCCTCTGTTCTGTTCCTTTGATCTATATATCTGTTTTCGTACCAGTACCATGCTGTTTTGGTTACCGTAGCTTGTAGTATAGTTTGAAGTCAGGTGGCATGATGCTTCCAGCTTTGTTCTTTTTGGTTAGGATTGTCTTGGCTATTCGGGCTCTTTTTTGATTCCATATGAAATTTAAAGTATATTTTTCCAATTCGTGGAGAAAGTCAATGGCAGTTTAATGGGGATAGCAGTGAATCTATAAATTACTTTGGGCAGTTGGTCACTTTCACGATACTGATTCTTCTTATCTATGAGCATGGAATGATTTTCCATTTGTTTGTGTCCTCTCTTATTTCCTTGAGGAGTGGTTTGTAGTTCTCCTTGAAGACATCTTTCACATCCTTGTAAGTTGTATTCCTAGTTATTTCATTCTTTTTATAGCAATGGTGAATGGGAGTTCACTCACAGTTTGGCTCTCTGTTTGTCTGTTATTGGTGTATAGGAATGCTTGTGATTTTTGCACATTGATTTTGTATCCTGAAACTTTGCCGAAGTTGCTTATCAGCTTAAGGAGATTTTGGGCTGAGATGATGGGGTTTTCTAAATATACAATCATGTCATCTGCAAACAGAGACCATTTGACTTCCTCTTTTCCTAATTGAATACCCTTTATTTCTTTCTCTTGCCTGATTGCCCTGGCCAGAACTTCCAATACTATGTTGAATAGGAGTAGTGAGAGAGGGTATCCTTGTCTTGTGCTGATTTTCAAAGGGAATGCTTCCAGTTTTTGCACATTCAGTATGTTACTGGCTGTGGGTTTGTCATAAATAGCACTTACTATTTTGAGATACGTTCCATCAATACCAGTTTATTGAGAGTTTTTAGCATGAAAGGTTGTTGAATTTTGTCAAAGGCCCTTTCTGCATCTATTGAGATAATCATGAAGTTTTTGTCATTGGTTCCCTTTATGTGATGGATTACATTTATTGATTTGCATATGTTGAACCACTCTTGCATCCCAGGGGTGAAGCCGACTTGATCATGGTGGACAAGCTTTTTGATGTGCTGCTGGATTCAGTTTTCCAGTATTTTATTGAGGATTTCTGCATCAATGTTCATCAGGGATATTGGTCCAAAATTTTCTCTTTTTGTTGTGTCCCTGCGAGGTTTTGGTGTCAAGGTGATGCTGACCTCATAAAATGAGTTAGGGAGGATTCTCTCTTTTTCTATTGTTTGGAATAGTTTCAGAAGGAATGGTACCAGCTCCTCTTTGTACCTCTCGTAGAATTCGGCTGTGAATCCATCTGGTCTTGGAATTTTTTTGTTGGTAGGCTATAATTAATGCCTCAATTTCAGAACTTGTTATTGGTCTATTCAGGAATTTCACTTCTTCCTGGTTCAGTCTTGGTAGTATTCTCTGATGATAATTTGTATTTCTGTGGGATCAGTGGTGATATCCCCTTAATCATGTTTTATTGCATCTATTTGATTCTTCTCTCTTTTCTTCTTTATTAGTCTGGCTAGTGGTCTGATTTGTTGATCTTTTCAAAAAAACAGTTCCTGGATTCATTGATTTTTTGAAGGGTTTTTCGTGTCTCTATCTCCTTCAGTTCTGCTCTGATCTTATTTGTGTCTTGTCTTCTGCTAGCTTTTGAATTTGTTTGTTATTGCTTCTCTAGTTCTTTTAATTTTGATGTTAAGGTGTCAATTTTAGATCTTTCCTGCTTTCCCTTGTGGACATTTAGTGCTATAAATTTCCCTCTACACACTGCTTTAAATGTGTTCCAGAGATTCTGGGACGTTGTGTCTTTGTTCTCATTGGTTTCGAAGAACATTTTTATTTCTGCCTTCAATTCTTTATTTACCCAGTAGTCACTCAGGAGTAGGTTACCCAGTTTCCATGTAGTTGTGAGGTTTTGAGTGAGTTTCTTAATCCTGCATACTAATTTGAATGCATTGCGGTCTGAGAGACTGTTTGTTATGATTTCCATTCTTTTGCATTTGCAGAGGAATGTTTTACTTCCAATTATGTGGTCAATTTTAGAATAAGTGCAATGTGGTGCTGAGAAGAAGGTATATTCTGTTGATTTGGGGTGGAGAGTTCTGTAGATATCTTTTAGGTCCACTTGGTCCAGAACTGAGTTCAAGTCCTGGATATTCTTGTTAATTTTCTGTCTCATTGATCTAATATTGACAATGGAGTGTTAAAGTCTCCCACTATTATTGTGTGGGAGTCTAAGTCTCTTTGTAGGTCTCTAAGAACTTGCTTTATGAATCTGAGTGCTCCTGTATTGGGTGCATATATGTCTAGGATAGTTAGCTCTTCTTGTTGCATTGATCCCTTTACCATTATGTAATGCCCTTCTTTGTCTCTTTTGATCTCTGTTGGCTTAAGATTTGTTTTATCAGAAACTAGGATTGCAACCTCTGCTTTTTGTTGCTTTCCGCTTGCTTGGTAAATGTTCCTCCATCCCTTTATTTTGAGCCTATGTGTATGAGATGGGTCTCCTGAGTACAGCACATTGATGTGTCTTGACTCTTTATCCAATTTGCCAGTCTGTGTCTTTCAATTGGGGGCATTTAGCTCATTTACATTTAAGGTTAATATTGTTATGTATGAATTTGATCCTGTCATTATGATACTAGCTGGTTATTTTGCTCATTAGTTGATGCAGTTTTTTCATAGTGTCAATGGTCTTTATAATTTGGTATGTTTTTGCAGTGGCTGTTACCAGTTGTTCCTTTCCATGTTTAGTGCTTCCTTCAGGAGCTCTTGTAAGTCAGGCCTGGTGGTGAAAATATCTCTCAGCATTTGCTTGTAAAGGATTTTATTTCTACTTCAATTATGAAGCTTAGTTTGGCTGGATATGAAATTCTGGCTTGAAAATTCTTTTCTTTAGGAATGTTGTATATTGACCCCCACTCTCTTCTGGCTTGTAGGCTTTCTGCCAAGAGATCCACTGTTAGTCTGATGGGCTTCCGTTTGTGGGTAACTCAACCTTTCTCTCTGGCTGTCCTTTATATTTTTTCCTTCATTTCAACCTTGGTGAATCTGATGATTTTGTGTCTTGGGGTTGCTCTTCTTGAGGAGTATCTTAGTGGTGTTCTCTGTATTTCCTGAATTTGAATGTTGGCCTGTCTTGCTAGGTTGGGGAAGTTCTCCTGGATAATATCCTTGAGAGTGTTTTCCAACTTGGTTCCATTCTCTCTCTCACTTTCAGGTACACGAATCAAACATAGATTCAGTGTTTTAACATATTCCTCTATTTCTTGGAGGCTTTGTTCATTTCTTTCACTCTTTTTTCTCTAATCTTGTCTTCTTGCTTTATTTCATTGAGATGATCTTCAATCTCTGATATTCTTTCTCCTGCTTGATTGATTCAGCTATTGATACTTGTGTATGCTTCATGAAGTTCTTGTGCTGGGTTTTTCAGCTCCATCAGGTCATTTATATTCTTCTCTAAACTGGTTATTCTAGTTAACAATTCGTCCTACCTTTTTTTTTCAGGCTCTTAGCTTCCTTGCATTGGGTTAAAACACGCTCCTTTAGCTTGGAGGAGTTTGTTATTACCCTCCTTCTGAAGCCTACTTCTGTCAATCCATCAAACTCATTGTCTGTCCAGTTTTGTTCCCTTGCTGGTGGGGAGTTGTGGTCTTCTGGAGGAGAAGAGGCATTCTGGCTTTTGGAGTTTTCAGCCTTTTTGCACTGGTTTCTCCCCATCTTTGTGGATTTATCTACCTTTGGTCTTTGATGTTGGTGATGTTGATACTATTCCTTTATGTTTGTTAGCTTTCCTTCTACCAGTCAGGTCCCTCTGCTGCAGGTTTGCTCGAGTTTGCTGGAGGTCCACTCCAGACCCTGTTTGCCTGGGTATCACCAGTGGAGGCTCAGTTGGAAATGCATGAACCACCTGCCTTCTGTGTTGATCTCACTGGGTGCTGCAGACCGGAGCTGTTCCTATTCAGACATCTTGCCAACTCTCCTGTAATACTTTTATGAATGGGTGTAGTCCTATCTTCTCAAGGTCCCCAAATAACTTGAGGTTCCTGGGCCCGTCAGAAAGTGACATTCTTTACTTCTTACCACAAAGACAGCAACTTTGTAAAGGACCCTTGTAGACAAGACACCAAGCCAGTCATTCTAAGGGGCTTTGCATTGGTGCTATAAAGTCAACCTCAATTCCTTAAAGTGGTCTGGTTGTATCTGCCGTTCGAGTTAAAGCCTTTATAAAATAAACAGTGTCTCCAATTGAATCCTGTTACCAAAAACAGATTCTTATTGAAATTATGCAAGTAATTATATTGCCATAATTTAGGAATGCTCACGAATGGCTTCTGAATTCTGGAGAAATCAGTTAGAGAGACAGATAAATGGCTAAATTTTTGTTCAAAATGTAGTTTTTCTAACGTAGGGTAAGTTAAAAATAGCTGAAAAGAAAAAAATTCTTGACTTTGGAAAACAAAACATAAAGAGAATCAACAATGTTTCCAATGGAAGGGCCATGAATAAAATCTTTTCCTTCTTTTATAAGTTCAGTCCAATGTAACTAAATCTTGTTCTGCTTGATTTCAAATAGCAATTCTCATTCAGTTTTTTGTGTTTTGCTTGATTTCAATTGGAAATTCTCATTCAGCTTTTTAGAGTCCTGGAAGATTTTCCTAGTCCAATGGTATGATCCCCAAAGTTATCTGAAACCATATTTAAGAGAACTTGTCAGAGTCCTTTCCATTAAAAGTAATTTAGATGATAGCTGATTGTAAAGGCTTTTTTTTTTTTTTGAGACATGGCCTGGTTCTATCACTCAGGATGGAGTGCAGTGGCATGATCTTGGCTCACCACAATCTCTCCCTCCCAAACTCAAGCCATCCTCCTACCTCAGCCTCCGAAGTAGTTGGGACCATAGACATGCACCATCATGCTGGCTAATTTTTGTATTTTTGTAGAGACAGGGTTTTACCATGTTGCCCAGGATGCTTTCAAACTTCTGAGTTCAATCAATTCACCCACCTCGGCCTTGTAAAGTGCTGGGATTTTTACACGTGTGAGCCACCATGCCCTGCACCACGCCCAGCACCGTGCCCTGCACAGCCTCCAGCAGCACGCCCGGCCTATAAAGCGTTTTAGAGAAGAACTTTAAACTATCACCGTGGATGACAAAAACTTAGAATATCCTTTGGTTAAAATCCAGTAGAAGTTCTCGACCTGCGAGAAAATTTAGTTATTTCTATTATATGTAGCATTTTAAGATAACAGCCAGAATCATGACTGACGGCAACACATCAGATCCATCAGACTTCCACAAATTTTATATAATCTTTAGAATATTTATATTAATAATATATCTATACATATACAACTTTAGAGAATATTTAACATCATCAAAATTATGACTGATACCATATTAGATTTTTATAATTTATATAACATTTAAAATATTTATATTAATAATATACCTATAAATGTAACCAAAAGAAGATTTAGGCCAGGCACAGTGGCTCATGTCTGTAATCCCAACACTTTGGGAGGCCAAGTTGGACAGATCCATGAGCCTGGCCAACATGGAGAAATCTTGTCTCTACTAAAAATACAAAATTAGCCGGGCGTGGTGGCATGTATCTGTAGTCTCAGCTACTTGGGAGGTTGAGGCAGGAGAATCGCTTGAACCTTGGGGCAGAGGTTGCAATGGACCTAGATCACGCCACTGCACTCCAGCCTGGGTGACTAAGCAAGATTCTGTCTCAGAGAAAAAAAAAAGATTTAGTGTTACTTATCTTTTGGCAATGCTTCCCATACAATGTTATCAACTAAGATTTAGCAAAGATGTCAAAAAATTGAAAACATTTGACCGAAACTGAATGACAGTTTATTGTTTTTTATTTTATTATTTTTTTGAGACAGGGTCTCACCCTGTTGCCCAGGCTGGAGTGCAGTGGTGAAATCATGGCTCACTGCAGCCTCAACCTCCCAGGCTCAGGTGATCCTCCACCTTAGTCTCCCAAGTAGCCAGGACTATGAGCACTTGTTACGACACATAGCTAGCTTTTGTATTTTTAGTAGAGATGCGGTTTTGCCATTTTGCCCAGGCTGGACTTGAACTCCTGGGCTCAAGTGATTCACCCACCTTGGCCTCCCAAAGGGCTGGAATTACAGACATGAGCCGCTGCACACAGCCACATGTCATTTTTAAATAACAGTCATTCATTTAATTAGCATGACAACCAAAAGACATCAAAAGCAATGTAGAAGGTTACATGGATGTGATAACTGAAAACCCTCAGTTTTCCCAAGGAATTAAAAAAAAAAAAGGCAACACATGGATTATCTTGATAAAACCTAAAATTTTTATTACAGGCCAGTCATTTAAAGGGTAAAACTCCTGTGGCATAACTGTGTCTTCTTGCGGGAAGCTAATTTAAATCACTTGGAAGTCAATTCCGATGACAAGCAGACTTGAATTTAATTAGACATAGAAAGAGTGTGTCCAGGGTCATGAGTGAGCATAATATTACAAAGGAATGTCAACAGGAAAACCAGAGCATAGAGCAGTGGGGAACCATAACTCACAATGATAGCAAGAAAGTTTCCTGGTTACATGAAGTAATTAAGACATATTTAAAAGCCAAGAATATAAAATTAGACCTGATGAAAAAGCTGAAGGAGTTATCATCCCAGCCAAGCAGGAAACCCAAGCCTTTTATTCCTTCTCAAGAAGGAATAGGAGACAGTGATGTGATCTGTGAGTCATGTGTAACATGAAAGTACAGGAAAAGTTGAACTTCTGATATACAAATCTGAAAAGTTTTTATAGTAACAGATTTCAGGATTAAAAGTCAATATTTATTACCTCTTATTATGAGCAAATAAGTACATTAAGAAAACCTTGTTGTTTTAACCAAAATTTTTAGTTTTTTATCACTATGTTTTTAATATTATAACTAATTTAAATAAACTTTATAAACAATCTATCTGATCTCAATCAGTTTTGACCTAGATGTAAGATTTACATAAACTTTTAATAACCTTGTATAATTTTTTCATCTTTCCCAACTTTTTATACACATTCACTTTTATCTATCTTTTTTATGCCTTCAATTTAAAATAATCCTTAAAAATCTCTAAGCGAATTTACTTTCTCTGAAACAAAAACCGGTATACATTTTGCATACAGAATTGTTTCTCTTGTATCTAGTAGTCTTAATCACACATATCTAGCAAGATATTAACACTTAGTAACCCTTATTTTAAGAAAAAACCTAGGAAGCAAGAAATCTTGAATTGTCATATAGCAATATCTTACATATGAGAATAATTTCATAATTTTGAATTATGTGTTCCTAAAACATATTTTTTAAGATGGATTTTGGCTCTTGTTGCCCAGGCTGGAGTGCAATGGTGTGATCTCACCTCACTGCAATCTCCGCCCCCCAGGTTCAAGTAATTCTCCTGCCTCAGCCTCCCGAGTAGCTGGGATTTCAGGAACCCACCACCACACCTGGCTAATTTTTTGTATTTTTTAGTAGAGATGGGGTTTCACCATGTTGATCAGGCTGGTCTTGAGCTCCTGATCTCGGGTGAGCCACCCACCTTGGCCTCCCAAAGTGCAGGGATTACAGGCATGAGCCACAGTGCCTGGGCTAAAACATAAGTTTTAAATTGTAAATAACCCAGATATTTAATGAGTATCTATTATTTAATTTAACATAACTAAAATTTCAAAAATAGGCTGGGCATGGTGGCTCACACCTGTAATCCCAACACTTTAGGAGGACAAGGCAGGAGTATCATGAAACCAGCCTGAGCAAAATAGTGAGATGCTGACTCTACAAAAAAAATAAAAGTTAGCTGACCATGGTGGTGTATGCCTGTAATTAACAGCTACATGGGAGGCTGAGGTGGGAGGATACCTTGAGCACAGGAGGTCAAGGTTGCAGTGAGCTGTGATCATGCCACTGCACTTCAGCCTGGGTGACAGACAGAGACATTGTCTCAAAAAAATTTCAAAAATACATTAAGATGTCTTGTATAGACATTTATCCATTTACATTTACTTATTTTTGACAGTTTATCTAGAGTATTTGTGAGAACTGAGGTATTGGACAAAGGTATTCATCATTTCTAGGTTATTTTCTTGTTAACCACGTTATAGCCTGTGAATATCAGCTGTTCATGTAAGTGAGGACTTCAAAGTTAAATACATGGGTATTTTACCAATATTTCAGAAAATTCCATTATTTTTGTTCAACAAACCATATTAAATTGGTCTTATGTATTTAAAAAATCACATAAACAAATATTCTTTTTTTCCTGTGTTTATAGCTTTATAACCTTCATGCCAAACCCTAGCACCTTAAAATATCTAGCAAATATAAATATAAAACACAGTCAAAAATGTATGCTGACAAGTCTGAAGAGATTTCTATTTTTATTTTATCAATACTTTTTAAATTATTTGTATTTATAAAAGAACTCTTTTGTCTGGGCACAGTGGCTCATGCCTGTATCCCAGCACTTTGAGAGGCTGAGGCAAGAGGATCACTTGAGCTCAGGAGTTTGAGACCAGCCTGGGCAACATAGTGAGACCCAATCTCTACTAAGAATAAGATAAAAAATTGCCAGGCATGGTGGTGCATGCCTTTTGTCCCAGTTACTAGAGAGGATGAGGCAGGAGGATTGCTTGAGCCTGGGAGGATGAGATAACAGTGAGCTATGATCCCACTACTGCACTCCAGTCTGGGGAACAGAGTGAGACCTTAGAGTGAGACTTTGTCTCAAAAAGAGAAAAAAATAAAGAATTGTTTCATTCTTTTGTTTTTCTTCAGCCAAGTAACCTTGAATTAGTAACACCACAGACAGTAAGTCTTATCTCAACACCAGTAGACAGATCAGCAGATTCAAAGTAGGCAGGGAAAAAAAAATAGATAGGCAAAAGAACTGAGACTTTTTCACTTTAGGGTTTTTTAAAATAGTAACTATTTGAGTTCTGAATTTTCTTTCATGTAATTTGGCCATCAGGTTTAAAGTGTGCACTAGAGGTCAGGTGCAGTGGCTCATGTGTGTAATCCAAACACTATCGGAGGCTGAGGCAGGTGGATCACTTGAGGCCAGGAGTTTGAGACCAGCCTGGCCAACGTGACAAAACCCCATCTCTACTGAAAATACAAAAGTTAACTGGGTGTGGTAGTGTGCACCTGTAGTCCCAGCTATTCAGGAGGCTGAGGCAGGATAATTACTCAAACCTGGGAGGCGGAGGTTGCAGTGAGCCACGATTGTACCACCATACTCCATCCTGGGCAACAGAGCAAGACTCTGTGTCAAAAAGAAAAAGGAAAAAAAAAGTATATATATATATATATGTATAGGCTGGACACAGTGGCTCATGCCTGTAATCCCAGCAGTTTGGGAGGCCAAGACGGGTGGATCAATTGAGATCAGGAGTTTGAGACCAGCCTGGCCAACATGGTGAAACTTCATCTCTACTAAAACTACAAAAATTAGCCGGGTATGGTGGCGCACACCTGTAATCGCAGCTACTCAGGAGGCTGAGACAGGAGAATTGCTCGAACCTGGGAAGTGGAGGTTGCAGTGAGCCAAGATCACACCACTGCACTCCAGCATGGGCAACAGAGCAAGATTCTGTCTCAAAAAAATGTGTGTGTGTGTGTGTGTGTGTGTGTATGTGTGTGGCTAGAATGGTCCATAATATATAGCCAGCTCGAGTCCCAGAAAACCTAGCAAGCTTAAGGTTAGAGCTTCTCATTTTGGCCTTTTCAAGATTAAATCTCCTTTAGTAGGCCCTTCCCCTCTAGGGAGGTACTTGCCAGAGCGCTGCCTGAAGTTGGTTTTCTGATGCCCTGTTGTTTCTGTTCTGAATGGTTTATTTCTCATTATAAGAGCTCAGCAAAGCAGGCAGAGTTAAAAAGCAGAGACATGAAGGCTTTAAAATCATGGACTTCACTCCTACACTGAATCTCAGTTCCCCAGAAAGACAGAAACACCATGGGACCACAGCAAAGGCAGAAGGAGGAGTTAGAGAGGGAGGTGGACAGAACAACAAACAGGAGTTGGCTTTCATTTTTTCACGCGTGCCATTTTCTTTAGGTTTTTCTAGTTTATGGAGTCTCTTTGTTCCAGTTGAGCACACAGATAAACTAGAGATCTCACAAGGCTTTTGCTGAGAACATCAAAGCCTTTAACCTCTGTTGGGCCAAATATTTAGACCAAAAATATAGACAGACACACAAAAGCCAGAACCGGACCAGATTGAGTAGCTCAGTGGCTACAGCTTTTATTCCCTTTATTCTTTAAGGATATGAACTCAAACCAGATTCAGGGTTCTAACCCAGCCAGGACCCCCCTGGGGTGAAACTGAAATCCCACCGTCTAGACAAGGTTGGGGGTCTTTTTTTATTTTTTATTTTTTTGAGATGGAGTTTCACTCTTGTTGCCCAGGCTGGAGTGCAATGGTGCAATATTGCCTCACCGCAACCTCCGCCTCTCAGATTTAAGCACTTATCCTGCCTCAGCCTCCCAAGCTGGGATTACAGGCTTGTGCCACCACGCCCAGCTCATTTTGCATTTTTAGTAGAGATGGGGTTTCTCCATGTTGGTCAGGCTGGTCTCAAATTCCCAACCTCGGGTGATCCGCACACCTAAGCCTCCCAAAGTGTTGGCATTACAGGCATGAACCACCGTGCCCGACCTGCTTGTCCTTTTCATTTAATCCTGATCTCCGAATACAGGAGAGTAGCTGATTTGGTGTTCACTAACAAGCACAGAAGATTTGTTACATTTACAGTGTCATTCTTGGCAAAACCTGAAGTTTTGCCTCCCGGGTTCACGCCATTCTCCTGCCTCAGCCTCCTGAGTAGCTGGGACTATAGGCGCCCGCCACCTCACCCAGTTAATTTTTTGTATTGTTAGTATAGACGGGGTTTCGTCATGTTAGCCAGGATGGTCTCAATCTCCTGACCTTGTGATCCGCGCACCTCGGCTTCCCACAGTGCTGGGATTACAGGAGTGAGCCACCGCTCCCAGCCAGAAGCTCTAATTTCAATGATGATTGTGCTTTTTCTCTCTTCCTCAGCATCTGGCTCATGATAAAATTTCAGGTGTCTTGATGGTATCTAAATCAGTTGTTGATTTGGTCCTGGAGAAACACAAGCATAACCTCTATGCCAAGTTATAATTTTACCTATTTCCCAACTTTTTGTTATTGGATCTCTCCACCAAACCAGTTGTTCTGCTTCTGTCTTTGCAGCTGGTTTCTGTAGATGCTGTTCAGCTGCTGGTAACATCTGGCCTTTGGGCAGTCTCAAAAATTTGAAAGTTAATAATGCAAGATTCAATTGTGTATGGGCTATCCCATAATCCCTGTTTCTCCCTCTTTTTTTGTTTTTATTATCGGTTGTTCATCTGTATGAAATCTTAACTGAGCATTTTCAATTAACTGTGTGGAATGACCCATGTATGAAGAATCAGAAATCACATTAACAGGCATATCAAAAGCAGTCAACACCTCAATTACAGCTACAAGCTCTGCCTTTTGAGCTGAAGTATAGGGTGTCTGGAAAACTTTAGCTTTTGATCCAGAATAAGAACCTTTACCATCACTAGACCCATCTGTGAAACAATGAAAACACTTAGCAGGCTGCAGGTTGTTTACTGCAGGAATTGTAAATGCAAACCTTTCACAGTCTTGCTCAGCTAAAAGGGTAGTAAAGAAACAGTCTTTTAAATCTGTGACTATTAAAGGCCAATTTTTTGGAATTATAGTAGAGAAGGGAATCCTGGCTGTTATATTTCCATAGGTTGTATAACTGAATTGATGGCTCTTAAGTCAGTTAACATTCTCCATTTACCTGATTTTTTCTTAATTATGAAAACTGGAGAATTCCAAGGGGAAAATGTTGGAGCTATGTGCCCATTTTCTAATTGTTCAGTAACTAATTTCTCTAAAGCATCCAGTATCTCTTTGCTTAGCAGCCATTATTCTATCCAAATTGGCTTATCTGTTAACCATTTTAAAGGTATAGGTTCTGGAGGCTTAACTATGGCCACCATCAAAAATGTTATCCTAATCTTTGGCAGGAACTTTGTCTTTCCGTTTGAAGCAGTTCTTTCAAAACTTGCAATTTTTTTTCTACTCCTATACCAGGGACATGCCCCATTTCGTGCATCATATGTTGACTTTGAGGGCTGTATTATTGTTATGGAATTAGAACTTGTGCTCCCCATTGTCATAATAAATCTCTCCCCCATAAATTTATAGGTACAGAAGTTGCAATTGGTTGAACAGTCCCAGGTTGTCCATTGGGCCCTTCACAATGCAAAGTATAGCTACTCTGATACACTTCTGGAGCTTTAACAGTTTCCACTGTGTTAAATTGAGTGGGCTGAATTGGCCACATGGACGGCCAGTGCTGTAGAGAAATAATTGAAATGTCCACTCCTACCAAAAAAAAAAATAGTATCTACCAAACCTTTAAAGTTCTTTCCCTGGATAGTTATTTCACAGGTAGGATGTTTATCAGTAATTTGATTTAACCAATAAGCTGCCTTGCCTTTTTTGTTTGTGCTTCCAAATCCTCCGGTTCATTTAATTTCACTTTTTCCCATTCCCACATATGGCACATTCAGGAGCTGTGCTATGAGCACTCCTGGCTGTGCTTTCCAGGGAACAGAAGTAGATATCACAATTTGAATTTCTTCATTGTAATCTGAATCAATGACTCCAGTGTGTATTTGTACCCCTTTTAAACTTAAACTAGACCTTCCTAAAAGTAATACCATTGTCCCTGCTCGCAACGGTCCACAGACTCCTGTTGGGGCCTTTTGCGGGGGTTCCCCAGGCAGAAGGCTCACAGCTTTTGTGCAGCATAGATCTACTGCAGCACTATGGGCTGTGGTGGGGGACAGATAACGTATGGGGGTGAGGGAATGGCCTGAGATGGAAATGCCCTGGTTTAGAACAGGGCCTGGGATGGACCCCTCAGGGAGTTTCCCAAAATCGGGTTCCCTTCTTTATCAAACTTAGAGTGACACTGATTAGCCCAAAGTTTTCCTTTTTTACATTTTGGACATATTTCAGGATCAGCAGTTTTGTTTTTTCCCCTATCTGGTGGCCTGACTCGGTGATTTTTTTTTTTTACATTCTTTTTAGTATGACCATGCTTCCCACAGTTAAAACAAGCTCCAGGAAATAGAGTATTTCCTTTATCCACTCTCAGTCTTGCCATTGCCTGTGCCAACAAAGTAGCTTTATGTAGATTATCTCTGATATCATCACAGGCCTTGTTATAATCAACTAAATGTGCTTTCCCTCTGATAGGTCGCAGAGCAGCCTGGCCATAAGTATTAGCATTGTCAAAACCAATAACTGCAACACTATATCCTAAGCAGCCAAATCTGCAATCATCTTTTTAGGAGACTCCTGTAACCAAGCTATAAAATCCACATATGGTTCTCTTGGTCCCTGTTTTATAGCACTAAAGGAAGGGTATTGTTCTCCACATGAAGTGATTTATTCCAAGCTCTAATGCACACTCCTCTAAGCTGTTCTATGGCATCATCCTGCATGACCACTTGTGCATGTAAACCAGCCCAGCCACCAACCCCCAGAAGTTGGTCTGCAGTTATATTAATTTGAGGTTGGGCCCAGGCATTGCGAGCAGCCTGAATGGAAGCTTCATCTGCCTACTAAGTTTTAAATTGTAATAACTGAGCAGGAGTTAGACAAGCTAGAGTAAAAGTGTCCCAGTCAGTAGGAATCATCCGACTGGAAACAGCAACATTCTTTAACAGTCCCATTTCAAAAGGAGAACCTGTTCCATACTGATTTATAGCTTGTTTAATTTTTTTGAGTAATTTAAAAGGAAAAGGCTCAAATGTAGCTATAATATTTCCCTGTTGATCTGGGGGGTGTATTCAAACAGGGAACTGCCAAGCCTCTAAATCCCACTTTTGTCTAGCTTGCTGTATTCCTGCCTGAATAGAACTAAGAGCAGTCGCTCAAGGCGCTGCTCGAACAGTCACCAGGGCAACTACTTTTCACCCAGTGTCCTCCAGAAAAGAAAGATCTGGAGGGTCGTTTTCTTTAAAATAGTAATGAGGGTGTGCAGAAGGATAGGGATGAACCTCTCCCTCCTTTTCTGCTTTAGCTTTAGGTGACAAGTAAACCTGGTCTGTAACCTCTACTGTTACTTTGTTATACTCTCCTTCCTCCTCATCAGTATGAAAAAGTTCCAAGGTAGAACGAACCACAGCCCACACTTGTCCTATTGCTACCCTGATGCTTCCGAGCTCCCCTTCTTACTCACCACGGGGATTGCTTTAATAGTACTCTGGTGTCCTCCAGCTAGTTCCACTTTCTCCAATCGTTGCTCCAGCGATCCTTTGACCTGTATTCGAGCCCCCATGAATGGGCACCACTTGCTGAGACCAGGTCGGTTGGAGAGACCCTAACCCAGCAGCACTAGAGGAATTAAAGACGCACACACAGAAATATAGAGGTGTGAAGTGGGAAATCGGGGGGGGGGGGGCGTCTTACAGCCTTCAGAGCAGAGTCCTGAACAGAGATTTACCGACGTGTTTATTAACAGCAAGCCAGTCATTAGCATTGTTTCTATAGATATTAGATTAACTAAAAGTATCCCTTATTCTTAAGGCACAGATCACTCATGCTATTGTTTGTGGCTTAAGAATGCCTTTAAGTAGTTTTCCACCCTGGACGGGCCAGGTATTCCTTGTCCTCATTCCAGTAAACCCACAACTTTCCAGCGTGGGTGTTATGGCCATCATGAACATGTCACAGTGCTGCAGAGATTTTGTTTATGGCCAGTTTTGGGGCCAGTTTATGGCCGGATTTGAGGAGGCTTGTTCCCAACAGTTCCTCAGGGTAAGGGTGCCCTAACTCCTGTGGGGACCTTCTTTGGTGGCTCCCCAGGAAGTAAGGAGATGGGAATTGTGCTGTAGAGGTCTACAGCAGCACTGCTTGCTGAGGCGGGGGACAATTGCTGTACATTTGTAAGGGCAGTGGCTGTGCTGGGTATGCCTCAGTTTGTTGAGGGACTTGAGGCGGGTCCCTCTTCCTATTTCCTGAAAGAGGTTGTCCATCTTTGCTAAATTTAGAATGACACGGACTTGCCCGGTGATAGCCTTTCTTACACCAGGGACGTACATTGGGACTTTTCTGTTGATTGACGGTAGTAGTTTTCGTCTTTTGAATTCCTTTCTACATTCCTTTCTTGTGTCCAATTTGCCCATAATTAAGGCAAGAGCCTGAGAAATGAAGCATATTTTTTCTTACTCTTAATCTAGCCACAGCTTGAGCTAAAAGAATAACCTTATGTAAGTTATCTCCAATGCCATCGCAAGCCTTAATATATTTAGTTAAATGGGCCCTCTCTGTCTGGGATCTAATAGCAGTTTGACACTCTGCATTAGCATTATTGTATGCAAGAAGCTGTATTACAACATCCTGAGCTGTTTTGATCATTTACGGCTTTATACACAGCCTCTTGGAGCTGAGCAATAAAATTAATATATGGTTCTTTAGGTCCTTGTCAGACAGAACTGAAATAAGGATACTTTTCCCCTGTAACATTTATCCTTTTCTATGCATGTAAGCACATGAAGCACAGCTGAACAATGGCAACATCTTCCATTAGTGCTTGATTCTCTAATCAACCCCAATTAGGGCCAACTCATATTAACTGATCAAAGAAAACAGGCACAGGTGGCTGCACTTGTGTGTTTTCTTTTGCCTGAGTTTGAGCTTCATCAGCCTACCAAGTTTTAAACTGCAAGTACTGAGATGGAGTGAGAACAGGTTTTGTCAAAGTATCCTAATTATATGGTAGTAATCTATTATCAAGAGCCATATTTTTAAATAAAGTTTGCACAAAAAGAGAGTTCAGTCCATATTGACTAATGGCTTGCTTAAATTCTTTAGTAACTTAAAAGAGAAAGCAGCCTAATTAGCTATATTCTGTCCTACTTGCTGGATTATAGTAACGGGAAATTGCCATGTTTCAAGGTCTCCCTTGGCTTTAGCTTTTTAAATAGAATTTTGTCTACCACCACCAATTGCTCCAGGTTTTAATGTTGTAACTACAGGAGCAGTAAGTTTTTCAGCTAATTTATTTTCTCACCCATTTAGAGGAGAGAGAGGAGGTGGCCATTCACTTAATTCAGCAGGTGGAGCCAACGGGCTAGTAAAACATACTTTTTAAAGTTTTTCTTTCTTTTCTTTAATCTCCTCTGGTAGCTGCTCCCCACACTCAGAATTTGAAGTTAGTTTTTTACACTCATCCTCCTCTTCCTCATCTGAGTCTGCCTCATTATCTGTTTGAAATGGCTCAAGGGCTGCCTTTATTAGTGCCCACACTGACCATACAGAAACTAGAATTTCTGCTCCATCTTTATATGCCTTTTAAAAAATATCTTCCAATTCTCTCCCATTCATCCAACTTCATAGTCCTTTGTTCTGGAAACCATGGGCAAAACTGCTTTACTGTACTAAAGAGTGATAACAAATTCTAAGTACTAAATTTCATTCCCCATCTTTGTATGTCCTCGGGTGTCTTTTGATGTTGTGTCCTCTGCTTTCACATGCTCCAGCCTTCCTTCACCGGGTCTTTGTCACCCCATGTTGGGCGCCAGGAATGTTGGAGTGATCAGACCCAACACTAGATCATGGGGGTGATGAAGTCCGGCAGAGTCAAAGGAATGAGAAAAAGACAGTTTGAGAGAGAAAGTGGGACCAGGAGACCATCACGAGTGTGGAGTCTGCAAAGTCCCCAAGCTCTGGGAGCCCACGCTATTTGTTGGTGCTCAAACAAACAGCTGGTGAGGATTTAGGGGTTGAAAGGAAACGGTGTATCAAGTGAATCAGAAACATATGGCCCTGCCTCAGCTTCTCTTCCAACACTCAGCTTTTCTCCCAACACATTCCCCTTATGAACAGGAATAAAATAGGGATGCTTGTTCTCACCACTCCTGTTTAACAAGTCCTAGCCAGAGCAATCAGGCAAGAGAAAGTGATAAAAGGCATCCAAATAGGAAATGAAGTCAAATTATCTCTCTTCACTGATTATATGATTCTACACCTAGAAATCCCTAAAGACTGTGCCAAAAGGCTCCTAGAACTGATAAAAAAAACCTTCAGCAAACTTTCAGGATTAAAAAAAATCAACATATAGAAAGAAGTATCATTTCTGTACACCAAAAATGTTTAAACTGAGAGGTAAATCAAGAGTGCAATCCTGTTTACAACAGCAACCCCCAAAATAAAATAAAAGAAAAGAAGAATATATCTAAGCAAGGAGGTAAAGGATATCTAAAAGGAGAACTACAAAACACTGCAGAAAGAAATCATAGATGACAAAGGAAATGGAAAACTATTCCATGCTCATGTATTAGAAAGATCGATATTTTTAAAATGGCTATACTGCCAAAAGCAATCTACACATTCAACACTATTCCTGTGAAACAACCAATGTCGTTTTTCACAGAATTAGAAAAAAATATATTCTAAATTTCATATGGATTTTTAAAGAGCCCAGACAACCAAAGGAAACCTAAGCAAGAAGAATGAAGCTGGAGACATCACATTACTTGACTTCATACTATACCCTAAGGCCACAATAGACAAAATAGCATGGTAGCTATATGAAAACAGACACAAAGACCAATGAAACAGAATAGAGAACCTCAAAATAAACATGCACCTACAGCCATCAGCTTTCCCAGGATAACACAAAGAGAGCCAAGTGGCACCTGCACATTACACTGTGGAAGAAAAACCCAAGCTCAAGAAACCCCAACTTGTATTATGGGAAGTTCACTTGGCTGTACCCTTCCCAAGAGGGAGAAATTATCTGCATTATACTAGACAGTAAATAAACTTTTCCTTTGTTCCAGAAGGAGGTACTGGTTTTCTATTCCAAGGCTGTTTTCTATACAAACATGCTTGAAAACAATCATTTGGAACAAGAAAGTCAGCGTCCATACTTGCAAAATGTGCGGAAATTAAAGAGACCCAAAAACTGTTTCTCTACCAATTTCTATTTTTTTAAAATCACATTTTCCCCATATAATATGCTTTTAATATGTGATAATATTCTGAAATTGTCTTAGCATTTAACCCCATTTCTGAGTCCAGAAGGATACAATAAATTTAATTTAATTTAGTAACACCTCAAATAGTAGTGATTGTAATAGCAGAGCTAGTTTGTAGCATAAAGAAAAAATAATATTATTAGGTGACACAAATAATGCTAGCCACCATTTCTAAGTGTCATGGTAAGTACAGTGATTATTTTCTTTTTTTCTGACTCTTGTTTATTTTATTTTTTATTTTTTTCCCCATAGGTTATTGGGGTACTGTGGTATTTGGTTCCATGAATAACTTCTTTACTGGTTATTTGTGAGATTTGGGTGCACCTATCACCCGAACAGTGTACACTGCACCTTATTTGTTATCTTTTATCCCTCGCCCCCCTCCCTATTAAATAATAGACAAAAAATAATGGGTTTAGAATAAATGAGTTCATATGAACTGTCAAACGTATGTGGGAAAAGTGGAATCAGTTTTTGAGAAAAAACAAAAAACTCAACAGAAATGCTGATTAAAGCATCATCCCTTCATGGCTAGAGCTGCCAGGACACTAGAACACCAAAATTAGCTAGGGAAATTTTGTAGAAGTCCCAGATGTACTAAATGTTCTGTGAATACACAGAGACATAATAATAACTGTTACCTGAATGTAGAGTAAAGATGAGAAGGCATTGGTCATGGTGGCAGCTACCTCAGGAGTTACAAAGCAGACGTGGTTCCAGGACA
Source organism: Homo sapiens (assembly GCF_000001405.40). Taxonomy (NCBI): domain Eukaryota; kingdom Metazoa; phylum Chordata; class Mammalia; order Primates; family Hominidae; genus Homo; species Homo sapiens. The sequence continues at coordinate 11,243,481 of NC_000024.10, forward strand.
GTGTATGTCAAGGCAAAGCTGTCCTCGGAGGCTATTAGGAGCTGGTTACGGCACAGACATTGTAAGTCAGATGGTCTCATTACTTTCAATGACAAAACCAAAATTACTTTTGTATCAGCCTAATACAACGGCCTGGCAAGAGCACAGAAAAAGTCCCTGTGGCTGTTAGGTGGGGACCTCTGATGCAGCACAATTCCTTCATCCCCTTCTCCAACACCCCCTCTTCCAATTCCACTGAAGAGAGAATCTGATGGAAGTGCTGTGTAAGCAGGCTCAGATATATCTACCACTATAGATAGTACAGGTGATTCATAAATCCAAGCCTATCAAATACATCATAAATAAGTTACACGTTTAATTTTTTTTTTCAAATTAGGGATCATGATATAAAAGTTATCAGAATCAAAACTGTCACTAATGCTTAAAAAGAAAAGAAAAAACCTGGACAAATAGATTCAGAGAAGGCCTTGAAGAGAGGGTTCTCATGCTTCTAGGCCTGATATGAACTATCACAAAATACCACAAATTCCACAACCTTGCACAAAGGCCATAGCAAGCTTACACAAAATACACTTCTGTGAGGACATCTATCCAGCAACCACCTGCTCAAACTTCAACTGACATCGACCTTGTTGTTGGTCTTTATAGTCGAAGGTAACTATATCAAAACAATTATAGAAGCCTCTTCATTTTTCCTTTATTTATTTTTTTCTAGTCCCCCATACTTCCAGGTTTCCAGGTTGATCATTTTTCTTTTAAAGACCTTGTCTTCCTTTACCATTTGAATCTATATAGTTTGCTTTGTCATGTATATTCCCATTGCAGTGCCCTCCTCCCTAAGATGTGTTTTTTCCTTTAGAGAGCCTTTCTCTGTTTGTTATTTAGGTTTACAATGAGAAGGCATGTAAAGTACTTTTACTGTCTTCCTAGGAAAAAATCACTGACTTACAGTATTTATATTTATTTATTTACATTCCTGGGGATGAGGAATTAAAGATTTCACAAATTTTCTTATTGAGAAGATCCAAGTTTTCATGTGAGCAAAACTGAATATGTAAATTGATATGTAAATTATGCTGCAGATAATATGGTCAAATGTTTACTTGTATTTAATTTGTTACACATGAATATTGCATATGTAAGATAATATACTAAGAAATTATCACATTTAATGAAATGCTTTAATCAAATTCCTGATTGAATTTTTGGTATCAATATCTTTTTCATTGTTTAATCCATCTTTTGGGTGAACAGGGCTTTATAGGCCAAAGTTCTCACTTCTATCTAAATTGTCTGAGTTACAGAACTTTTTGGATTTATTATGTTGTCACAGGAAGTTTCTTATTGCTGTTTAAAGGAGTCTCTCTCAATATGATGCAGAATCCAAAAGCACTGAAGGGCATATATCCTGAGTTTCTGTTACTGAAGCCAAAGGTTGCCAATTTCTTGTAGATCCTGCTACAGTTAAACTTCATTTAAGTAATCATTAAAAGCTGTGTTTATTCCCTCACTTGAAATTTTGATTTCACACTATTAGGACTAATCCACTAAGTCTTTGTTAAGTTATGTTCCTCTTTTTCTTGTAGCTTGACTTTGATGATCTCTATATGCAACATCAATTGACATAAATTAAAGTACATTCAGGGCAAGAGAGTTTCTTTAAATATTACTTTGTTATTCAAAATAATCACAAAAGCACTCATCGTAGGAAAACTTGTGAGGACTCAAATATAGAGAAATACCTTTTCTTTCTAAGGCATAATTCTGTAAAGAAATTCACCTTAATTTGAATATACATGTGAAAATATCCTTGTTCAATAATAGTCTATATTCACTCTGTTTTCTTCCCTCATAGACCAGCCGGTTCACTATTATTCTCCAAATGATGTGTGCCTCTCTAGATTCCAGGCTATCTGCATATCTAATTTTTCCCATAAATTACTGTTTTGAATTGCACTGAATTCAATTTAAGGGGATGTCATTTATAAAAAGTGCAAATATATACTGCACGAGGGATCTTAAAAATCATACACATGGTTTGATCCATAAGCTCATATGAGCGTGCAATGTCAACTTTTTTCATGTTTTTTTAAGTCCACTTAAATTCTATTTTAAGCCACCATCTGTCTGTGCTGTTAGGGCAGTTAGCCTTAAATCATTTTAAGATGCTCCCTTCTAAGTACTGTGATAGTGATAGAGATGTCACCAGTCAAGTGTCCTAGGAAGCCGACTCCGAGTTGGAGATTTGCATGCAAGGAGGTTGAAATGATACTCCCAACACCTGTGGAAGAGTTAAAGCAATAGGATTGGGTGGAGCAGGAAGTTGGCTGGAATGCAATCACTATCATGGCCGCAGTCCACTCTACAGGGATCTTGGTGAGTTTACCTAATGACCTCGAATTGGAGCAAGCAAAAAAGGCCATTATATTTCTGTACCAAGCAGTTCTCGGATGTGGGATGCCTTGAGAAGGGACATGGACTTGGATGAAGGAACTTTAGTGTGCTGTGAGTATTGTTGACAGGAGTCAGCTGTCAACACTCCCAGGAGCAGGGGAATTATGCTTTAGTCACGGAGGCGGCATCTAGTGTCAGACCACAGCCTTGTTAAACAGAGCCAGAATTTGGAGGATGGATGGTGGGTTTAATATTTGGGGCTTGACATCTTGTCCCCACAAGCTGCTGCTGGCCTCTTCCTTGTCCATTTCTGTGTGGCTTGTTTAGGCCCCCCAGCTTCCTGCTTCTTTTTTACCATATTTGGAATGCAAAAATCTACACGTAATTTGGCCCATGGTCCCTTCTGCTTAGACATATCCTTGTAGCTATTTTTTTTAAAAGATGACTATGCCTTCCAGAATATTTCTAAGAAACTGCCGAAGTCACCACTGCTCACCAAGAGGCCTTCGTTTTTTCCTCTTCTTAACCATGGGAAAGGAATGTAGGAGTGTAGGGAGTGGATATTTTCTAACCTGGAAAAAAACTCATTTTACCCTATATAATTTTTTTAGCAAATTCCTTCTTTGCACTTACTCTACAATCTTTCCAAATTCTCCCAAATGCTCAAGCTTTTAAAAAACAAAAGACAGAAAGGATAGCAAGTTATTAATTTTTCCACCAAACCTTTTCTTTCTATTCGTTTACATCAGTGAGCTTAGAATAACTCTGCTTCTGGAACTGGGAAAGGGACTTGGGAAAAGAAAGAAAAAAAAAGCTCTCAAAGTTTAACATCACAAAACATTATAGTCATTGCTATTTTATTATTTATTTATTTATTTATTCATTTATTTATTTTTGAGATGGAGTCTTGTTCTGCCACCAGGCTGGAGTGCAGTGGTGCGATCTCAGCTCACTGCAACCTCCGCGTCCTGGGTTCAAATGATTCTCCTGCCGCAGCCTACTGAGTAGCTGGGACTACGACATGTGCCACCACACCCAGCTAATTTTTGTATTTTTAGTAGACATGGGGTTTTACCGTGTTAGCCAGGATGATCTCGATCTTCTGACCTTGTGATCCGCCCACCTTGGCCTCCCAAAGTGCTGGGATTACAGGCATGAGCCACCGTGCATGGCCTTGCTTTGTAATTTTTACATCATATATCCCATGTTAGACCAAGAGCTTGTAAAAGCCGGAAGACATACACCATTTATAGTTCAATTAGAGATGTTCACTGATAAAACTGATTCTTCCATCTGAGGGTGGTATTTGTAGTTACAGTAATGTAAATGACAATCTAAGTTATGTTCTATAAACTGTGTCACTGACATCTCAATCTACAGCTAACTTTAATTTTTTAAAAGCAGAGGAGTGGGTTGTATAGGTTTAGAAATATATCCATTAAGCTAGTTAAGTGAGATAGATTCAAACCTTCAACTCACTGGAATATTTACCAAATTGTCTATTCATTAGCTAAAGGAACCATATAAACAAGGTACTTTTCAAAATTCAAAATTATGTAAGGTTTTATTTCCTTTTTATGCTGTTATGAATTGGATTGTAGAGGTTATAAGGTAAAATAAGATTACTTTTACAGTAAAACATACAACACATTGTCACAAGACGGCAGCCTTTGAACATGAATTTATTCTCAGGCATTCCTTGAAATTTTGAGACAGTTTCTTTAATTAACACAACTAAATAATAAAACACTACAGAGGATTTAAGAAGATACTTTGACTTACGCATATTGTTACTTTTTTATTACTGCTAGTGGAAGATGTAATCGATAAGGAAGGTAAGGGCTGAATTTGTTTTATCTGAAAAGACAAATTTATTTGGGTTTTAGCTTTCAAACATCAAGATAGTAGGTCAATGTCTAAATGAGTGTATCAAAGTTCTCACACTAGCACATGTAAATCCACCTCTTATCTACCCAAAACTCTAACCAAGCAAAGGCAAGTTGGAAGAATCAGACAAATGTAAGTGCCTAGGATACATAAATGCCACTGGATTTTATGTTTTTAACTTTCAACCTCCCAAGTTTCAGTAAGAGACATGTTATTTGGAGAAGTTGCTAAAGTGTAGTTGTATGATGTCTCTGTGTACAGTTAGTCTGGACCTCTTTCTGTCCAGTGGTTGCCCTCAACTGATTGGAGTCACCTCTCTAAAGATCATGCTTATGTCCCTGGAGCAGTCCACAGCACTATCAATGTCTGATCTCCACCTTTTTCCAATTAATATTTCTGTACTTACTGAATTGGAAAACATACAGGTGATTTTTTCCTGGTCACTTGTGGTTTTACAACACTCCCCCCACTTCCCCACCACTGCCCCAGGTTATTTTGATGCCAGCCAAAGTGTGAGAACTACTGGCAGCTGCTGGCAGACAGCAGCAAAGGCCCAAATCCTCGGTGTGATTTCAAGACCCATATCTGGTTTTCAGCCATATTTCCTTCTCCTTCTCACAGCTGAGCCTACTCCTCCTCCCTCACCACCTGTAGGCTATGCTTTCCAGCCTGTGTCCAGGATTAGTCCTGATGTAAGGCACGTGGGGTTTAAGGATCTCTCTCTTCAGTCTTATTTCTGCACCATCTCTGACAGATATATTCCAGTTGTGATCATGGGGCTACCTCCTTTTCTTTCCAGTCCCATGCTCGTTTTCTCTATCACATTCTACCTTGTAATAACCTAAATCTTCTGGTGGGCAAGCTTCTTCCTCAATCAAATTTGTGTTTATGATTGTGTTGGGGATTGGCTTAGTAATCCAGGTACTGCTACTGCCTTGAAAGCGGAGACTGCATCCTTCTGTCTGGATTTCTTGAGTTTCTGGATTGTAAACCTTATTAGGGCCCATTTTTCCTAGAATTGGAGCCTCTACTTTGTTCTTGCTACCTTAGTTCACCCAGAAAGCATGATCTCTGCCTGAATTTCAAAGTGTTGGCTAGTTTAAATATACTTTTTTGAGACTTTTGTCTTCCTGCAGGGTGATTTTTTCATCTTGCATACCATTGCTAATCTTTTTATCTTGAATGTAATTGAAATAGTTTTAATCTGTGTTACCAGCAACAAGAACCCCCTTTATGAGATGGAGAGGCCAGGTCAGTCTCATAACATGTGTCCCCATCCGTGTGTTGAATTTATGTCAGAGCCAGGTTCTTTCCTATTTGATGTCTCTCACCAAATTCCAGTGTTTATGTCCTAGGAGGTGCCCAATAAATTCTAGAGTTGATACAAGCTGTAATTTTAGAGAAATTAAATTAGCAAGTAGAATTAGATTATATACAATCTAATCAACTTTTCTTTTTCTTTCTGAGGATGACCAGGATTTGGGCTTCAGTGACAATAGCTGTCCCCTAAATATTTATACTCAGAATCTAGGATTACCAGTACAATGTTGAATAGAGGTGATGAACACACACATTCCTTTCTTGTCCTAATCTATGTAGTTTAAACATTTACGCTTTCACCATTAAATGTAATATTGTTTATATGTTTTGTTGTGGATGCTTTCCATCACTTTGAGAAAATTTCTTTTTCTAGCTTGCTGAGAGGTTTTTTTTTTTTAATCAGCAATAGATATTTCTCCAAAGAAAATATCCAAATGACCAACAGATACATGAAAAAGATGCTCAGCATCACTAATCATCAGGGAAATGCAAATCAAAACCACAAAGAGATATTGCCTCAAACCTGTTAGAATGGTCTTATTAAAAGAAAAAGATAACGAGTGATAACAATGGGGAGAAATTGGAACACTTGTACAGTGTTTCTGGAAAAGTGAAACTGTGCAGCCTCTATGGAAAACAGTACGGTGGTTCCTCAAAAAAATTAAGAAACTAGAACTACCATATGATCTAGCAATCCACTTCAGGTTATTTATCTGAAAGAATTGAGATTGGGATGATTCTCAGGCTCATTGCAGCATTATTTACACTAATCAAAATGTGGAAATGAGGTTAATGTCTATTGGCAGATGAATAGATAAAGAAAATGTGGTATATTCATACAACGGAATATTATTCAGCTTTAAAACAAGAAAGCCCGCCAATATGCAACATGGATGAACCTAGAGGACATTAATGCTAAGTAAAGTAAATCAGTCACAGAAGGACAAACTGTATGATTCCATTTGTATAAAGTATCTAAGATAGCCAAATTCATTAGAATCACAGATTAGAATGGTGATAGCTCTTTAAGTTGAAATCAATTTTGCATTCCTGGGTTTTGTAGTTTTGCTATCAGGATTCTGACTCATAAAACAAGTTTGGAATTTCCCCCTTCTTTATTTATGAAATAATTTAAAAATTTTATTTTTTTAAACGTTTGAAAGAATTCACCAGCAAAACTCTTTAGATCTGGAGTTTACTTATTTTTTATTTCTTTAGTTTTATGTTTTTATGTGCAGGTATTTGACAATTAATTTAATTACTTTAAGAAATGTCAATTACTTCATATGTTCCATTTAATCTTGTGAATTTTTTGATAAGTTGTTTTCAAGGAATTCACCCTTCCATCCAAGTAATGAAAATTAGTAAAAATGTTTCACAATATTCCATTATCTTGTTAATGTCTCTTGTGTCTACAACTGTACAATCTCATTAATCCCTGATATTTATAATTTGTGTTTTCTTTCTTTCTCACAGAACAACTTTTGGCCATGATGATTTTCTCCTGTTTCTGTTTTCTGTCTCATTGATTTCTAATTTCTGTTTTATTTCTTTTCTTCTACTTGTTTTGGACTTAATTTGCTCTCTTGTTTTAGATTTTCTTTTTAAGGTAGTAAATTAGTTCACTGTTTTGAACTTCTCTTTTTTAGAATAAGCATTTATACGAAAAATTTACTCTGGGTCTGCTTAACTTTATCCCATACATTTTGATATATTATATTTTTATTTGTATTCAGTTCAATGTATTTAAACGTGTTTCTTATGATTTCTTCCTTGAGCTAAAGGGCATTTTAAGATGTATTTAAATCTTCCAATAGTGTAGACTTTCCTGGGTAGCTTGTTTTTACCCATTTCAACTCATTTTCATTATGGTCAGAAAGCATACTTTCTATGATTACAGTGTTTTGAAACTTCTTGAGAGATATTTTGTAGTCTATAGCCTATTGATAAATGTTTCATGTGTAGCATAATAGAACATATATTCTATTGTCTTGGTCAATATCGATTAGGTCAAGCTGTTGTCAAAATTATTTTATCTTAATTTTCTTTAGTTATTCTGTCAGCAATACAGCATTATGTCTTCATAATTACTTGACATTTTATCATTATGAAATAGCTATCTGTTGTAATATTGCTTGTTTGGAGGTCTACTTTTTCTTATATTAATATAGCCACATAAGATTTCTTGTGCTTGTTGTTTCCTTGGTATACTTGGAAATTATTTTACTCTCAACTTATCTATACCATAATATTTGGCATGCATCTCTTATAGGTACTTTTATTATCCAGTTGGACAATCTGTGTTTTATTTGGAGTATTTAAATTACATTTGAAATAATTATTGAAAAGTTTCGATTTAAGCCTACTATTTTTGCTTTTCTTTCTTTTTTTTTTTTTGAGACGGAGTCTCGTCCTGTCACCCAGGCTGGAGTGCAGTGGCGGGATCTCGGCTCACTGCAAGCTCCGCCTCCCGGGTTCACACCATTTTCCTGCCTCAGCATCTGGAGTAGCTGGTACTGCAGGCGCCTGCCGCCATGCCTGGCTAATTTTTGTATTTTTAGTAGAGACGGGGTTTCACCGTGTTAGCCAGGATAGTCTCGATCTCCTGACCTCGTGATCCACCCGCCTCGGTCTCCCAAAGTGCTGGGATTAGAGGCTGAGCCACTGCACCCAGCCTATTTTGCTCTTATGTGCTATTTGTTCCATCATTTTTTGCTCCTCTGTTCTTTCTTTCATGCCTTTTTATATTAACTGAACAATATTCAGGGTTCCATTTTAATTCCTTTATTGGCATTTTAGAAGAATATCTTCATATAATGTGGTGGTTCTCTAGGGATTATAATAAACATCCTGGGCTTATTGCAGTCCACTTAGTGTTAATATTCAGCGTTTTCATGTAACATAAAGAAAAGTTGCGGCAAAATTGTTGCGTTTAGTCTCCTGTCAGAGCTATTAATTTAGAATATTTTACATACATTATCAATAGTACACTTAATTTTTTATTGAAACCATCAGTTGTTTGTTATAAAACTAAAAGAAAAAAGCCTTAGTTTTTCATGTTTATGCACATGCCATTCCTAGAGCTTCTCCTTGCTTCCTGTAGGTCAGAATTTCCATCTGTTGTTATCCTTCTTTAGCCTAAAAAATTTCCGTTTGCATTTCTTGTATCTAGGTCTGCTAATAACAATTGTTTGAAGCTTTCTTTTATCTGACTAAATCTTTCTTTTCTCAAGAATCACTGTTTCTAGTGATAGAATTTGGAGTTGACAGTTTTCTTTTATTTTGAAGATATAGTTTCATTGCTTTTTAAAGTGTCATTTCTGATGACAGGTCATCTGTCTATTTGTTTCAACGTATGTAAATTATTTTCTCTCTCCCTTTAGCTACTTTCAAGATTTACTCTTTTTTTGCCCAGTGGTTTAACTATGATATGTCTATATTTGATTCCCTTTATTTTTATTCTGTTCTTTGAGTTTCTTAAACCTGTAAGTTGATATATGCTGACAATTAGGAAAACTTTTGGTCTTTACTTTTTCAAATAGCTTTTTCTGTCTCATTTTCTTCTCTACTCTTTCTAGGACTCCAATTATATTAGTGCTAGACTGGCCCTATTTTTATTATTTTTCTTCCTTTGTATTAACTGTATTGGGAAATTGTTCTTGATCTGTTTTTAAGTGCACTGATAGTTTTTTCTGCCATCTTTAATTTACTGGTATGTGCATACAATGACATTTTTATATAAGATATTCAGTCTCTCAGTTCTAAAATTTGTCCTATTATCTCTTTATCGTTTTTACTTCTCTGTTGAGATTCTCCAAATATTCCCTCTTATGACCATCTATTCCTTAAATCCTTGAATATGCTTGTAATATCTTATTTTAAATTTCTTATCTTCTAATCCCAGCATGTGGGCCATTTCACTGTCTTAATCCATTGTTTACTTTTTTTGTTATGCATCATATATTCCTGGTTTTATGTCTAGGCAGGTTAAATTATATGTTAGATTATGTGTATGATATTTTGTAGAGATAAGTTCTTCTATTTTCCTTTGAAGAGTGACTCTTTTCTAACGTTAGTCTTTTTTCTGTAGTCAAACACCAAACTTTCACTCCTGAGCTATATGCAATGGTTGAAATCTCTGCTCTGTACTAGCAATTTAGCTGTTGTTTTCTGCTGGATTCTATGGAGTCTCTTTTTATCAATGTGAAATGTAGCAGCCATCATATATCTGAATGAAGTTTAAGTGCTGATTTTAGATTTTTACTCTGTGACATTCTCCTCTGTGACTTTCAGTTGTGTAAGATTTCCTCCCGTGTCATTCAAATTTCCCAGTTCTTCTTTTCTGTCAGCCTGGAACTCTGTGCTCTTATTCCTCAAGCTAGTAAAACTCACCGCTTTACTCGTAGACATCTAATTTTGCACAGACTGGGAAGGGTCATCAGGTGTGAAGTTGCGTTGATGCAAATTTAAATCATTGCAATTTTCTTTATTCAGTGGTCAGATACTTCATCAGTGGTTGAATATTCTACTATTTCTGCCTGTTTTCTGTTTCTCATTGCCATCAAATGTGTATTTAATTTTTTTTAGAGTTAATAGTTTTTTTCCCTGCATTTGAGTTAGACCTGAGCTACTACCATATTCTGTAATTCAAACTTTTTGTCTAACAATGTTTTAAAAAACTCTTTATTTGGAGGGAATTCTCAAATTTCTAAATACTCTACAAACATTAGGACCAGGGCTCACATTCCCAGTTTCCTTTGTAGACAGATGTACATATGGAAAATGACCTCAGCTAATGAAGCATACCCACATAGTTGAAACTCAGAAAAGTGTTAAGAGGAACTGTAGATATCATTTTAGTTGATGCAAGGATGGCAAAAAATAACCAACTTTCACTGGTGAACTTTGTCTTCAATCATTGTTTTCCCATGGGTAAGTGGCTAATTTTCTGGCCTAGAGGTGGAATTGGTGTGTTGGTAACAATTGATTTGATGATAACCTGCTTTTGTCTTTTTAAAAATTGCTAATCCACCATTGTTTCTTGTCCTGTTTTATACTTATGCCGTGTATAATCTCTCATGTAAAATTTAGTTCTTTGTTTCTCAGCTTAAACTAGATTTTGATGAGCAGTTTTCACCTTCAAATGAAAGAAATGGCTTTGGTTGATGTTAGACAAAAATAACAAGAGGGAATTAAAGAAATATGTTTGTCATCTTGTAATATTAAATAAATGAAACTGAAAATTCAACAATTCTGCTTCTAAAAAAATAGAAAGTTTCTACTGTTTTTCGTTATTTTTGAAGCTATATGATTAAATGAAATTTCTGCCTCATGGAAGGTTTTTAGAACTATGTAATAATACCATACAGACCATTGGGAGAGAAATGAATAAAGACTGAAAGAAGTAAGCACTGTGTGGTAACGTAGATGGCACATAGTTTGTGCGTGGAGACCTAATACCTTTTACCACGGAATTTATACAATAAATGTTAGTTTCCTGTGAACCTGCTAATTAATATGACTTTCTCAGACATTTCCTTAACCTAAACAGTTTAGGTTTCCTGTAGATAGACTGCATGTATTCTCATCTTTAACCTTTCCATAATCTTCCCTAATTACAGATGTCATTGGTTCTTAATAGCAAAAGAACAGCAGTAGCTTATAAAGTTATATTATTTGTTTTTTACTAATATGTGAAGTGATTTTGTCTTTCATTTCACCTCTAAAGCTAATTATGTCTTCTAAGTTAACAAAAATTCCAGATCATACCATCATTAGTTTAAACTTTACAATGAATTCATTCTTTCCATTTATTACTAGCCTGCATTATAACAATATTTAGCTAATGAATTCTCAAAATATTTCTTGAAAGGTGAAAGAGTACCTCAAGTAAGTGGTGTAATTAATTTATTTATCAGAATTTTAAATTAAGTGTTCTGTTTAATCTCAAAGAGGTACCAATGAAGTTAGGGCATAAGGAGTCCGTGGTTAATAAAATGGCAAGAATTAAAAAAGATTATTACATTTTTTCCTCATACTATGATGGCTATAATTTTTTAAAACAGTAGAAATGTTTAATTTTTAAAGGCTACTAGTGTCTATTTAATTCAAAGATGTGAGGTCTTCAGTTCAATTTGTTGTTTGAAATTTGAATAGCTGTTTCTTGCTGTTGTTCAATACAGGTATTAAACAGTCCAGGCAGGCCTCTGGAGTTACATATATGTATGTGGCTATGTGTGTATATATACATAGAAGTATAAATAGCATACAATTAATTTACCTAAGACTTTTGCTTTTGATGAAAATTCTTCTAAAAGTGAATGTAAATTAATAGCATATGGAGCCTACAAAAATTGTCTAATAGAGAAGTAGGAAAATATAATTTGTGAAGAAATAGTTCACTAAAACAGACTTTTTATTTTTACATGTAATAACTTTATATTGAAGGGTTTCCAGAAATATAAAATGTTATAGGGCACTTATACTGAGACACACGAAGGAGACAAGGGATAGAGCTAGGATGGAAATGAAAAGAAAGGACAAATAGAGATAGATACTTAAGTTGAAATGAAACACTGCATGTTCTCACTCATAGGTGATAATTGAACAGTGAGAACACGTGGACACAGGAAGGGGAACATCACACACCAGGGCCTGTTGTGGAGTGGGGGAGGGGGTAGGGATAGCATTAAGACATATACCTAATGCTAAATGACGAGTTAATGGGTGCAGCACACCAACATGGCACATGTATACATATGTAACTAAACTGCACGTTGTGCACATATGCCCTAAAACTTAAAGTACAAAAAAAAGTCATCAAACAGGTGGTAATTTTAAAACATGTCTTTTCCAGGCAGCAAATTTTCTGAATGTATCGCAAAAGAAGATAAATTGTGTGTCTATGTAGATCATGTCAATGAAATAAACAATAAAGGTTACTTATTGGAATATTGAAAGTGGTTGATAATAAATTAATTACTTATATTTATGGTAAAAGCAATAAACTTGATTTTTAGGGGGTTCAATGACTTCCTGAAAATATCCTCTCACAGATTTTCTCAGAGTGTCTAGTTGGCAAAAGCACAGCTCCAAATAGCTATTTCTGTCAATGTCTACAGAATATTTACAGTTCGGTTTCCAAAAGTTTCCATTTATACTGACCTTACAAATTTGTAAAATGAATGCCCAACAGGAAAAAATATTAAATGATAAAATTAATTGGATCCTACAAGTGAAAATCTAGGCAAGGAAAATCTTCCTTCTTAATGAATGATTTTTACGTCTCTTCATTCTTGTCCTTCTAGGTAGAGCAACACTCTGGAGACCTTCTTTTGAGGCATTTCACCACCAGAGTAAGTGTGATGTATGAATAATTAGTCCACCCACAGGCAGCTGGTGAAATTGAATTGGAAGTTATTTCTTAACTGGCATATCTTGGAGTAAAATTCATCTAATAACAGTTTTCATAAGAGAGCATAAGCTTAAAAGACAACATTTTTCATTCAACTTTACCAAACAAAGTGCAAATTTAGGTGTCCAGTTGTGAAGTTTGGTTGTGTATGGATTGTACAGTGAAGGTACCAGTGGACAACAGTTGCTCATCAAGCAAGTTTATACAAAATCTTTTGGACAAGTCCAACTCTAGATAAAATTCTAAAGTATTTCGTGCTTGTGTTCAGAGTTTCTTTTTCTCTCTCCAAGGTAACACACATATCAAAAGACATGGATTGTGGGTAGAACTTCCTAAAATTGCTGGTGAGAAGTGTGCCATGCATAAACATACTTCACTAGCTTGAATTTTCTGTTAGTCTCACAGGAAACAATTACAATCCTGTATGTTTTTCTATCTCCACACACTCCTGAACATAGAAAGACCAAGTAACATCCCTGGTTAAGATGTGTACAGGTTACAAGACATGTCTAAATATATTCACCAAGAGGTTTATTATTTTCACAGTGGCATTCACTAAATCAGTTGTCAGTATAGCATTACTCAAGGAATAAGCAGGGTCTTTAATTTATCAAAGTTTGGAGTCCACCCCAAGTTGGATCACTGAAGCACATAACTATAGATAAGGTCACTCAAAAGCACAAATCCAGGTAATAAATATTCAGTAGTAGTTTATATGCATTTAGCAATTTGAATGCTGGGAAATGTAGCCCAGAAAATCAATCGACCTTCAACTATTAAAGAGGCATTCATGGCACCTGCACTTTGAATCTTTTCAGACGAAGGTTAAACAGGAGACACGGTAGCTCACGTATACTGCAAAACCCCTTCCTCTTTCCCTTTTTATCTATGAACCTGCCCTTTTCAATGTTATCTAGATGCCTGAAGGTATGAATACCCTTGATCTTAGTAAAAAATGGTACCACCCATCAGCAAAATCTCACTGATCAGTGTCTATGTTACCTCACTGAGTTAGCCTTTTGTGTTGTTGTGGCCCAGGATGACAATGTTGACAGAATCCAAACCAGTAGTTGGAAAGTTAATGTTAGATGCGTCTTTGACAATTGATGGAATGACCTGAAATCAAATGTGAGGCAGTGGAGACACAAGAATGCTATTCAGGCAGTGAGTGATCTGTGGAGATACTAAATGAAATATCTGGAAGGAATTGTAATCTTGAAACTATGCTTTTATGTGTTTTTTGATGTAAACAGTTTCTATTTATGGTGGAGCTGCAGTGTCCATTTCCCATGATGTTCCCATAGTGTTAACTAATACAGTCATGTGTCACTTAATGACAGGGGTGTGTCTGAGCAATGCATTGCTGGACAATTTTATTATTGTATGAACATCACAGAGTTTACTTACACAAACCTAGATGCTATAGCTGATTATATGCCTAGGTTAGGTGGTATAGCCTATTCCTCCTAGGCTACAAACCTGTGCAGCATGTTACTGTACTGAATACTGTAGGCAATTGTAACACAACAGTTAAGTATATCTATAGTTACTAATATCTATACAGTAAGTGTATCTATACATGTCTAAACATACAAGAGGTACAGTAAAAGTACAGTGTTATGATTTTATTGCACCACTCTCATACATGTGCACTATCCTTGACCAAAATGTTGTTATGTGATGCATGATTGTAACAAAAGAATTAATTAAATATAATATTGAAGTGCCTATTGAGATTTCAATGAAGAAAGGAATATTTGTAAATTCTGATTACCTTAAGTGAGAATTGACTTTCTTCCTGTTTCCATGGCTGTTCTTGTGAAAGAGCATAGCTTTCCAAAGACCTGAAATCTCTAACAAATCTTGCAATTCTCTATTGCCTGCATTATGAAGGTCACCTGGTGTCAAATGAGGCAAAATGGTAGATTATAAAGACCTGTACTTTATTGTCAGTTCCTAAACATAGCAAGCATTGGTCTACCTTGAACATTTCTGCCATTATAAATGAGCCTTGGGTCATGATTTTCTGCCCTTTTATCATAGACAAGATTTAATTTAGGAGATGTCCTTTTAATGTGTAATGTGAATAGTAAGTGCCACTTATGAAGCCTATTTTCTTCCAGCCATTTTAATTGTCAAATCTGTCCAGTCAAGATGCATTGTTAGAGGCTTCACTGACAACACCGTCTGTGTGTGTGGGTGTGTGGGTGTGTGTGTATACATACATATGATTGACCAGGATTTATTGTAAGTCAAAACAGTCTCAAATTTCTTAGGAAAATACAGCTTCCTTAGCCATTCCCTTGGAGCTCTGAGTTGAGGAGCTGGTGATGTGTATTTCTTTTACATGTTCTCCACATTATCCCCATGCAGGCCTTCCATGGGCTTGGTTTTGGAACCAGTGATAAGGAAGATCATTAGAACTGTTGTTCTCAAAAAGCTTCCTCCATTCTTCTGTATAAGCAATTGCAATTTTCCCAGACCATTATTTCTTCTTTTGAAATGGAAAATTTTGAATAATAACTGGTTAGTATAATCCCATAAAATAACAAAGTTTGAGCCCTATGATCTGTGTTTTAGGCTAAAGTTGTGTTTTATGCTAAATCATCATTTACTCCTTGTATGATTTTTTTTTTTTTTTTTTTTGAGACAGAGTCTCACACTGTCACTCAGGCTGGAGTGCAGTGGCACAATTTTGGCTTACGGCAAGCTCCACCTCCCAGGTGCACACCATCCTTCTGCTTCAGCCTCCTGAGTAGCTGGGACTACAGGTGCCCACCACCACACCTGGCTAATTGTTTTTTAAGATTAAGGGCGAAATAAGAGCTGCTCCCCTATATTACAATCATAAATCAGAATTATTAAAGCATGCTATTTATTTATTAGAAACACATACTCCAAATTTAGCATCTAAGACATGACAGCCTTTCAAGAGACATCAATTTACTTTTTAGGGTCTATAGCTATATTTGTATTCATGTTATTGGTGTCCATAGTGTTTCATTAGATGTTCTGGGTAAATTAATAAATGACAATAATGTATGTGATAAGGGGAACAACCTAGGCCTCCTGGAGGGCCCCTTACAACTCAGCTGGTGTTAGCAGAAATGCCTGGGTGTAACAGTGAGAAACAACCTTTCAAAAGTGTTGAGCAATTTTTCAGGCAGAGGAATATGTATACCAATCCAGGCAGCAAGATAAGTGGAGGTCAGTTAAAAGATCAGGGTGTGATTACATTTTTTTTTTAGGTTTCTACTGAGAGGAAATATAACACTCAGTTATTATTTTCTCCGCATATCTCTGGTTATTTTGTCACAACCTTTTATGTAAGCTACTACCAAACACTGGGTTATCCAAGATCTATGGGTCGTATTCAATATTTGCTTTTCCCTCAACTACTAACACATTTGATTCTCTTTGTAACTGTCTCTCCTATTTCTCCTTTTAACCTGTTTTCTCCAACCACACTGAGTTAATAAGCCTCCTATATACTCTCATAACCTGTTTTATCTAAAGAGATTTCCTTTTTCTACTATTATACCCATCTCATTCCCTAATTTATTTATTCTTATTTCTCTCTCTATTTTTTATTCTTTTAGGCACAGCTCATGTCTCATGACTTTCAAAAAGTTTTTCTTCTGATATTCCCAGCTCGAATTAGGTACATCCCAATCAGTTTCCTTAGACTTACAACTCTGCAAATTATTGGCTTGCAATCTGTCTTAGGCTGGGAATTAGCTCCTTGTAGGCAGGGGCTAGAATTTATTTACACTTATGTCCATAATGCCTGACACAGGAACTATTCTCACATACAAATTGTAGGGCCATAATTCCTGAGAACATATGTATATTGTAGTGACTCATAAAGGCTTGAAATAAATTTTTAAAATGATTAATTGGGAAGTCCATGAACTTGACATCTTGATGTAGAAGAAAAGCAAGGGCAGATGAAGAAGTTATACATGATACTTGAAATACCAGAAGAATATAATCAGAGAGCAATAAATTAATCCTAGATTTTTAGATGTGAAGAAGTTCTGAGAAATATTTGAAGACATGGCTCTAGGGATGAGTACATAACACAGACCAGTAGCTAGAGTTAGAGCTTTTCAGAGTGAAGAAATTGCATTGCAGGGGGAAGGACTGTTGTATACTAAATAGAAATTGTCATTAAATGGAGACTAAGCAAGAGGCTGATGATCTGTGGATGACAGATGCATAAAGGTGTGGAGATAGAGGTAAATGCCATAATGTACAAAGAAGATATTTTTGTGCCAGAAAGAAATAATAGATCTAGAATGTAATAAAAGATAAATAGTTAACTACATTGTAATGTGGTCTGAGAACTCACTGAAGGCATAGCCATTGATATTAACTTCCACTTCGCTTCCAGACAAAAGATTTTAAATATCTTAAAAATTCCATTTGATATTGTATGATTCATCAAGACAGAAAGTAAAGCTGTAGTTGCCCTGGGAGGGTGGGGAATGGGGAGTCACTTTTTAACGGGTACAGGATTTCAATTTTACAAGGCAAAAATAATTATGGAGATGGGTGGTGGTGATGCTTGCACAACATTGTGAATACATTTAATGACACTGAATTTTATACTTAACAGTGGTTAAGATGCAAATTGTTGAGTGTGTTTTGCCACAGTTAAAAAACGGAAAACAATAGTATTTGAAGATATAGCCCATTTCATCTGGTAGCTAGCTGTATGTGTCTGCTCAGCCGTGGATAGGTATTTATGCTGTTTCTGAACTGGAGGTTACTGGTATTCTCTAAGGTATAGGAAAATTGATCTTATGTGGCTAACTGAGGTGGATATAGTTGTGTCATTCAGACAGTAATGATATAATCATGATAGATTACATTTAACACAACTTACATGTGTTATACTTTAGAAAACACTTCATAGATATTATTACTTCATACCACTTTCCCCTTACCATATTTGTCTCTCCTTTCTCTGCTGACTTCAGAAAATGTCTCTTCCACACTATTCAATTCATCTCCTTAGTTTGTCAAAATTTTACGTCTCAGAGTCTCCAAAAAAAAATTCCAGACAAGTCTCATCAGCTTTTGGTTATTGATTAATCAATATCCTTAGAGGCTTCCCCTTCTCAATTCAACATAGCTTCCAAATACACTTGCCAGTAAAACAAAGTTGTTTATATGGTTTTGTATTTCTTCCTGCTGAATTATGAACATTTTTTCATATTGACATTGATTTCCATCTGGCCATGAAATACTCAAGGTGAAGAAAATGAAACAAAATTGTTAATATTTATCAAGAGCCAGGTACTGTTTTCAGTGTCCTAGAAGCATAAACTAGTGTAATGCTCACCAGCTCATATGAGAGGCAAAAATGGATGAAATTATAAAACCAAGACACAGAGAGTTAAGGGAAATTTCCCAAGATCACACAGCCACTGAGGATATGAACTAGATTTTGACTTCAGGCTATTTACCCCAGAACCTGTGCTTTCAACCATCATTTGTACTGCTTCCCTAAATTACACTTGACTACACTGTGACATCAAATTTCACCTATGACACTGACTATCTGGGGAACTTTGCAACTTATTCTGAATATGACTCAGTTTTCTTTTCTGTACAGAGATAAAGTCAGTATATACTCTATAGATTCTTTATAAGGATTATATGAAATGACACATGAGAAGGCTTTAAAAGGACTTGGAAAGCAATAAGCTTTTTTGTTTTCAATCATTTTTCAATAGGTTATCAGTGTTGTGAATGGTTCATGAAAAATGATTTTGGGCTCAGTGAGTAACTGAAATGTTGTTGCTTAATAGTGTGTTTAATATTAATATAATAGTAACAAATGTTGTTATTGTTGAGTAATACTTATTTGGCTTTTCACTGCTTTTCTTTTCTAGTGTTTTAGTCAGAGACTTCTTAAGTCTCCTCAAGTGTGTACACATTTCTTAAGTTTGTTGGAAAGTACCAAATTTAAGATATCTTGCATTTTTTTCTTCCTTAGTAAACACTAAATTCCATCACGCAGCAGAAAAAGGGCTCTGTTATTGTTGGTACAATGGTTTAATATTCACTTGTATTCCCTGTATCGTAGTTCTGATTTAATTGCTATTTAGAATAAAATTTGTTCCTTATTATATGCATTCATAATTATAAAATTTGTGTTTTAATGCCTTCTACACATATACTGTGCTTTTCTTTATTTCCTTATATCTCTTACTGTTTCATGATCCTGGTATTTGAAATCTCATTAAGTGTTGTTTGGGGATTTGCTGGGAATGTCATCTACATAGTAATGTCTCAAGTTTGTAGCATCTTTAAAACATAATAGGAGATGGAATTCACAGCAGAGTAATAAACCTCCCGCTTTAGGCAATGTATTTGTGATTGGTATGACTTTGTTCCCAGAGGGCAGTTAGCAACACAATATTAAGGCTATGTGTACAAGGAAAACAAATTTTAAAAATCTCCTTTAAAAAAACAGTTTCCTATCCTAACCAGTATCATGCACAGAATCCGTTTCCATCTCTTCATATGGAAGCAGCTCTGGGTGGACATCTAGAAAGTTGGATAACTATTTATCACATATGATCTGTAAAGGGAGAGATTTACAAGAAAGTGTTAAATTTAATCCATAGGAAAGCAAAGTCAAAAATCAATGAATTTTCCATTTGTAGTTTTCCCTAGGGGCTCCACTCTCAAGATGGCTTATATGCGTTAGAACTAATTGACTAGGCACAATTGTTTGTTAGTGACATAAAAGCAAGGTGAGCATTTCTGCTTTATGAGTCCAAGCACAGGGGCATTGGTTTTCTTTGGAAGGATATCATAAAGGCAATGTTTATGAGTAATCCCTCATTGTCTTTCCTTCTGTAGCATTCAATGGTATGTACTATAATTTAGAAATGAAAACTATTTAAAGACCACTTGCTAAGTTTCATGTATTTCAAATTCTCAGATCCTAAGTGTTTAAATATGCCTATATTTCTTCATGAAAAAAAACATAATCTTTGCCAAGTTAGAAAAAGAAAAAGTCATATTCCCATTTTTATCTAAATGTAATCAGAAATTTGGACAGTTTTTAGCCTTCAATACATTATGTAATTTGGGTAACAGGTTGAATAAAAGTAAGGAACTTCAGTTAAATTCAGAGAGAAGCTAGTAATTATTTCTAAGACTCAAATGTATAGAACAGATCTCTGATAGTAAGGGTAAAACCCTCAAAGGTGACCCAAAATGGGTAATTGTGGGATTATTTTGGGAGGAATCATCATAGATTCTTACTGCTATAAATACAGTCAAATGTCAGATAAATATACTCCACTGAAATGTTTTCTAGGAATGATGTTGGAACCAATGTTGGTAATTTTGAAAGTCATGGAGAGGATTTCAGATGATAGAAGTCGGGCAACTATCCCAGGTTTAATAAATAAGTAAATTGTGAGTTCCAAAAATGCTGTATCAATGAGCCTCATATTGATCCTGAGCACAATTTCAGGAAGGTCCATTAAATGGGTCTTTGGAGAGCACTTAGGATAAAAGGCTGGCAGCAGGGATTCACTAAGAGCAATGGTGCCAAGCTTGTCTCTTTAGCATTGTTATGTGACTGATAAAGGTAGGCTATAGCGATACACAATACAGATATTTCCAGGGTAAAGCTGTCGAGCTGCTGTAATTTTCCTTGCCTCTTCACTATCTTCTCCTATAGTTGACTCCCAAGGAAAAGATAGTTGACTTTTAATCTAGAAATGTATGTTAATTAGCAAAAACAAACAAATGAAACCATAAACTATCCTTTAGGCTTCTCTCTGCTCAGTTATTAGATCATATGAATGTGCCCTTAGGAAACACAGAAGACCCACACTACTATAGAGACAAATTTCTTACATTCTCTGCTGTTTAATGCTCTTCAAAAGACTTACCATACTTCACTAATTTGATTACCAACTACTTGAACACAGGGACCAATGTGCTTATTAAAAATTTTGCATATTATGAGGGCATTAACTTTTAAGTATTCGATTGTTAAGACAATGCATATTATTATAAACCATAGAAGGCACACTTATTACCTCCTTAAGAACCAGTCTCTATTTCTCTGGTTCATAGATCTCCAAGGTCATAGAGGGATTTTACATTTGTGTCTTCAATTGGCCCTCTTCAGCCCTAGGATAAATAGTGATTAATCTAAGCCAATGGTTTTCAGCTCTGTCTGACCCAATGCCTCTACTTCACAAGAAACTCTTCAAAGACCCCTTCGCTATTCTAAACTATTAGTGAGAACACAATGTATGCATTCAAGTTGTTGAAAATATTAATGTTATGCTGAAGCTAACAAAGGAGAAATAATTTACTGTCAATATATAATCCAAAATGTATATAATTGTGCCAGAACATTTACATATCAAATACAATAGAACATAATGAAATTTTCATATCTTCACCAATACTTTGATACATTGTAAATAAAAAGCTACAGATATAGTTTCATTGAATAACCAAATGCCAAAACTGCCATTTCTATTGTTGACATGATTGATCTGCATTGGTAAATGTAATAGATACTTTCTGTTTGGCCCTTGTCCCCTGTTATACTCCCCTATTTACTGGCTTTTGTCCAAGTGGAATGGTCCATATTGAATATCTCAATCGGTTCCCTTGCTCATTGCCTTCTATGCATGTTCATGAGATTAAAGGGAAGGAGGTAATGGGATTGGGGGTTATTGCCTAAACTCCCTCTCTGCTAGGTCTCCTTGACCAATCTTTTTCATAAGAAAATTAGTGTTTCCTTGTGTGATCAGGGCAGTTTACTCTCAAGAACTCTGCCTGCTGCTACTAACCCAGAGTTATTGTGGGGTGTGATTTCTGTGATTCCTTCACCCTTCTCCCCTGACATTTTCGTAAGTAGTCTCTTTGGAAATAAACCCATGTTAAATTATCTTAGTTTGTGTGTGTTCTATTTTTCCTATTGAGACTCTGAAATGAGTATCTAAATGAAAAAATCTACCGTCTTTTCTCATATACATAGTAGTTTCGTTCTTGCAAAATTCATGGCATATTAAAACCATGCAAAAGTATTTGGCACTTAGGCAGTTACATTTGGGATTGTATAATTAAACAAAGCAGGTTATTCGCCTTCATTACATTAGAAAGTCTTTCAGGACATGCAGCAATCCTTAATTAGGAGCGGCTATCCCATGTTACTGGACATATGGCATCCCTGTTTTCCAATCCTTAAAGTTTTTCCTTAAAGTTCCAAAATGCCATCACTTATTATTTCCTGCCATTGGATTTTGTCACATGAAGTTGTAAGGCTGGGAATGCCATAGCCATCTTGAAAACATAGGTAGAAAGATAAGAGAATCACAAAGAAGTGGATCATGTTGAATTAACTAAGCATTGATACCATCTATTTGTTGTGTGATTTGGTAAAAGTTGCTCCTTGTTTTTTTCTTCAGTTAGTTGACTATTCTGTTACTTGAAGCTAAAAACTTTTTTCTTTTCTTTCTTTTTTTTTTTTTTGACAGAATCTTACTCTGTTGCCCAGGATGGAGTACAATGGTGTGATCTTGGCTCACTGCAACCTCTGCTTGCCTAGTTCAAGCAATTCTCACACCTCAGCCTCCCTAGTAGCTGGGATTACAGGCACATGCCACCACACTCAGATAATTTTGTATTTTTAGTAGAGATGGGGTTTCACCCTGTTTGCCAGGCTGGTCTCAAACTCCTGACCTCAAGTGATCTGCCCACCTCAGCCTACCAAAGTGCTGGGATTACAGGTGTAAGCCACTGACCCTGCCCAAAAACATTTTAACCAATAGCAAAGCACATTATTTCATTACATTTTTTCAAAAGTTGCAAGTAATTTCAATTAAAAATATTATATAACATGTTTAATGCAATACAAATACTTTTCAATGTACAATGAGGTTAAGTCTTGATAAGCTGATTATAAATTGAAAATACAGTAAGTTAAAAATGTATTTAATACCTCACTTACAGAATATCACAGCTTAGCCTGGCATACCTTTAATGTGCTCAGAACACTTATATCAGCTGACAATTGGGCAAAATCATTGAATACAAAACCCACTTTATAATAAAGCATTGGATATTTTATGTAATTTGTTGAATATTGTACTGAAAGTGAAAAGCAGAATGGTTATATTCTATTCAAAGCTATCACTTTTGCTTCATCATAAAGTAAAAAAAATCATAAATTGAACCATTATAAGTTGTTGACCATCAGTGTATATGTATGTGTGTGTGTACCTATATAAACATGTATGTTTATATATATATTTGTGTGCGTATATATCCTCGGTGTGTGTGTATGTGTCTGAGAGTGTGTGTGTGTGTATGAAATTGTAGGAAAGTAAAATTTCTTATCTTATAGCTATAGCATGTTAACATGTTGGTACCTATCCTCCTGAGATGTGAAATTTTACATGGATAGATGTGTACATTTACAGTTGTACACAAAGAGAAACATATTCTGTAGGCTCTTTGTTTTTCCACAGTTTCATTCAACACTATCTGGTTTATATGGATGACTACATATATAATGCTAGGATGAAGTTTCTTCTCTATAACTGTGAAACTTCCTTGATTATCAACCCTTGGTATATTCTTAGAATAGGATTTTATTTTAGAATTAAGATCCTTGTTTCAGGACTCTAGACTGTTAACACACAGAGCCAATAATTATTCAGAATGGTTGGGTTAGTTCACATTCCCACAGATGAGACATCAAATGTCCAGGCTGCACAGCCTCATTAACACTAGATTTTCTGGACATTTTATATAGTATTTCATCTTATATAAAAAGTAGAATTCTAATTTAATTATGGTTGTTAATTTATTTTTATCTTTTTAGTCATTATGAAAATGTTTAACTATATGAAAAGCTAGGAAAGAGTATTATTTTTTAAGGTAGTACTTCAGAAATATGTGTGATACTTAATTTTTAAAAATTAACTCTAAAAGAAACTTGAAATGTCTGTTCAATGAAATAGGTTATAAATACTGGTCACATTAGTGAAAAATATTTGTTTAAAATTAAAATATCTGCAGCAATCCTGTAGATATTAATAATTTTTAAAGAATGACATCTTCAAAATATAAATGTTCTAAACTTATAATCAGTTAAATATGTCTCTATTAATACATATAGATACATATATCTAAATAAATTTGAAGACTTCAAATTCCAGGTACAATATAATTTTTTTCTATCCTGTGATTTGTCATTCAGTATTTTGTAATTTGAACAGAAATATTTTGCCCTAACCACATGTCTGTCTTTTCTCTTACCTAGAAATGTTCTTTTATGCAAAATTGTTTTAAAGGTCAGTTTGCATGTTTGAAAGCATCTTGTAGAATGTTACACAATATATTGCATATTTGGTTACATTGTTTTAACTGTGTAAATAGGGTTTAAATCTATGATGCACTTTAGTGCTGATCATGATGCAAAGCAAATTTATCTGTATAAAATCTTCTGTTAATTTTTTTTATTATTATATTTTAAGTTTTAGGGTACATGTGCACAACGTGCAGGTTTGTTAGATATGTATACATGGGCCATGTTGGTGTGCTGCACCCATTAACTCGTCATTTAGCATTAGGTATATCTCCTAATGCTATCCTTCCCCCCTCCCCCCACTGCACAACTGTCCCCAGTGTGTGATGTTCCCCTTCCTGTATCCATGTTTTCTCATTGTTCAATTCCCACCTATGAGTGAGAACATGTGGTGTTTGGTTTTTTCCTTGCAATAGTTTGCTGAGAATGATGGTTTCTAGCTTCATCCATGTCCCTACAAAGGACATGAACTCAACATTTTTTATGGCTGCCCGGTATTCCATGGTGTATATGTGCCACGTTTTCTTAATCCAGTCTATCATTGTTGGACATTTGTGTTGGCTCCAAGTCTTTGCTATTGTGACTAGTGCCACAATAAACATACATGTGCTTGTGTCTTTATAGCAGCATGATTTATAATCCTTTGAGTATATACCCAGTAATGTGATGGCTGGGTCAAATGGTATTTCTAGTTCTAGGTCCCTGAAGAATCATCACACCAAGTTCCACAATGGTTGAACTGGTTTACAGTCCCATCAACAGTGTAAAAGTTTTCCTATTTCTCCACATCCTCTCCAGCACCTGTTGTTTCCTGACTTTTTAATGATCGCCATTCTAACTGGTGTGAGATGGTATCTCGTTGTGGTTTTGATATGCATTTCTCTGATGGCCAGTGATGATGAGCATTTTTTCATGTGTCTTTTGGCTGCAAAATGTCTTCTTTTGAGAAGTGTCTGTTCATTTCCTTTGCCCACATTTTGATGGGGTTGTTTGTTTTTTTCTTGTGAATTCATTTGAGTTCATTGTAGATTCTGGATATTAGCCCTTTTTCAGATGAGGAGGTCGCAAAACTTTTATCCCATACTGTAGGATGCCTGTTCACTCTGATAGTGGTTTCTTTTGCTGTGCAGAAGCTGCTTAGTTTAATTAGATCCCATTTGTCAATTTTGTCTTTTGTTGCCATTGCTTTTGGTGTTTTAGACATGAAGTCTCTGCCCATGTTTATGTCCTGAATGGTATTGCCTGGTTTTTCTTCTAGGGTTTTTATGGTTTCAGGTCTAACATGTAAGTCTTTAATCCATCGTGAATTAATTTCTGTATAAGGTGTAAGGAAGGGATCTAGTTTCAGCTTTCTATATATGGCTAGCCAGTTTTCCCAGCACCATTTATTAAATAGGGTATCCTTTCCCTAGTTCTTGTTTTTGTCAGGTTTGTCAAAGATCAGATACTTGTAGATATGTGGCATTATTTCTGAGGGCTCTGTCCTGTTCCATTGGTCTATATCTCTGTTTTGGTACTAGCACTATGCTGTTTTGGTTACTGTAGCCTTGTAGTATAGCTTGAAGTCAGGTAGCATGATGCCTCCAGCTTTGTTCTTTTGGCTTAGGATTGACTTGGGAATGTGGGCTCTTTTTTGGTTCCGTATGAACTTTAAAGTAGTTTTTTCCAATTCTGTGAAGAAAGTCATTGGTAGCTTGATGGAGATGGAATTTAATCTATAAATTACCTTGGAGAGTATGGCGATTTTCACGATATTGATTCTTCCTACCCATGAGCATGGCATGTTCTTCCATTTGTTTGTATCCTTTTTTATTTCATTGAGCAGTAGTTTGTAGTTCTCCTTGAAGAGGTCCTTCACTTCCCTTGTAAGTAGTATTCCTAGGTATTTTATTTTCTTTGAAGCAATTGTGAATGGGAGTTCACTCATGATTTGGCTCTCTGTTTGTGTGTTATTGGTGTATAAGAATGCTTGTGATTTTTGCACATTGATTTTGTATCCTGAGACTTTGCTGAAGTTGCTTATTAGCTTAAGGAGATTTTAGGCTAAGACGATGGGGTTTTCCACATACACAGTCATGTCATCTGCAAACAGGGACAATTTGACTTCCTCTTTTCCTAATTGAATGCCCTTTATTTCCTTCTCCTTCCTAATTGCCCTGGCCAGAAATTCCAACACTATGTTGAATAGGAGTGGTGAGAGAGGGCATCCCTGTCTTGTGCCAGTTTTCAAAGGGAATGCTTCCAGTTTTTGTCCATTCAGTATGATATTGGCTGTGGGTTTGTCATAGATAGCTCTTATTATTTTGAGATACGTCCTATCAATCCCTAATTTATTGAGAGTTTTTAGCATGAAGGGCTGTTGAATTTTGTCAAATGCCTTTTCTGCATCTATTGAGATAATCATGTGGTTTTTGTCCTTGGTCCTGTTTATATGCTGGATTACGTTTACTGATTTTCATATGTTGAACCAGCCTTGCATCCAAGGGATGAAACCCGCTTGATCATGGTGGATAAGCTTTTTATATGTTGCTGGATTTGGTCTGCCCGTATTTTATTGAGTATTTTTGCATCAATGTTCATCAAGGATATTGGTCTAAAATTCTCTTTTTTTTTGTTTTGTCTCTGCCAGGCTTTGGTATCAGGATGATGCTGGCCTCATGAAATGAGTTAGGGAGGATTCCCTCTTTTTCTATTGATTGGAATAATTTCAGAAGGAATGGTACCAGTTCCTCCTTGTACCACTGGTAGAATTCGGCTGTGAATCTATCTGGTCCTGGACTTTTTTTGGTCGGTAAGCTATTAATTATTGCCTCAATTTCAGAGTGTTTTATTTGTCTATTCAGAGGTTCAACTTCTTCCTGGTTTAGTCTTGGGAGAGTATATGTGTCAAGAAATTTATCTATTTCTTCTAGATTTTCTAGTTTATTTTTGTAGAGGTGTTGATAGTATTCTCTGATTGTAGTTTGTATTTCTGTGGGATCGGTGGTGATATCCCCTTTGTCAATTTTTATTGCATCTATTTGATTCTTCTGTCTTTTCTTCTTTATTGGTCTTGCTAGTGGTCTGTCAATTTTGTTGATCTTTTCAAAAAACAGCTTCTGGATTCATTGATTTTTTGAAGGGTGTTTTGTGTCTCTATTTCCTTCAGTTCTGCTCTGATCTTCGTTACTTCTTGCCTTCTGCTAGCTTTTGAATGTGTTGGCTCTTGCTTCTCTAGTTCTTTTCATTGTGATGTTAAGATGTCAATTTTGTTTCTTTCCTGCTTTCTCTTGTGGGCATTTAGTGCTGTAAATTTCCCTCTTCACACTGCTTTGAATGTGTCCCAGAGATTTCGGTATGTTGTGTCTTTGTTCTTGTTGGTTTCAAAGAATATCTTTATTTCTGCCTTCATTTCCTTATGTACCCAGTAGTCATTCAGGAGCAGGTTGTTCAGTTTCCATGTAGTTGAGTGGTTTCGAGTGAGTTTCTTAATCCTGAGTTGTAGTTTGATTGCACTGTGGTCTGAGAGACAGTTTGTTAAACTTTCTGTTCTTTTACATTTGCTGAGGAGTGCTTTACTTCCAACTATGTGGTCAATTTTGGAATAGGTGTGGTGTGGTGCTGAAAAGACTACATATTCCGTTGATTTTGGATAGAGAGTTCTGTAGATGTCTATTAGGTCTGCTTGGCGCAGAGCTGAGTTCAATTCCTGTATATCCTTGTTGACTTTCTGTCTCGTTGATCTGTCTAATGTTGACAGTGGGGTGTTAAAGTCTCCCATTATTATTTTGTGGGCGTCTAAGTCACTTTCTAGATCACTAAGGACTTGCTTTATGAATCTGGGTGCTTCTGTATAGTCTGCATATATATTTAGGATAGTTATTTCTTGTTGAATTGATCTCTTTACCGTTATGTAATGGCCTTCTTTGTCTCTTTTGATCTGTGTTGGTTTAAAGTCTGTTTTATCAGAGACTAGGATTGCAACCCCTGCCTTTTTTTGTTTTCCATTTGCTTCGTAGATCTTCCTCCATCCCTTTATTTTGAGCCTATGTGTGTCTCTGCAGGTGAGAAGGCTTTCCTGAATGCAGCACACTGATGGTTCTTGACTCTTTATCCAATTTGCCCGTCTGTGCCTTTTAATTGGAGCATTTAACCCATTTACATTTATGGTTAGTATTTTTATATGTGAATTTGATCCTGTCATTATGATGTTAGCTGGTTATTTTCCTCGTTAGTTGATGCAGTTTCTTCCTAGCCTTGATGGTCTTTACAATTTGGCATGTTTTTGCAGTGGCTGGTACCAGTTGTTCCTTTCCATGTTTAGTACTTCCTTCAGGAGCTCTTTTAGGGCAGGCCTGGTTGTGACAAAATCTCTCAGCATTTGCTTGTCTGTGGAGTATATTATTTCTCCTTCACTTATGAAGCTTAGTTTGGCTGGATATGAAATTCTGGGTTGAAAATTCTTTTCTTTAAGAATGTTGAATATTGGCCCCCACTCTCTTCTGGCTTGTAGAGTTTCTGAGGAGAGATCAGCATTTAGTCTGATGGGCTTCCCTTTGAGGGTAACCTGACCTTTCTCTCTGGCTGCCTTTAAAATTTTTTCATTCATTTCAACTTTGGTGAATCTGACAATTATGTGTCTTGGAGTTGCTCTTCTCGAGGAGTATCTTTGTGGCATTCTCTGTATTTCCTGAATTTGTATGTTGGCCTGCCTTACTAGATTGGGGAAGTTCTCCTGGATAATATCCTGCAGAGTGTTTTCCAACTTGGTTCCATTCTCCCTGTCACTTTTAGATACACCAATTAGACATACATTTGGTCGTTTCACATAGTCCCATATTTCTTGGAGGTTTTGTTCATTTCTTCTATTCCTTTTTCCCTAAACTTCTCTTCATGCTTTATTTCAATCATTTCGTCTTCCATCGCTGATACTGTTTCTTCTAGTTGATCACGTTGGATACCGAGGCTTATGCATTTGTCATGTAGTACTTGTGCCATGGTTTTCAGCTCCATCTGGTCCTTTAAGGACTTCTCTGCATTTGTTTTTCTAGTTATCCATTCGTCTAATTTTTTTTTCAAAGTTTTTAACTTCTTTGCCATTGGTTCAAACTTCTTCCTTTAGTTCGGAGTACTTTGATCTTCTGAAGCCTTCCTCTCT
Source organism: Homo sapiens (assembly GCF_000001405.40). Taxonomy (NCBI): domain Eukaryota; kingdom Metazoa; phylum Chordata; class Mammalia; order Primates; family Hominidae; genus Homo; species Homo sapiens. The sequence goes on from NC_000024.10 coordinate 11,272,995, forward strand.
CAACTCATCAAAGTCATACTCCGTCCAGCTTTGTTCCATTGCTGGTGAGGAGCTGCATTCCTTTGCAGGAGGAGAGGCACTCTGATTTTTAGAGTTTCCAGTTTTTCTGCTCTGTTTTTTCCCATCTTTGTGGTTTTATCTTCCTTTGGTCCTGGATGATGGTGACATACAGATGGGGTTTTGGTGTGGATGTCCTTTCTGTTTGTTAGTTTTCCTTCTAACAGTCAGGACCCTCAGCTGCAGGTCTGTTGGAGTTTACTGGAGGTCTACTCCAGACACTATTTGCCTGGGTATCAGCAGCGGTGGCTGCAGAACAATGGATATTGGTGAACTGCAAATGCTGCTGCCTGATCGTTCCTCTGGAAGTTTTGACTCAGAGGGGTACCCGGCCATGTGAGATGTCAGTCTGCCCCTACTGGGGGCTGCCTCCCAGTTAGGCTACTCAGGGGTCAGGAACCCACTTGAGGAGGCTGTCTGCCCGTTCTCAGATCTCAAGCTGCATGCTGGGAGAAACACTACTCTCTTCAAAGCTGTCAGACAGGGGCATGTAAGTCTGCAGAGGTTATTGCTGTATTTTGTTTGTCTGTGCCCTGACCCCAGAGGTGGAGCCTACAGAGGCAGGCTGGCCTCTTTGAGCTGTTGTGGGCTCCACCCAGTTTGAACTTCCTGGCTGCTTTGTTTACTTACTCAAGCCTGGGCAATGGCAGGCGCCCCTCCCCCAACCCCACTGTAACTTTGCAGTTTGATCTCAGACTGCTGTGCTAGCCAACAGCGAGGCTCTGTGGGTGTAGGATCCTCCAAGCCAGGTACTGGATATAATCTCCTGGTGTGCCATTTGATAAGCCTGTTGGAAAAGTGCCGTATTAGGGTGGGAGCGACCTGATTTTCCAGGTTCCATCTGTTACCCCTTTCTTTGACTAGGAAAGGGAATTCCCTGACCCATTGTGCTTCCCAGGTGAGGTGACGCCTTGTCCTGCTTTGGCTCATGCATAGTGAGCTGCACCCACTGTCCAGCACTCCCCAGTGAGATGAACCTGGTACCTCAGTTGGAAATGCAGATATCACCTGTCTTCTGCATCACTCATGGTGGGAGCTGTAGACTGGAGCTGTTCCTATTCGACCATGTTGCCTCCATCCTCTAATTTTTAACTTTCAAAAGATTAGATACATTTACCCTTTTCTGAATTTTAATTCCTGATACAAAGATTGTGAAATCTCAAGAGGATAATGAATCAGCTTCTGATTATATTCTGGAATTACGATTTGATCACCCATCCAAGAATGCGTATTCACTTTCCTTTACATTACACACATGCATAATACCATGCTGAGTGATGCTGGAAAAAGTGAGTCTTCAGTAATGCCCTCATAAATTACAGTCTCATTACACCGAGGTATTTTCTTTTTAACCCTTTTTTTCTTTTCTGCTGTGAATATGTGCCTTCTAAGAGGTGAAAAACTGGGAAAAACTGAAAAAGAACCTTCATCTAATTCAATAACTACCTTTTGTATCTTCTAAGAATTTTTATCTCCAGAAAGCTCTAATCTTCATTCCTTTAAAGCTTTATTTCTCTCTCCTTTCCAACATCAGACTTTTCTGTTTGTTTTCTACACCTTTTTTAGAGATGCCTACAATAGAAAAAAACTATGACATATTCAATACATCAGAAAAGTTTGCATTGCCCTAGAAAAGAATGAATTATCTGTTTATAAAGAAAAAAACAATAAAAATATGAAGCAAGAAAGCACAGAAGGTAGTAACCACATTTAGATGTTTATCATGGAATCATCTTTATAATCCATCTGTTACAATTCCACAGAGCAAATTACAAGTAATTGTGAAGTTTCCCCTCATTTTATAGGTTTGGTCTTATAAGGCATACAACACAAATTTTAATACTTTTCTTTTTGGTATTTGGATCTTAATTTGGTCAAGTGGCCGCTGGGTAGATGATGGAGCCTCTTGAGACATACAGTCTTCTTCTAGCTTTGTTGATGTGAATATTACTGTGTAGTTTTCATTCACTTATTATTTTACAAGGCATGCTTCATTAAAAATATGTCAGCATCTCATTGACAAATCACAAAATTTAAAAGGCACAAGAAAAAAGCAATTTATTTGAAACATTCCTGTGTGAAAGTAGTCACCACTCTTACTATTCTTCAAATATTTTTATTATATTTAAACACAAGCCTAGTTTTACCTCGAGTGTCTGACCTTGATGATATTGTACACTTTAAACTTGGAAAAAATTGAACTCTATTGGAAATTTCCTACAGATCAGCTTTTCTAGATGCCAAGCGCCTTGTTTCAGCTGCGGTGATGACAGCAAATTGGGTTCTCAGGAATTCTGGCCACTGGCATCATCTCAGTTGTTTATAATTGAAGTTGGCTCTGACGAGAACTCAGCTTAGATGCATGGTTGGACTGCTGGGCTTAAGGCTAGCCTTCCAGGAGGTTGCATTGAGGTGTAACTAGGCAAAGAAAGAAGGAGTTTATTGAGGCACTACTGACAATAGCAGACTTGGAACCAACCCAAATGTCCAACAATGATAGACTGGATTAAGAAAATGTGGCACATATACACCATGGAATACTATGCAGCCATAAAAATGATGAGTTCTTGTCCTTTGTAGGGACATGGATGAAGCTGGAAACCATCATTCTCAGCAAACTATCACAAGGGGGAACATCACACACTGGGGCCTGTTGTGGGGTGAGGGGCTAGGGGAGGAAAAGCATTAGGGGATATACCTAATGAAAATGATGAGTTAATGGGTGCAGCACACCAACATGTCACATGTATACATATGTAATGAACCTGCACGTTGTGTACATGTACCCTAGAACTTAAAGTATAATAAAAAAAAAAAGAAGGAGGTTGGGCAAAATTACCAACAATCTTCATCTATGAATTTTTATGAGTAGGGGCTTCTCACACCATCAGGCACTCCAAGTTGGAGAAACAAGGGATGTTGAATTGAAAGTTTAATTGTTTAGGCTTGATAGTCAGATTAGGGAAGTTTTGGGTACACCTTTCCCACTCTAGAGCCCTCTCCCTAACTCAGGGTCAATTTGGGACATGGGCTCAATGGAAAAGAGTGCCAAGATCAATTAGAAATATCCATCATGAACATAGGAGGCAGGCATTCTGGCCAAGGGGTGCGTCGTCCCACTTTGTAATCCAGAGTGCGATTTCTTCTTGCTCTCTGTCCCTCCATAAATAAGCGTTGGGTGAAGGACAAGCTAGTTACAACTGAGGATGGAATGAGATTCTAGCAGAATTGCAAAATGAACTGAGAGCCACGAAAGTGTTCCTCTGTGAACAAGCAGAGAGATCTGTGGAAGGCAAAGGAAGAGGAGCCAAGAGGCCAGATAACATTCCTGCTTCCCCTACATTGTGAGAGTGAAATTATCCGCAAAGTATATCAGTAACTAACCAGAGGCTTTTTAGAGAGTAAGACTTCTGATAGATACCTTAATAGCTGAAGTTGCTCTTCAGTACTGCACATAACCTGTGGACAGATTTTCATCATTATTAATTCATTTATTCAACAGATAGATATTAAATTCAAGCCATAGTTCTAAACTATGCAGTCAATTACAAAAAAATAATGAAGGGCATTAGCTGTGCCTCATAGGATGTTAAAACTCTAGGTGCTGAATGAGACAAATAGGGTTCCCACATCAAGTGCCTGGGCTCCTGTTATAACCTGGACTGTGCTTCCAATGACTTCTCTTGTTTCTGTTTTGGTAAACTCATCATTTGGCTTAGTCCCTATCCTTGCCATGCTCACCCACCAGTAGGTGGACCTCCTTGACCATAACTACAGGCATAGATCTTTCATTGTTTCTTTTCAAATGTTTGCTTACTTTAGAGCCGCAGTCAAATGTTGTTTGGACCATAAGACTCTGAGGGTGTGTGTGGTTGAAACTGTCTTGAGACTCAAAGAGCTATTGAGGAAGGGATTTGGTAGCTGAACTCTTTTTAAGTTTTTCTCTGTCTCTCACACATCTGGGGCTGAATAGCTTAACATATTGTTTAATTTCTACGTCAATGATAGTTTAATAGGCATTCATGCAAATCAGTTGTGCTGGGAGTTTATTATCCTACTCCAATAGCAAGTAACGCATTCCTTAAATTTAGTGTACGTATAAATTCTACATGGTAAGTGAAGCTGTCTTTATGAATTGCTGCTATAGAATATACTAGATTGTGTAGGTTTTAGTACAATCCAGGTAATTATCAAGCCTTTGTAATATTTTCAGGAAAGTGATCCTTTCACTTCAGTTTATGGAACTTGGAAAGTTTTCAATGGCCACCCACTTGTTAGATCATAAACTTAATTCTATGTATCTGAATTTATTTTTCTATTTATAAATTTATCTGGATGTTTTCTCAAAGGTTTCCCAGATTAAAAAAACCTATGGCTTTGTAAAATAAAAACAGAAGTAATAAGAATTGTGTTAAAAAACAGAATCAGGCCAAGCATGGTGGCTTATGCCTGTAATGCCAATACTTAGGGAGGATCATTTGAGGTCAGGAGTTCAAGACCAGCCTGGGCAACCTGGCAAAACCCCACCTGTATTAAAAAAATACACAAATTAGCTGGCGTGGTGGTGAATGCCTTTATTCCTAGCTACTCAGGAGGCTAAGGCAGGAGAATAGCTTGAACCCCGGAGGCTGAGGTTGCAGTGAGCCAAGATAGAGCCACTGCATTCCAGCCTGGGTGACAGAGTGAGATCCTGTCTTAAAAAAAAAAGAAAAAAAGAAAAGAAAAAGAAAGAAAACCAGAATCATACAATGAGAGAGATTGAATAGCCCTTTTAATTGTCCATAATGGATACATTTCTTTTTCTGTGTAATAGTTTATCAGCATGAAAATTTTCTTTTTCTGTGTAATAGTTTATCAGCATGAAAAAAAAGAGTCACTGAACACTGATAATTTTTTTTCTCTCTTTCTCTCTTTTTTTTTTTCCTTTTTTTGGAGATGAAGTCTCACTCTGTTGCCCAGGCTGGAGTGCAATGGCAACATCTCTGTTCACTGCAACCTTCACATCCTGGGTTCAGGCGATTTTCCTTCCTCAGCCTCCCAAGTAGCTGGGATTCCAGGTGCATCCCGCCATGCCTGGATAAGTTTTTGTATTTTCAGTAGAGACGGGTTTCATCATGTTGGCCAGGCTGGTCTCAAACCCCTGACCTCAAATGATCTGCCCTCCTTAGCCTCCCAAATTGCTTGTGATGATTTTCATTTAATGGTGTTCTACAAAGTGAGTTTAGGCAATGAAAGCGCACATGTCATCTATAGTTTACCAGAAAGTAGTACCAGTCACCAGCATTGAAGCATACTCCTAACACTGGAAAATTTCTTCAGCAGCCAGAATTAATCTGATTTTGAGACTGGAGCAAAGACTAATTTGGTATGTGTTCATTCATATTAGTAAATCTCCATGGTGTTCGAACTGTATAATACCAAATCTAAAATAAGTCAAAAGAGTTGAACAATATCTCATCTCTGAGAAAAAATGCATTATTTTCAACAGATTTAAGACTGAATTTAAAATCCAACTGCCTATTCTAGTGTATGTTTCTCTAGAATAAGGCCAAGCCCTACAAATTCTGGATAGTGTCCTCCAAGTTGTGTTTCAGTGATAATTGATAAATCTATGGTTTAGATACATATGGAATTCCATATAACTCTAGCTCCAGCCTTTGTGAGTAAAAATTGGCAGTGATCATGGCCTTAATGGGGGCATGTCGTTAATTGGAATTTTCGGTACCAAAAGTCGTCTTCTTAGTAGTTTACCAGAGTACCCTATAATAATATCCATAACTCATTGCTCACTTGTCTGTTTTGATTTCTTTTTTAAAAAGACAATTTTAAACTTAGAGGATTTGTACCTCAAGTCACATATGTGGCACATTTATAAAATAATCATGACTTTGCATATTTTTCCTTTGATATCTTAGCTATATATCCAAGCCATTTATGTTTTTTAATTGCCACAAATATTGCACTGAAATAGAGCTCTAGTTGCAAAAATGCCTGGTATAACATTTCTTCTTGTTCTTGAAAGTTATTTTAATACCCCATGTTTAAGATATTCCTAGACAACTATATGTAACTATAATTATTTCTGCTAGGTAGAAACATCTTTGTGGTCAACATTTGTGAAGTTCCTTGTAAATAAAAATATGCTTGAGTAGAAATAGTATTTTGCAAATATTTCCCTAAATAGAGCTACTGATTTTACAAAGAATTAAAGACTCCAACCTCTGTCTTTGTCTTTCAAATTAGGTTTATAGGAACATCTCATTACAATGAGCCAAAAGCCTATCTGATCATTAATGAGATAATTTTGACACTTCCAAATGACACAGCTAATTTGTAGTAGGTTTTTGAAGTGCAAATTACATGTTTCTGTTTAAATAATGACAGTAAAATATGGACACTATCTAGTCACACTCTATATACACAACTACAACATGTCTCTAGAAGAAAAGTTTGATTTTTAAGGTCTCATCCACAAAATGAAGTGTTAATAAGCTGTATCTTTATTCTCACTTTTAAGTAATTTCTTCTTAACCATCGTATAACACTACCAAAGTTTGTACGGAGATAAAATAAATCATGGTGAGAAATCCAGTTCTTTAAAAAATCATTTTACCTTCAATCACTTTTAGGATATATATGGTTTTAGAGTAAGGACAAAAATTTATAAACATTGTTAAATTATGCAACTGTTTTTGAAGATGTTTCAAAATTACATTTTCCTTATTTTACAACTAGTTTTCTTGTATTCACAAATGAGACACATGAGAATTATTAATGCAAAAGCAAAGCATATCAACAAAGTTTATAATGTAAATAGTTTAGTTCGGAAAGAATGTAATGAGTGAATTATCAAAGGTATTTTATTGGTTCCTAGATTTACCATAGAAGAAAATAAAGCAGCCTTATAAAAATTTCTCAGCACTGAGTCCATTTAAGGTCTATTTTGTATGCTGTAAGTTCTACAAAATGTTATTGCCGGTAAAAATAGGGTGCCTATCTAAAATTGTCTTTTTAAAGGTTCTCTCTTATTCTTCTTCCCTTCCTATGTGTGCACAGAATACTGTCATCGTCTTGATTGGAACACTGTGTCTCTTTCTCAGAGGGTATACGTTTGTAGAAGGGAGAAAATATTTGTTAATTTTCTTCCTATAAGATAAGGTCTCAATGGTTGAAGGTCAGTTAACAAACATTTTTTTGTCTTCATACTATTATCTTGGAATTACCAACTGGCTTCTATTTAGATTTTGAATAATGAAAGAAAAGAACTAGCATTTGTTAGAACTTACTGTGTTCCAGAAACTTTATTGATACCATTTCTTCTCATTATCACATTCGTTCTTTCAATTAGTATTATTTTTTTTCATCTTAATAAGGTGGGACCAGAGGTTTTGTAATATCTACTAACCCACTGTGGATTTCATGGCTTGCAAGAGGAAGAAAGCATGGTGGAACTCAGGTTTCTCTGATTCCAAATTCACGTCCTTTCATGTCTCCATGAAAAATAGAAAAGATAAGTTGGGCTCTATTCTAACAAGAGAAACACAATTTTCCGTCAGTTAAATGAATAATTCTTAAACCACAAAAATAAAACGTAGCAAAACCTCAATTCAAGAGTAGACATAAAGCTTGTGGCATGGGTAGAAGGGAATTATGTCTAGTGACATAGATTTGCTATGCTTATCTGACGAAAAATCTCCCTCATGATTTTCAAATCAGATGCATAACTGCATTTAATGAGTGTCACGAATCATTAATATCAGTCTCTGAAAACAGGATCATTAAAAATGATTAAGATTTTCAACAACAAAGATTTTATCTAAATATTAAGGAAATTATATTAAATGGCTCCATTCCCTGAGCAGTCTAGTTAATAATTCAACTTGTTCAAAGCTATAAAATATGGCAACTTAAAAAATTATGAAAGTTTTTCTAACATTTTGCTTAAGGTAGTTGGCCATTCTTCCTCTTGGGAATAAGAAGGGCAGATTTTCTGTCGAAGCATTTTGCTATTGTTATTTCAATTTCCATTTATGGAAAATAGATAAAATAGCAATTTTTTAGTTATAAATTTAAAGTCTAAATGGAGATAATTAAGTATCTCCATTAATTAAGTAAAGATTAATTTTTCAAAAAATAACATTTACTAAATTCTAATCAATCGATTGACTATTTTTATCCCTGGCTCAATGTAACTCTCTTTGACATACTCTTGTCTTAATTCTAGTTTATGTCAACAATGTGTAATCATAGATGACTCTTTGCCATTTTGATCTCTCAGTTCTATAAACACCTTTGATCTAAGGATAATGTTTTCCAACAGAATTATTTCTACTCAAAATTCTGAGATGGAATTTGTGGATTTAGTCTCACCCCAATCAATTTTTCAACTCTCAGGACACCAGATGGTGTCCTACAATTCAATTCAATCCTGAGACTATCTATCTGGAGATAGCATCAGATCCCACAAGTTCAGGGGTCAGGCCCACAAGACTGCCCCCCCACCATTAGAGAGAAGTTGTGGGCCTCCCATACTCCTGACCAACTGGCTATAAATTAGGACTTCCATGGATTCCTTCCCCAGGTTCTATAATTTGCTAAGATGGCGCACAGAACCCAAGAAAGCACTTTGCTTACAGTTACTGTCTGATACAAATCAGGAACTGTCAAATAGAAGAGACACATAGGGCCAGGTATGGTGAAAAGGGGCACAAAGCTGCCATATGACCTCTAAGTATATCATAGTATCACCTTCCCAGCACCTCAGAGGTGATGGAGGAGAGGGCTGACAGTTTCAACCATCTAGTTATGCCTTCATGTTTCTGGTGTCGAGCACCCACCCTGAAGCTATACAGGTCTCCAGCTACCACTCATGTCATGTCAATAGCATAAACTCAGGTATGTCTAAGAGGGACTTATGACTAGTAAAGGATGGTCCTCTCATCTCTATCAGGAAATTTCAAGTTTTAGGAGCTCTGTACTGTGAACCGGGGAGGAAGACCAAATAGGACATACACTAGACCAGTTGTGCTAACTACTGTGTGCCTCAAAATTGCCTACAGTTGTGTTACAATAAGAGATTGCTGAGACCTGCTATTGGAATTTCAGATTTGGTAGATCTGGGGGTGTAACCTGAGAATATGCAGTTCTAGTAAGTTCCCAGGTGATGCTGTTGCTGCTAGCACAGGGACCACACTTCCAGAGGGACTGAGTGAAGCATCGTCGTTACTTATAGTAGCAACTTCTCTGTAGTCACAATTTCATTCATCCCATTCTCTGAGCTCCTCCTTTAATCATTCCCTTTCATACGCTGACATAAAATTTTTCAATCTCTCTGAGACCTCCAAAATATATTTTGTCATATTCATAATGACCCTTACCTACTGATGTACTCTGTTTCCTGTTCTCCTGCCTAAATTCCATGGCCAACCATTCCCAGGAAACTTCAACTTCCTTCTTTCTCTTTCACTTTGCTGAACCTAACCAGGAAAATAACCCTGGTTACATCCAAATTTCCACCAAATCCCCACATATATTTTAGCAACTAGCTATATGGATCAAATTGAAAAATATCCCACTTGAAACTGAGAATCTGAGTGCCGCCTATCAATCAATCATACTACATATGTTCCAATCTATTCACTCTCTAATTTACCTAGTTTTGTATCTTATCCTGTCTCTAATCCCTAACACTTCCCCATAAATCCTCAATGTCTTTTTGGTTGTGCTTCCCTGAGAACATTGAATCACCCAAAGACAATTTCCACAGACTCCTGAAACCATTTAAGTTCACTTTCCCATGTCTACACCCACATACTCTCTATTTTCACCTATTATTATCTGTGAAATAACTGGCCCCTATCTTTATATTGTCTGATGATGATTTCTATATTACAGGTGAAGAAAATGAGAATAGGGTTAGAGCTACTTTCTCATTATAGCATAGCTTAGAATCAAACCCACGCAGTCCACCACTGAAACTGGGGTTCCAAGTCAGTGTATTTGGAGAAGGAGAGCTAGTAGAAAAACAATGATGAAAAGATCCAGGATGAAGTTTCTGATGGAAGAAAAGGACATTTTTACTATTATGAACTCCTTGAAGTAAACCCTAAGCATTCTCATCTAGACAAATATCCATTCATCCACTCCAGTGAGCTGATTAAGTTTTAGGATTTTAAGGGTCAGTGAACAATTATTACTCTTTCAGCAATTAAAGAAAGATTAATATGAATATTATATTGGAGAAATTTCATTTAAAACATATTTGACTGATTTTTGGCAATTGTCTTCTATCAGATCATTACCAATCCATATGAGTTGGTAGGAAGGGAGAAAACCCAAAACTTAACCAGATGCCTGAAGTTAGGGCATATTTTATAGCCAACCCAGGGGGGAAAAATGCTCAAAAGGGGAAAGATGAGGACAGAAAATACATTTCAAGGATTTTAACTTTTTGACAAAATGTCAATTATGTGCAAGAAAAACTGATTGTGTGAATATAACTTTGTCATTTACATCTGCCAATTTATTCAGAAATATATAATCTATAAGTTTTTTTAATAGTAGTTTGTTAACACAAAATTTATTCATCAAAGTATCTAAAACATTCTAAAAACACTAAAAATTTTCAATTTAAAGATTAAGCTAAACAGCTCTGTATATATAAGTAAGCTCAAACAAACGTGCATGCTCTCCAACAATAACACTGCTACAGATATTGACTGGTGGTTTTGGTTTCATTTCATTTTATAATGGCAAATCTGGTTAAGACCCAGATTCTGGGCTGGGCGCAGTGGCTCACGTCTGTGATCCCAGCACTTTGGGAGGCTGAGGCAGGCAAATCACAAGGTCAACAGATCCGGACCATCCTGGCCAACATGGTGAAACCCCATCTCTACTAAAAAAACATACAAAAGTTAGCTCGGCATGGTGGCACGTGCCTGTAGTTCCAGCTACTTGGGAGGCTGAGGCAGGAGAATCACTTGGACCTGGGAAGCAGAGGTTGCAGTGAGCTGAGGCTGTGCCACTGTACTCCAGCCTGGTGACAGAGAGAGACTCCATCTCAAAACAAAACAAAATCCCAGATTCTGAATTGAATCTCACAATAAGGATCTCAATTGCCTCAAAGAGAATAAAATACCTAGAAATCCAACTTACAAGGGATGTGAAGGATCTCTTCTAGGAGAACTACAAACCACTGCTCAATGAAATAAAAGAAGATACAAACAAATGTAAGAACCTTCCATGCTCATGGGTAGGAAGAATCAATATTGTAAAAATGGCCATACTGCCCAAGGTACTTTATAGATTCAATGCCATCCCCATCAAGCTACCAATGACTTTCTTCACAGAATTGGAAAAAACTACTTTAAAGTTCATATGGAACCAAAAAAGAGCCTGCATTGCCAAGTCAATCCTAAGCCAAAAGAACAAAGCTGGAGGTACGACGCTACCTGACTTCAAACTATATTAGAAGGCTACAGTGACCAAAAGAGCATGGTACTGGTACCAAAAGAGAGATAGAGGCCAATGGAATGCAACAGAGCCCTCAGAAATAATGCCGCATATCTACAACTATCTGATCTTTGAGAAACCTGACAAAAACAGGAACTAGGGAAAGGATTCACTATTTAATAAATGGTGCTGAGAAAACTGGCTAGCCATATGTAGAAAGCTGAAACTGGATCCCTTCCTTACACCTTATACAAAAATTAATTCAAGATGCATTAAAGACTTACATGTTAGACCTAAAATCATAAAAACCATAGAAAAAAACTAGGCAATACCATTCAGGAGATAGGCATGGGCAAGCACTTCATGTCTAAAACACCAAAAGCAATGGCAACAAAATCCAAAATTGACAAATGGGGTCTAATTAAACTAAAGAGCCTCTGCACAGCAGAAGAAACCACCATCAGAGTGAACAGGCAACCTACAGAATGGGAGAAAAATTTCACAACCTACTCATCTGACAAAGGGCTAATATCCAGAATCTACAATGAACTCAAACAAATTTACAAGAAAAAAACAACCCCATCAAAAAGTGGGCGAAGGATATGGACAGACACTTCTCAAAAGAAGACATTTATACAGCCAAAAAACACATGAAAAAATGCTATCACTGCCCATCAGAGAAAAGCAAATCAAAACCACAGTGAAATACCATCTCACACCAGTTAGAATGGCAATCATTAAAAAGTCAGGAAACAACAGGTGCTGGGGAGGATGTGGAGAAATAGGAACACTTTTACACTGTTGGTGGGACTGTAAACTATTTCAACCATTGTGGAAGTCAGTGTGGTGATTCCTCAGGGATCTAGAACTAGAAATACCATTTGACCCAGCCATCCCATTACTGGGTATGTACCCAAAGGTTTATAAATCATGCTGCTCTAAAGACACATGCACACATATGTTTATTGTGGCACTAGTATCAATAGCAAAGACTTGGAACCAACCCCAATGTCCAACAATGAGAGACTGGGTTAAGAAAATGTGGCACATATACACCATGGAATACTATGCAGCCATAAAAATAATGAGTTTATATCCTTTGTAGGGACATGGATGAAGCTGGAAACCATCATTCTCAGTAAACTATCGCAAAGACGAAAAGCCAAACACCGCATGTTCTCACTCACAGGTGGGAATTGAACAATGAGAACACATGGACACAGGAAGGGGAACATCACACACTGGGAACCGTTGTGGGGGGGGGGAGGGGAGAGGGATAGCATTAGGAGATATACCTAATGTAAATGACGAGTTAATGGGTGCAGCACACCAACATGGCACATGTATACATATGCAACGAACCTGCACGTTGTGCACATGTACCCTAAAACTTAAAGTATAATAATAATAATAAAAAGAAATGAAAACATATGTCCACACACACACACAAAAAGAAAAAAAAAAAGGTTCTCAAAGAGGTCAATATGTATATAATCTATTCTTAAAAAAAATTTCTCCAATTGTTTATTGAAATATCACACAGGCTCTGCCTTTTTTATACCCTTAAGAAGTAAGTATATTTATGTGTAGCTTTTATAAGTGAAAGCTCAGATTGTCTACTCTGTTCTGGTACCACTTTAGTTTAATTATTGGAAAATATTTAATAAAAATGAATTACTCAACAAATGGAAAATTTGAACTTCGCATACTAAATTTTTACTTCATATTATCAACTCTTGAAAAATAAGTGTGTCTATTAGAAATGACACTCATTTGACTATACCATAATATATTTCAGACTTTTTATCTTCAGCTACAGAATTTCTCTGTCCTTTGAATTATGTTAGTGGGCATTATTTTGCCAGTATTGGTGATCCACCTCCACTAATTCGCAACTCTATTATCTTACCCCCAGGGATGCATTTCCATAGTTCTGCCTTGTTATGAGTGTCATTTTTTTTCTTCTGTTTTGTTGACTGCCATTCAAGTAGTTTTGGCTTTATGAGAGATTTTCACTTTATTGTTTATCACCTCCTCATTTTTTTAGCTTCTCATAATTTACTGTATTATATCTGCCTGGGCTTTTGGTTCCTTTACAGATTTGTTTCATTTTATTTTTAGCTTATGATACTTCTAAAGTCTGTACCCTTTTAATTTTCACTTGCTTCATCGTCACATTCTTTTGTTTTGTTTTTATTTCAAAATACCAGAAAGTAGGATGTCTCAGCATATTGGTGAGTGGAATAGTTTATTTATAATCCAAAAAAATCCCATACATTTTGAGAGCTATCTGCTTCTGAGTAAAAATTTTATATATAAATTCTTGAAAAAAACCTTAAACTTCTGAGGGATTGAATGAGATTTTAAAAATCATTTTATACAACAACAGGTGCAAAATTTGTATTCCTCTACTCAAGAGAAATAATGAACATTTGTTATTAGTTTACTAACATCTAAAAGTTAATGTATTCAATTATACATTAATAAAACACAGTTAGGCTTAAGAGGTGGAAAAGTGTAAAACAAACAAGTGTATAATTTACCTTTATTCATATGAAACATCTTTTTGTCTCCTGAAAATAAAGATTAACCAGTGGTGTGCTGAGGCGGGAGGGGGTGTGTTGGAGGGAGAAAAGCCATGATTTGCCAATTTCAGCACAAAACTGAAAATGGTTATTAATCTTTACTAGCTCCAGATATCTTTTAACATATATTGAAATATATGACCCTTAAAAAGAAAACATATATATAGATTTTGACAAAACTTTGCAGTTCCACTCATGGATCCCTGTGTAAGAATCACTTTTCTATGTGTGTTTGCAATTTAAAGAGTTCAGACTTTATGATTCACAGGTAACAACTAATGATTTAATCTCAACACTTAGGCTTTTATAATATGGGAGTCAGGTGTTTAACTGCTGTAGTAGTAACTACTTCTTCTCAGAGAAACTTAGTAGCTAAGACCAGGGAAATGTCTCTTGGTGTGCAACACACCTCTTCTTTCTGAACCTAGAGTATAAGAAGCTAACTTTGTCTCAAAGTTTATATGACTTTTGCATGTGCAGTTACTAGCTATTTTCTTTTGGAACTGTAGGACTTGGAGACCTTTCCCTCTACCCTCTGAGGGTATGATAACAGAGTCTATTGAATAAATGGATAACAAGCATGTCAAAAGAAGAAAATGTGTACACATTTATTACACTCATGGGGGAATCATGGAAAGAAAAGTGGAATCAAAAACAAAACAAAACAAAACAAACAAAACACCACCAAGAAAAAACCCCAGTGAGATTTAGGAGCTTATAAGGAAGGCAGGAGGAAGAATGTAGGAAACTTAGGGGAGAGCAAATGATTTTTGGGAAAGATGACCAGACCCCTAGGAGAATAGATGATAGTTTGTGGCAGTCTGTCTTGGTGTGGAATGGACTCTTAGTCTTGTCTCCTGTGATATGAGGAGTCAATTTTCCCTGGCTGATGAAACTCCTAGGAAGGAGATGAATGTCTTTGTGCTGACAAGACAGTATCTTGAAGCTTTGTTTTCCAATTCAGTTCTAAATCTGCAGTGTATAAAAATCTCCTCATCATGCTTTGGATGTTATGGTAGATAAATGGTATCTTTACAAAGATGCATTCATTCTGGTATTGAAAGTTCCTTTTGGAGGATCTCTCTTGAGGAACGTAAAGAGAGTGCAGAGAAAGCATGTCCCGCAGTTGTTATTTTTCAAATATTTTCAGTTCGATGTAATCAGTACACCAAAGCAATCCATTCAGGACTGACATTTCCTGAACACCTTCAGAACTCTTTTTATCCCATGTTATTTCTATGAGATCACGTGATTTAAGAATAACTTTTACTTGCCACTTACATATATATTGAAAAGGCAAACTTTCCTTTCATAATTTGCTAATTTTGGCAAAGTACTTTAACAAAAGTTAAATTAAGTGAGTAAGTGAAATTTTCTGTTCTATTGTTTTGAAAACAATTCTAGAAACAGTCCTTGTAAGAACAGCAAAAAGAAAAAGATAATTCTCAACTGCAGCTTCAACCATTCTTTGCGTAACAATGTATCTAATTAAAAGGCAAAACTCTCTATTTCAGGTTTATATATATCAATTGCTTGATTAGAACGTAAATTATTTACCCCACATAATCTGGTGTCAAAAAACTTATAATAAAATTACTTTGATTTTATTGCTTATAAGTTTGTGAATTTAAATCTCAACTGACAATGATGAATTTATTTGCTTTGTGCTGACAAGACAGTATGTTGAAGTTTTGTTTTCCAAGTTAGTTCTAAATCTGCAGAGTATCAAAATCTCCTCATTGTGCTTTGGATGTTATGGTACATAAATGGTATCTTCACAAAGATATATTCATTCTGGTACTGAAAGTGCATACTTCAAATTCTTCATGAACAGTTTTATTGAAAAAATATGTAGACAAGCCATTAATTATACACAGTGATCTGGAACAAATTCTTACAAGAAGCATAGCGTGTCTTCCATTAACTGTATACAATTTATAAAAAGTTACTGAAAGCCTTCCTGAGGTTAAACAATAAATCTTTTAAATTTAACCACTGTGCTCCCTCAAAGGTAATTTTTTCTTTATGACACTCACTTAGGGGATACAGTCAGATCTCAGCCTACTTTAAACAACTAGGCAGTATTTTTAGTGCACTTTTCTGTTTGTTAAAAAGCTAGTTGTCAAGAATAAGTTGCTCAATTATCTTCCTCAATTACTTTTTATTTTGTTTTATAATTATTATTCTATTTTGGTTTTCCTTTAGAATTGTGGACTACCTTGAATCAGAAATTGCAGAGAATATATCAATATGTAAGAATGCACTCTTCAATCAAACTAGATCTCGAAAGTGTTTTGTTGTAGTTTATACCTTGAATTCAAAGGCCATTCTATACAAGGCACTTGAATAATTTTCAAGCTCTTATATTTCATAATAGTACAGAATTTATTGTTCTTGTATTTGCAAGGAGATAGACCAGATAAAATATCACTTTATTTTTTACAGTGTTGACTTTGATATTCTAAACTTGTCAGTTTATACAGATCAATGAAGACTCTGTACATGTAAAATTCACTATAATTTTTTTCTGGTATGACAGTCCAAACAAATAGTAACTACATACCCAAACAGGTAAAGTAAAAATATACAATAGCTTGACAAAAAAAAAAAAAAAGAAGAAAAAAGAAACCCCTATACATTCCTTAACATTCTAAAACTCTGAGGACCAAATTGAATTCAAAAGAAACATTTCTGGTGGGCACAGAAAGGGCTAAAAAGCTAAAGTATATAATAAGTAAATTCCTCATTGCTATAAAATATATGACCAGCATGACATTTCAATACATGTTCAAGTTTTCTGAAAAAAGTTCTAGGATAATAGGATTTCAACTTTTGATTCTACAGATATCATTCTTGTGATTGGTATGGTAGGATCATCCTCTTCATGTATTAGTGGATTCAAATGAAAAAAAAATCAGGCAGCTAGTTCCTTTCCAAGAAGCCTTAGAGATTGTTGTACATAAAAATGTGAGCCATATTTCTGATTCAAATTTTAATTAGAGAATTCTCTTTATTCCCTCTTCTGCATAAAATTATGCACTTGCACTCTGCTCTCCAGACAAGTAAAACTTCTTACCTGCTATAATTTGAGATAATCAAGACTCAGAACATATTACCTCCTAGCTGAAAGTCCCAACAAACTTCTCAGGACAAAAACAACAAAAAGTTAAATACACAGAGATAGAGTATAAAACAGTGGTTACCAGGGGCTGGGGGTGAGAAGAGAAAATGGAGATAGAGAATTCGAAGGATGCAAAGTTGCAGATATGTAGAATTAATAAATTGAGGTATCTAATGTACAACATGAGGACTGTAAGTATTAATATTTATTGTATATGGCATTTAACTGAAAGGGTAGTTTGTAGGTACTCTTTCCTCACACACATATCCAAAAGAAAGGTAACTGAGATTTTCAAAGGGAATGCTTCCAGGTTTTGCCCATTCAGTATGATATTGGCTGTGGGTTTGTCATAAATAGCTCTTAATATTTCGAGATACATCCCATCAATATCTAATTAATTGAGAGTTTTTAGCATGAAGGTTGTTGAATTTTGTCAAAGGGCTTTGCTGCATCTATTGAGATAATCGTGGTTTTTGACGTTGGTTCTGTTTATATGATGGATTACATTTATTGATTTGCATATGTTGTACCAGCCTTGCATCCCAGGGATGCAGCCCATTTGATCATGGTGGATAAGCTTTTTGATTTGCTGCTGGATTTGGTTTGCTAGTATTTTATTGGGGATTTTTGCACTCCACTCCACTCCATTCCATTCCATTCCATTCCATTCCATTCCATTCCATTCCATTCCATTCCATTCCATTCCATTCCATTCCATTCCATCTCATTTCATTCCACTCCCTTCCACTCTACTCCACTCCATTCCACTTTACTCCAGTCCACTACACTCCATTCCATTCCATTCCATTCCATTTCATTCCAATCCATTCTATTCCATTCTTTTATTTCGTCAGGAACTCACTCTGTCACCAGGCTGTAGTGAAGTGGCACAATCTCAGCCCACATTTCATGTCACCGTGCCATTCCATTCCATTCCATTCCATTCCATTCCATTCCATTCCATTCCATTCCATTCCATTCCACTCCACACCACTCCATTCCACTCTACTCCACTCTACTGCATTCCTTTCCATTACATCCGATTCCAATCCTCTTTATTCCACTCTACTCCACTACACTCAACTCCACTCCACCCCACTCAATTCCATTCCACTCTAATCCATTCCATTCCTTTCTTTCGATAGAATCTCACCTGTAACCCAGGATGGAGTGCAGTGGCACAATCTCAGCTCACATTTCATTTCACCATTCTATTACTTTCTATTCCATTCCATTCCATTCCATTCCATTCCATTCCATTCCATTCCATTCTACTCCATTCCTCTCCACTCCACTGCACTCCATTCCATTCGATTCCAATCCACTCAACTCCACTCCGCTACATTCCATCCCATCCCATTCCATTCCACTCAATTTCACTCCACTCCATTCCATTCCACTCCATCCCATCCCATTCCACTACATTGCATTCCACTCCACTCCACTCCACTCCACTCCACTCCACTCCACTGAATTCTACTCCATTCCATTCCATATCATTCCATTCTATTCCTTTCTGTCGACAGGATCTCACTCTGTCACCCAGGATGGAGTGCAGTGTCATAATCTCAGCTATCATTTCATTTCACGATTACATTCCATTCCATGGCATTCCATTCCATTCCATCTTTTCCGATTACACTACATTCCACTCCATTCCTCTCCTCTCCGTTCCATTCCATTCCATTGCATTCCATTGTATTCCATTCCATTGCAATGCATTCAATTCCATTCCATCCCATTCCGTTCCACTCCTGCGAGCTCCACTCCACTCCACTCCACTGCATTCCATTCCATTCCATTCCATACCATAACATTCCATTCAACTCCACTCCACACCACTCCCCTGCATTCCATTCCCTTCCATTCCATTCCATTTCACTCCATTGCATTCCATTCCTTTCTTTTGACAGGATATCACTGTGTCACCGAGGCTGGAGTACAGTGGCACAATCTCAGCTCACATTACATGTCAACTTTCCATTGCATTGCATACTATTCCATTGCATTCCGTTCAATTCCATTCCATTTAATTCAATTCCATTCCATCCCACTCCGTTCTACTCCACTCCACTGCATTCCACTACATTCGATTCCATTCCACTCCATTCCACTCCTATTCACTCTACTGCGCTCCACTCCATTCCACTCCATCCACTCCATCCCATTCCATTCCGCTCAATTCCACTGCTCTCCACTCCACCCCACTCCACTCCACTTCATTCCATTCCATTCCATCCCATTCCGTTCCGCTCCTTTCTATTTCAATCCACTTCATTCCAGTCCACACCAATCCAGTCGACTCCATTCCATTCCATTCCATTGCATTCCATTCTACTCCACTCCACTCCACCGAATTCCACTCCACTCCACTCTACTCCATTCCACTCCACTCCATTCCACTCCACTGCATTCCATTCCACTCCACTCCACTCCATTCCAGTCCATTCCACTCCACTAAACTCCACTCCCCCCTATCCCATTCCACTCCTTTCTTTCTACAGTATCTCTCTCTGTCACGCAGGCTGTAGTGCAGTGGCACAATCTCAGCACCCATTCCGTTCCGTTCCGTTCCATTCCGTTCCATTCCAGTTCGTTCCACTTCACTCCACTCCAGTGTACTACATTCTATTACATCTGATTCCATTCCACTACATTGCACTTTTCTCCACTTCACTGAAATCCACTCCACTCTATTCCATTCCATTCCTTTCCACTCCTCTCCACTTTGCTCCACTCCACTTAATTGCATTCCATTCCATTCCATTCCATTCCATTCCATTCCATTCCATTCCATTCCATTCCATTCCATTCCTCTCCACTCCACTCCACTCCATTCCATTCCACTCCATTCCACTCCACTCCACTCCACTCCTCTCCACCCCATTCCACTCTACTCCACACCACTCCACTCCGTTCCACTCCACTCCACTGCATTCCATTCCATTCCACTCCATTCCATTCCACTACAGTCCATTCCAGTCCACTTCATTCCATTCCACTCCACTCCAGTCCACTCCACTCCATTCCACTCCACTCCACTCTGCTCCAACCCATTGCACGACTATCTTTCGACAGGATCTACCTCTGTCACACAGGCTGTAGTGCAGTAGCACAATCTCAGCACCTGTTAAATTCCTTTTCATTCCATTCCACTGCATTCCATTCCAATGAGTTCCACTGCACTTCACTCCACTGCACTCCACTCCATTCCACTCCACTCCACTCCATTCCGTTCCACTCTACTCCACTCCACTACATTTCATTCCATCACATTCCGTTCCACTCCACTTTACTCTATTCCGTTACATTGAAATCCATTCCATTCCAATATTTTCTTTCGACAGGATCTCACTCGGTCACCCAGGCTGGAGTGCAGTGCCACAATGTCAGCTCACATTTCATTTCCCCATTCCCTTCCCTTCCATTGCATTCCCTTCCTTTCCCTTCCATTCCATTCCATTCCCTTCCATTCCATTCCACTCCACTCCACTCCATTCTTTTCCATTCCACTACACTCCATTCCATTCCAATATTTTCTTTCAACAGGATCTCACTCTGTCACCCAAAATGGAGTGCAATTACAAAATCCCAGCTCACATTTCATGTCACCATTCCATTCCATTCCACTCCCCTAAATTCCATTCCACTCCACTCCACTCAACTCCACTCCACGCCACTCCACTCCACTCCACGCCACTCCAGTCATTCCATTCTACTACATTCCATTCCATTCCTTTATTTCAAAATGGATCTCTCTCTGTCACCCAGACTGGAGTGCAGTGGCACAATCTTAGCTCACATTTAATTTCTCCATTCCATTCCATTCCATTCCATTCCATTCCATTCCATTCCATTCCATTCCATTCAACCCCATTCTATTCCATTCTATTCCATTCCACCCCATTCCATTCCATTCCCTTCTTTCGATGGGATATCACTGTGTCAAAAATGGCTGGAATACAGGGGCAAAATCTCAGCTCACATTTCATTTCACCATTCCATTTTTTCTTTCCTTTCCATTCCATTCCATCCCACTACACTCAATTCCACTCCACTCCCCTCCCCTCCCCCATTCCATTCCATTCCATCCCATTCCATTTCACTCCATTTCTCTCCACTCCACTCCCGTCCACTCCACTCCCCTCCACTCCATTCCTTCCACTCCATCCCATTCCATTCCATTCCATTCTATTCCACTCCACTCCACTCCACTCCACTCCACTCCACCCCATCCCATCCCATTCTATTCCATTCCATTCCATTCCATTCCATTCCATTCCATTCCACTCCATTGCATTCCATTCCTCTCTTTCGAGAGGATCTCACTCTGTCACCCAGGCTGGAGTGCAGTGGCAGTATCTCAGCTCACATTTCAATTCACCATTCCATTCCATTGCATTCCATTCCATTCCATTGCATTCCATTGCATTTAATTCCATTGCATTCCATTCCATTGCAATGCATTCAATTCTATTCCATCCCATTTCATTCCACTCCTGCGAACTCCACTCAACTCCACTCCACTCCATTCCATTCCATTCTATTCCATTCCATTCCATTCCATTCCATTCCATTCCATTCCATTCCATTCCTTACCATACCATACCGTTCCATTACACTCCACTCCACTCCACTTCACTCCACTCCATCCCATTCCATCCCATTCCATTCCACTCCATTCCAATATAATGCACTCCACTCCGCTCCATTCCATTCCATTCCATTCCACACCTGTCCATTCCATTCCTTTCTTTTGACAATATTTCACTCTGTCACACTGGCTGGAGTGTAGTGTTACAATCTCAACTCATATTTCATTTCATCATTCCATTCTATTCCGTTACATTCCTTTCCATTCTATTCATTTCCATTCCACTATATTCCATTCCACTCCACTCCACTTGGCTCCACTTCATTCAATTTCATTCCGTTCCACTCCACTCTACTCCACTCCTCTCCACTCCACTACATTCAATTCCATCCAATTCCATACCACTCCACTCCCCTCCATTTCATTCCATTCGATTCCATCCCATTCCATTCCATTCTACTCCACTCCCATCCACTCCTATCCACTCCCTTCCATTCCATTCCTCTCCACTCCATTCCATTCCACTTCACTCCTATCCACTCCACTACATTCCAATCCATTCCACTCCAATCCATTCCATTCCTTACATTCCACACTATGTCACTCTGTTACCCATTCTGGAATACAGTGGCATAATCTCAGCTTACATTTCATTTCGCTAATCCATTCCATTCCATTCCACTCTATTCCACTGCACTCCACTCCACTCCTTTCATTCCATTCCATTCCACTCGACTCCATTCCACTCTCTGCCACTCCATTCCACAGCACTCCATTCCATTACAGTCCATCCCATTCCATTCCACTCCACACCACTCCACTCCACACCACTCCACTCCAATCCATTCCATTCCATTTCTTTCTTTCAACAGCATCTCACTCTGTCACCCAGGCTGGCGTGCAGTGGCACAAATTCAGCTCACATTTCATTTCACCATTCCATTCCATTCTATTCCATTGCATTCCATTCCTTTGCATTCCATTCCATTGCATTCCATTCCATTCTATTCTGCTCCATTCTATTCCACTCGACTCTATTCCACTCTCCGCCACTCCAGTCCACTCCACTCCACTCGATGGCATTCCATTCCATCCCATTTAATTCCACTACAATCCACTCTACTCCTCTCCAATCAACTCCACTACACCATAATCCATTCCATTCCATTCCATCACATTCCATTCCACTCCATTCCACTCTACTTCATTCCACTCCACCACATTCCATTCAACTCCACTCCACTCCAGTCCATTCCACTCCACTCCACTCCATTCCACTCCGTTTCACTCAACTCCAATCCACTCCACTGCTTCCGATTACAATTCTTTCTTTTGACAGGATCTCCCTCTGTCCCACAGGTTTTTATGCAGTGGCACAATCTCATCACCCATTCCAGTCCATTCCATTCCATTCCATTTCATTCACCTCAAATCCACTCCAGTCCACTCCACTCCCTTCCACTCCACTGCATGCCACTCCGTTCCATTCCATTCCACTCCACACCACTCCACTGCTCTCCAATCCACTCCAATCCATTCCACTCCAGTCCATTCCAATCCATTCCACTCTACGCCATAACATTAAGCTCCACTCCACTCCATTCCATTCCACCACACTCCACCCCATTCCATTCCACTTGATTCCATTCCACTGCACTCCATTCCACCCCCATCCACTCCATTCCAGTCCACTCCACTCAACTCCATTCCATTCCACACCAATCCGTTCCACTCCATTTCACTCCACTCCACTCCACTGCAATCCACTCCACTCCATCCCAGTCCACTCCTTTCTTTCCAGAGGATCTCCCTCTGTCACACAGTCTGTAGCACAGTGACACGATCTCACCACCGATTCCATTCCATTCCATTCCATTCCATTCCATTCCATTCCATTCCATTCCATTCCATTCCATTCAAATACACTCCTTGCCACTACATTCCTTTGCATCCGATTCCATTCGAATCCATTCCACTCCACTCCACTCCATTCAATTCCACTCCACTCCACTCCATTTCATTCCACTTGAGTCCATCCACTCCTCTTCACTCTATTCCACTCCACGCCACTGCATTCCACTCCACACCACTGCATTCCACTCCACTCCACTCCATTCCATTCCACTCCACTCCATTCCATTCCATTCCAGTCCAGACCATTCCACTCCATTCCACTAAATTCCACCCCACTTTATGCCATTCCATTCCACTGCAATCCATTGCACTCCTCTCCACTACTCTCCACTCCTCTGCACTCCATTCCACTCCATTCCACTCCACTTCTTTCAACTCCACTCATCTCCATTCCAATTCATTCCATTCCATTCCACTGCACTACATTCCACTGAATTCCACTCCACTCCACTCCTCCTTTTCATTCCATTCCATTCCATTGCATTCCATTCCATTCCATTCCATTCCATTCCATTCCATTCCATTCCATTCCATTCCATTCCATTCCATTCCGCTCAGGTTGATTCAATTGCATTCTATTGCATTCTATTCTATTGCATTCAATTCCATTCCATTGCATTGCATTCCCCTCCCATTCATTCAATTAGAGTCTATTCCATTCCATTCCTTTCCATTCCATTCCATTCCAATGTGGTTGATTCAATTCCACTCTCTTCCATTCCATTCCATTTCATTCCATTCCATTCCATTCCATTCCATTCCATTCCATTCCATTCCATTCCATTCCATTCCATTCCATTCCACTCGGGTTCACTCAATTCCATTCTATTCCAATCCATTCCATTCCATTCCATTCCATTCCATTCCATTCCATTCCATTCCATTCAGTTTGATTCCATTTCATTCCATTCCTTTCCTTTCCATTGCATTCCATTCCATTCCATTCCATTCCATTCCATTCCATTCCATTCCATTCCATTCCATTCCACTCGGGTTGATTCCATTCCTTTCCTATCCATTCTATTTCATGCCATTCCACTCGGGTTGATTCAATTCCATTGTATTCCATTCCATTCCATTCCATTCCATTCCATTCCATTCCATTCCATTCCATTCCACTCGGTTTCATTCAATTCCTTTCCATTTGTTCCATTCAATTCTGTTCAATTCAATTCCATTCCATTCCTTTCCACTCGGAGTGATTCAATTCCATTCTATTCCTTTTAATTCCATTCCATTCCATTCCATTCCATTCCATTCCATTCCATTCCATTCCATTCCATTCCATTCTATTCCATTCCATTCCATTCCATTCCTTTCCACTCTGGTTTATTCAATTCCATTCTATGAAATTCCATTCCATTCCATTCCATTATATTCCATTTCCTTCCATTCCAATCCATACCACTATTGTTGATTCAATTCCATTCTATTCCATTCCATTCCACTCCATTCCATTCCATTCCATTCCATTCCATTCCATTCCATTCCATTCCATTCCAATCCATTCCATTCCATTCCACTCCACTTGTTGATTCAATTCCATTCTTTTCCATTCCATTGAATTCCATTAAATTGCATTCCACTCCATTGCATTCCATTCCACTCCACTCGGGTAGATTCAATTCCATTGCATTCCATTGCATTGCATTACATTCCTTTCCATTCCATTCCATTCCATTCTATTCCATTCCATTCTACTCTTTTTCCTTTCCATTCCTTTCCATAGCATTCCATTCCATTCCATTCTATTCCATTCCATTCTATTCCACTTGTGTTGATTCAAATCCATTCCATTCCATGGCAATCCATTCCATTCCATTCCTTTCCTTTCCATTCCATTCCATTCCATTCCATTCCATTCCATTCCATTCCATTCCATTCCATTCCATTCCGCTCGAGGTGATTCAATTAAATTCTTTTCCATTCTATTCTATTCCGTTCAATTCCATTCCATTGCATTCCATTCCCCTCCCGTTCATTCAAGTAGAGTCCATTCCATTCCATTCCATTCCATTCCACTGTGGTTGATTCAATTCCACTCTATTCCATTCCATTGCATTCCATTCCAATCGGTGTGATTGAATTCCACTCTATTCCATTCCTTTCCCTTCCATTCAATTTCATGCGATTACACTCGGGTTGATTCCATTCCATTCCATTCCATTCCTTTCCATTCCATTCCGTTCCGTTCCATTCCATTCCACTCGGTTTCATTCAATTCCTTTCTATTTCTTTCCATTCCATTCTGTTCAATTCCATTCCATTCCATTCCTTTCCACTCTGGTTTATTCAATTCTATTCTATGAAATTCCATTCCATTCCTTTCCATTATATTCCATTATATTCCATTTCTTTCCATTCCATTCCATTCCACTCTTGTTGAATAAATTGCACTCTATTCCATTCCATTCTACTCCATTCCATTCCATTCCATTCTATTCCATTCTATTCCATTCCATTCCATTCCATTCCATTCCATTCCATTCTATTCTATTCCATTCCATTCCATTCCATTCCACTCCACTTGTTGATTCAATTCCTTTCTTTTCCATGTCATTGAATTCCATTAAATTGCATTCCATTCCTTTGCATTCCATTGCGTTCCATTCCACTCCACTCGGGTAGATTCACTTCCATTGTATTCCATTCCATTCCATTCCATTGCATTCCATTCCATTCCATTCCATTCCATTCCATTCCATTCCATTCCACCCTGTTTGTTTCCTTTCCATTCCATTCCATTCCATTCCATTCCATTCCATTCCACTCCACTCTGTTGCATTCCATTCCATTTCACTCAGGTTGTTTCAATTCTATTCTATTCCATTTCATTCCTTTCCATTCCATTCCATTCCATTCCACTCGTGTTGATTTAATTCCATTAAATTGCATTTCATTCCATTTTATTCCCTTCCATTCCATTCTATTCCAATCCCTTCCATTCACTGGGGATGATTCAATTCCATTCTTTTCCATTCCATTCCGTTCCATTCCGTTCCATTCCACTCCATTCCATTCCGTTCCATTCCATTCCATTCCATTCCACTCCATTCCATTCCATTCTACTCCACTCGGGTTGATTCAATTCCATTACATTCCATGGCATTCCATTCCATTCCATTCCGTTCCAATCCATTCCACTCTGGTTGATTCAATTCCACTCTATTCCATTCCATTCCATTCCATTCCATTCCATTCCATTCCACTCCATTCCATTCCATTCTACTCCACTCGGGTTGATTCAATTCCATTACATTCCATGGCATTCCATTCCATTCCATTCCGTTCCAATCCATTCCACTCTGGTTGATTCAATTCCACTCTATTCCATTCCATTCCATTCCATTCCATTCCATTCCATTCCATTCCATTCCACTCAAGTTGATTCAAGTCCATTCTATTCCATTCCATTCCGTTCCATTCCATTCCATTCCATTCCATTCCATTCCATTCCATTCCATTCCACTGGGTTTGAGTCAATACCATTCTATTCCATTCAATTTCATTCCATTCCATTCCATTCCATTCCATTCCATTCCATTCCATTCCATTCCACTCCACTCAAGTTGATTCAAGTCCATTCTATTCCATTCCATTCCATTACATTTCATTACATTCGTGTTGATTCCATTCCATTCCATTCCATTCCATTCCATTCCATTCCATTCCATTCCATTCCATTCTATTCCATTCCTATCCATTCCATTCCATTCCCTTCCATTCCATAACCCTCGGGTTGATTCAATTCCATGCTACTCCATTGCATTCCACCCCAATCCATTCCATTCCATTCCAAAATCCTCGGGTTGATTCAATTCCATTCTATTCCATTGCATTGCATTCCATTCCATTCCATTCCTTTCACTTCCATTCCACTCGGGTTGATTCAAATCCGTTCTATTCCATTCCATTCCATTCCATTCCATTCCATTCCATTCCATTCCATCCCATTCCATCCCTTTCCATTCCATTCCCTTCCACTCGGTTGATTCCATTCCATTCCATTTCATACCATTCCACTCCACTGCATTCCATTCCATTCCATTCCATTCCACTCAGTTGATTCCATTCCTCTCCTTTCCATTCCTTGTCAGTTCATTCAATTCCATGACATTCAATTCCACTCGGGTTGATTCCATTCCATTGCATTCTATTCCTTTCCATTCCATTTCATTACATTCTGTTGCATTCCACTCCTGTTGATTCCATTCCATTCCATTCCATTCCATTCCATTCTATTCCATTCCATTCCATTCCACTTGGGTTGATTCCATTCAATTCCATTCCATTCCCGTCCTTTCCATTCCCCTTGGGTTGATTACATTCCCTTCCATTCCATTCAATTCCCCTCGGGTTGTTTCCATTCCATTCCGTTCCATTCCATTGCATTCCATTTTATTCCTTTCCACTCGGATTGACTCTATTACATTCCATTCCATTCTATTCCATTCCATTCCATTCCATTCCATTCCATTCCATTGCCTTCCATTCCACATAGTTTGATTCAATTACATTCTATATCATTGCTTTCCATTCCATTCCATTTCACTCCACTCCACTCTCATCCATTCCATGCCATTCCTGTTGATTCCGTTCCATTTAATGCCATTCCATTTAATTCCATTCTATTCCATACCATTCCACTCCGGTTGATTCCATTCCATTCCATTCCTTTCCATTCCATTCAATTCCACTCGGGTTCAATACATTCCATTCCATTCCATTCTTTTCCTTTCCATTCCATTCCATTCAAATCGTGTTGATTCCATTCCATTCCATTCCCTTCCATTCCGTTCAATTCCATTCCTCTCGGGTTTATTTCATTCCATAGAATTCATCTCAATTAAATTCCATTCCATTCCATTCCATTCCATTGCACGCGGGTTGATTCCGTTTCATTCCTTTCGATTTGATTCCATTCTATTCCCCTCGTTTTGATTCCATTACATTCTATTCCATTCCATTCCATTCCATTCCATTCCATTCCATTCCATTCCATTCCACTCGAATTGTTTCCATTCCTTTCGATTCCATTCCATTTCATTCCATTCCATTCCATTCCATTGCATTCCATTCCATTCCATACCATTCTATGCCAATTGGTTTGATGCCATCCGATTCCATTCCATTCCATTCTATTCCATTCCATTCCATTCCATTCCATTCCTTTCTTTTCCACTCGGGTTTACTCTATTCCATTTCATTACATTCCATTACATTAAATTCCATTCCATTCCATTCCTCTCGGTTGATTCCACTCCATTCCAATCCATTCCATTCCAATCCATTCCAATCCATTCCACTCCATTCCACTAGTGTTGATTCCATTCCATTCCATTCCATTCCATTCCATTCCATTCCATTCCATTCCATTCCATTCCACTCGGATTGATTCCATTCCATTCCATTCCTTTCCATTCCATTCCACTCTTGTTGATGCCATCCAATTCCATTACATTACATTACATTCCCTTCCATTCCATTCCATTCTAGTAAATTCCGGTTTATTCCATTCCATTCCATTCCATTCCATTCCATTCCATTCAATTCAATTCCACTCCACTCCACTCCACTCCACTCCGTTCCGTTCCGTTCCGTTCCGTTCCGTTCCGTTCCATTCCATTCCATTCCATTCCATTCCACTGTGGTTAATTCCATTCCTTTCAATTCCATTCCATTGCATTCCATTCCATTCCATTCCATTCCATTCCATTCCATTCCATTCCAGTAAATTCCGGTTTATTCCATTCCATTCCATTCCATTCCGTTCCATTCCATTCCATTCCATTCAATTCCACTGTGGTTGATTCCATTCCTTTCAATTCCATTCCTTTCCATTCCCTTCCTTTCCATTTCATTCCTCTCTTGTTGATTTTTTTCCATTCCATTCATCTCCATTAGTTTCCATTCCATTCCATTGCATTCCCTTCCCTTCCTTTCCATTCCGTTTCATTCCCCTAGTTTTGATTCCATTCCATTCCATTCCATTCCATTCCTTTCCATTCCATTCCATTCCATTCCCTTCCATTCCATTCCACTCGGAATGATTCCATTCCATTCCATTCCATTCCATTCCATTCCATTACATTACATTTCATTCCGTTCCTTTCTATTCCATTCCATAACATTCCATTCCAGTCTTGTTGATGCCATCCGATTCCATTCCATTCCATTACATTCCCTTCCCTTCCATTCCATTTCATTCCAGTAAATTCCGGTTTATTCCATTCCATTCCATTCTGTTCCATTCCATTCCATTCCATTCCATTCCATTCCATTCCATTCCACTCCACTCCACTCCACTCCACTCCATTCCACTCCATTCCATTCCATTCCATTCCATTCCATTCCATTCCATTCCATTATATTCCATTCCATTCCTGTTGATTCCATTCCATTGCATTCCATTACACTCGGATTGATTCCTTTCCATTCCATGCCATTCCATTCCATTCCATTCCCCTCGTGTTGATTCCATTCGATTCCTTTCTATTCCATTCCACTCGGATTTATTCCTTCCCATTCCATTCCATTCCGTTCCATTCCATTCCATTCCATTCCATTGTGTTCCATTTCTTTCCATTGCATTCCATTCCATTCCAGTCGGGTTGATTCTATCCCGTTCCATTCCGTTCCGTTCCATTCCATTCCATTCCATTCCATTCCATTCCATTACATTCCATTTCTTTCCATTGCATTCCATTCCGTTCCAGTCGGGTTGATTCCATTCCATTCCATTCCATTCCATTCCATTCCATTCCATTCCATTCCAATCCATTGCATTCCATTCCGTTCCATTCTATTCCGTTGCATTCCAACTGACTCAATTCCATTCTATTCCATTCCATTCCG
This sequence comes from Homo sapiens, assembly GCF_000001405.40. Classification (NCBI taxonomy): domain Eukaryota; kingdom Metazoa; phylum Chordata; class Mammalia; order Primates; family Hominidae; genus Homo; species Homo sapiens. The sequence goes on from NC_000024.10 coordinate 11,303,572, forward strand.
TTCCATTCCATTCCATTCCATTCCATTCCATTCCATTCCATTCCACTCCACTGCACTCCATTCCATTCCATTGCATTCCATTCCATTCCATTCCATTCCATTATATTCCATTCCATTCCTGTTGATTCCATTCCTTTGCATTCCATTACACTCGGATTATTCCATTCCATTCCATGCCATTCCATTCCATTCCCCTCGTGTTGATTCCATTCGATTCCTTTCTATTCCATTCCACTCGGGTTGATTCCTTCCCATTCCATTCCGTTCCGTTCCATTCCATTCCATTCCATTCCATTCCATTCCATTCCATTCCATTCCATTCCATTCGATTCCATTCCATTGCGTTCCATTTCTTTCCATTGCATTCCATTCCATTCCAGTCGGGTTGATTCTATCTCATTCCATTCCATTCCGTTCCATTCCATTCCATTCCGTTCCATTTCTTTCCTTTGCATTCCATTCCGTTCCAGTCGGGTTGATTCCATTCCATTCCATTCCATTCCATTCCATTCCATTCCTTTCTGTATATGTCCACGGATATCCCTGTATAAAACCTGGGTGATCAGTGCAGTGATATGTCACAATGCCATTTAGCCATGGCGTACAGTATAGTTACATCACCTGGGAGATCATTGTAGAGATATGTCACAATGTCCCCAGTAGGCAGAGACCAGACAATATTTGGATCTCCTTGGGATCAGTGCAGAGATATGTCTCAATACCCCTGTGGGCATAGCATAGATTAGTGTTACATCACCTCGGTTAACATTGCAGAGATATGTCTAAATGCCCCTGTAGGCACAACCTACACAACTGTTACATCACTTAGGTGATCACTGCAGAGATATGTCACATTGCCCCCTGTAAGCAGAGCCTAGACAAGAGTTACATCATCTGGGTGATCAGGGCAGAGATATGTGACAAGGCCCCTTTAAGCAGACCCTCGACAATAGTTACATCACCTGAGTGATCACTGCAGAGATCTGTCACAAGGCCCCTTTAGGCAGAGCTTAGACCAGAGTTACATCACCTGGATGATCATTGCAGAGATATGTCACAATGTCCCCATAGGCAAATCCAAGACAAGCGTTCGTCACCTGGGTGATCATTGCAGAAATATGTGACAATGCCCTCAGGAGGCGGAGCCTACAGAAGAGTCCAATCACCTGCGTGATCAGTGCAGAGATATTTCACAATGCCCCTGCAGGCAGAGTGTAAGCAAGAGTTACATCACCTAGATGATCAGTGCAGAGATATGTCACAAGGCCCCCTATACGCAGAGTCGGACAAGAGTTACATCACCTCAGTGATCAATGCAGTGATATGTCACTATGCCCCGTAGGCAGAGCCTAGTCAAGCGTTACATCACCTGGGTGATTACTGCAGAGATATGTCACAAAGTCCCCATACACAGAGCCTAGACAAGAGTCCCATCACCTGGGTGATCAGTGCAGAAATATGTCACAATGCCCCTATAGGCCGATCGAAGACAAGAGTCCTTCACCTGGGTGATCAGTGCAGAAATATGTCACAATGCCCCCTTAGGCAGAGCCTAGATAAAAGCCCCATCACCTGGATGATCAGTGCAGAGTTATGTCACAAATTCCCTTTAGGCAGATCCTAGAGAAAGGTTACATCACTTGGATGATCAGTGCAGAGATATGTCACTATGCTACAGTAGGCAGAGCCTAGACTAGAGTTACATGACCTCGGTGATCAGTGCAGAGATACATCGCAATGTCCCTGTAGGCAGAGCCTTGACAAGTGGTACATCACCTGGGTGATCATTGCAGGGATATGTCACAAAGCACCCTGTAGGCAGATCCTAGAAAAGAGTTACATCACCTGGGTGATCAGTGCAGAGATATGTCACAATGCCACTATAGGTAGAGCCTAGAAAAGATTTACATGACCTAGGTGATCAGTGCAGAGATACATCGCAATGCCCCTGTAGGCAGGGCCTTGACAAGTGGTATATCACCTGGGTGATCATTGCAGGGATATGTCACAAAGCACCCAGTAGGCAGATCCTAGAGAAGAGTTATATCACCTGGGTGATCAGTGCAGAGATATGTCACAAGCCCACTTTAGGCAGAGCCTAGACAAGAGTTACATCTCCTCGGTGATCAATGCAGTGATATGTCACTATGCCCCGTAGGCAGAGCCTAGTCAAGCGTTCCATCACCTCGGTGATCAGTGCAGACATATGTCACAAAGCCCCCATTCACAAAGCCTAGACAAGCGTCCCATCACCTGAGTGATCAATGCAGAGATATGTCACAAAGCCCCCATACACAGAGCCTAGAGAAGAGTCCCATCACTTGGGTGATCAGTGCAGAAATATGTCAAAATGCCCCCATAGGCAGATCCTACACAAGAGTTACATCACCTGGGTGATCTGCGTAGAGATATGTCACAATGCCCCCATAGGCAGAGCGTAGACAAAAGTCCCATCACCTGGCTGATCAGTGCAGAGTTATGTCACAAAGCCCCTGTAGGCAGAGCGTAGACAAGAGTTACATCACTTTGTTGATCAGTTCAGAGATGTGTCCTGCTGACTGTTTCCTCCCGGAGCTCTGCGGGCACCCAGAAACATGCAGGGAAGGGTGGAAGTCTGGCATGGTGCCCTCGCTCTCCTTGCCAGTTTCCAAACCGGCCACACTGCAGACTCCCCATGTTGCGGCACACGGGAATCCATCGTCTGGTCATCACGCCGGGGTGGCATCTTCTCTCTGGGTTCTCGCTCTTGTCTCCTACTTGGAAATGAACGAGAGCCACACGCCTGCGTGTGTGAGACTGTCCTGGCAACAGCGACACCCACAGGCACTGCCTCCTTCACTGAGAGAGGGCTTGGAACACTCCAGACTCCAACGGAGGTTCAGTTCCACACTCCCCTCCACCCTCCCAAGCCGGTTTCTCCCTGCTGAAGACGCATGGGAACCCAGAGAGCAGCTTCCAGTTCCCGCGGGATTCCTGGAGTGGTCCGGAGAGCCAGCCCCCGAATCGTGCCCCCCTCACCCCTACCCCCTCGCCCCCTTCATCTTCGTGTCTCTGGCCCCACCACCGCCATCACCACGCCCACCCCCCACACTCCACCATCCCCCGGCCTCAGGCCTCGACGCCCTGGGACCCTTCCGGGGTGGGGCGTGCTGTCCCAGGGCTCACGGCCATTCATGAAGTTCTGGAACCTGCCTACCTGAGGGCCTTTATAAGAGTCGCTGGCTGGCTGTCCGGGCACGCCTCCTGGCTGCACCTGCCGCAGTGCACAGGACGGCTGTGGTGCACGGGAGCCCGCTGGCCTCTCTGCCCATGTCCGTCCGCGAAATTTCGGCCGGGGCTCCCCGCGATGTCCCACCCGACACCTTCGGACAGCACCCTCCCTGCAGAAGCCCGGGGACGGGGACGGCGAAGGAGACTCGTTTGGACCCGGAGCCAAAGTGAGGCCCTGCGAGCCAGCTTTGAGCGGAACCCATACCCGGGCATCGCCACCAGAAAACGGCTGGCCCAGGCCATCGGCATTCCGGAGCCCAGGTTGCAGATTTTGTTTCAGAATGAGAGGTCAAGCCACCTGAGGCAGCACGGGCGGGAATCTCGGTCCTGGCCCAGGAGATGCGGCCCGCAAGAAGGCAGGCGAAAGCAGACTGCGTCACCGGATCCCAGACGGCCCTTCTCCTCTGAGCCATTGAGAAGGATCGCATTCCAGGCATCGCCGCCAGGGAAGAGCTGGCCAGAGAGACGGGTCTCCCAGAGTCCAGGATTCAGACCTGGTTTCAGAATCGAAGGGCCAGGCACCCGGGATATGCTGGCAGGGCGCCTGCATAGGCCGGCGGCCTGTGCAACGCGGCCCCCCACGGGTATCACCCTGCTCCCTCGTGGGTCGCCTTCGCCCACACCGGCACGTGGGGAACAGGGCTTCCCGCACCCCACGTGCCCTGTACGCCTGGGGCTCTCCCACAAGGGGCTTTCATGAGCCAGGGATCGAGAGCCATCCCCGTGCTCCAGCCCAGCCAGGCCGCGCCAGCAGAGGGGATCTCCCAACCTGCCCCGGCATGCGGGGATTTTGCCTACGCCTCCCCGGCTCCTCTGGAAGGGGCTCTCTCTCACCCTCAGGCGCCTCGGTGGCCTCCGCACCCAGGCAAAAGCCGGGAGGGCTGTGACCCGCAGCGCCACGGCCTGCTGGGCCCTTGCCTGGTGGGACAGCCTGGGCCGGCTCAAGCGGGGCCACAGGGCTAAGGAGTGCTTGCGCCACCCGCGTCCCAGGGGAGTCTGTGGTGGGGCTGGGGCCAGGGACCCCAGGTCCCCGATGCGGCGTGGGAACCACAAGCCGGGCCGCTCCACCTCGCCAGCCCGTGCCCCCGGATGCCTCCACGCTGCAGGGGCAGTAGCAAGCCATCCCGGTGCCCTCCCAGGCACTCCAGTAGCCTGGGCGCTCGTCTGCACTCCCCTCCGGCCTGCTGCTGGATGAGCTCCTGGTGAGCCCGGAGTTTCTGCAGCAGGCGCAACCTTTCCTAGAAACGGAGGCCCGGGGGAGATGGAGGCCTTGGAAGAGGCCGCCTCACTGGAAGCACCCCTCAGCGAGGAAGTATACCGTTTTCTGCTGGAGGAGCTTTAGCACGCGGGATTGGGACGGGGTCGGGTCGGGGCAGGGTGGTGGCCTCTCTTTCGCGGGGAAAACCTGGCTGGCTATGGAGGGGTGTGTCTTCCCCCCCCTCCACTGGGCTGACCGGCCTGGGATTCCTGCCTTCTAGGTATAGGCCCGGTGAGAGACTCCACACAGCGGAGATCTGCCATTCTTTCCTGGGCATCCCGGGGATCCCAGAGCCGGCCCAGGTACCAGCAGGTGGGCCACAGACTGTGCACGCGCCGGTTAGCGGGCAGCCACGTGGGCTGTGGGAGCAGCCCGGGAAGAGCTCTCATGCCTTTCCACCCCCACAACCCCGCCTGACCAACGCCTCCCCACCCCCACCCACCAGCCCCGGAAAGTGCATCCTCCCCTGGGATGGGTGGAAATCCCCATCCCACGAAACACCGGCCCGCACAGCTCCAGGCCTGACACCCCTCTGGCAGCTCGCATCCTCTGGGCCTCTGCGCCACCGTCGCCCAGCCGCCGGTACCCTGCAGCATCCCAGCTGCCACCATGGAGCACTTGGCGGTGGAACACAGACCTCTAGCTCTCCTTGCCGGCCTCCTGGCTAGACCTGCGCTCATTGCGCACTCCGGCTGACGTGCAAGGGAGCCCGCTGGCCTCTCTGTGCCCTTTTCTGTCCCTGAAATTCCTGTTGAGGCTCTCCCAACACCTTCCGACGCTCGTTAGTCAAAGCCTGGAGAATAGTTACATATCCTGGATGAGCAGTTCAGAAATATGGCACAATGTCCCCTCCCTGTGGAGCCTAGAGAAGATTTGCATCATTTGCGTGATCAGTGCAGAGATATATCACAATGTCCCCTGTACAAGAAGCCTGGAAATGATTTACATCACCTCGGTGATCAGTGCATAGGTATGTCAGAAATCCCCAGTAGGCTGAACTTAGACAAGGGTTACATCACTTAGGTGATCAGTGTAGAGATAAGTCATAAATCCTCCTGTAAGCAGAGTGTAGAAAAATGTTTCCTCCCTCGGGTGATCAGCGCAGAGATATGTCACAAAGCCCCTATAAGCAGAACCTTGACATGGGTTACATCACCTGTTTGATCAGTGGAAATATATATCACAAAGCCTCCTGTAGGCAAAGCCCAGACAATTGTTACATCACCTGGGTGAGCAGTGGAGAGATCTGTCACAATGCCCCTGTAGGCAGAGCTTAGACAAGGGTTACATCACCTGGGTGATCAGTGCAGAGATATGTCAAAACGCTCCTGTAGGCTGAACCTAGACAGGAGTTACATCACCCAGGTGGTCAGTGCAGAGACATGTGAGAATTCCCATGTAGGCAGAGCCTAGACAAGTGTAATATCACCTAGGTTATCAGTGCAGGTATAAGTCATACAGCCTCCTGTAGGCAGAGAGTAGACAAGAGTTCCCTCCCCAGGGTGATCAGTGCAGAGATGTGTCACAAAACCCCTGTAGGCAGAGCTTAGACAAGAGTTTCATCACTTGGTTGATCAGTTCAGAGATGTGTCACAATGTCCATGTAGGCAGATCTAAGACAACAGTCCATCACCTGGGTGATCAGTGCAGAGATATGTACCAATGACCCAAGTAGGCAGTGCCTAGACAAGAGTTGCATCACCTCAGAGATCAGTGCTTAGATATGTCAGAAAGCCTTCTGTAGGCAAAGCCCATACAAGGCTTACATCACCTAGGAGATCAGTGTAGTGGTATGTCACAAAAATCCCTGTAGACAGAGCCTAGACAAGAGTTACATCACCTGGGTGATCATTGCAGCTATTTGACACAATGCCCCCATAGACAGAGCCTAGACAAGACTTCCATCACCTGGGTGATCAGTGCAGAGAAATGTCACAAATCCCCCTCTAGGCAGAGTATAGAGAAGATTCCTATCACCTGGGTGATCAGTGCCGAGATATTTCAAAATGCCTCCTGTAGGCAGAGAGTGGATAAGAGTTACATAACATATGTGATCTGTGCAGAGCTATGTGAAAACGCCCCTGTAGGCAGAGCCTAGAAAAATGTTACATCACCTGGTTGATCAGTGCAGAGATACGTCACAATACACCCTGTAGGTGGAGCCTAGACAAGAGTTACATCACCTGGGTGATCAGTACAGACATATGTCACAGAGCACCTGTAGGCAGAGCCTAAACAAGTGTTACATCTCCTGGGTGATCAGTGCAGAAATATGTCACAAAGCCCCTGTAGGCCGAGCCTAGACAAAAGTTACATCTCCTGGGTGATCAGTGCAAATATATGTCACAATGCCCCCATAGACAAATCGCAGAAAATTGTTACATCACCTGGGTGATCAGTGGAGATATCTGTCACAATTCCCATTTAGGCGCAGCTTAGACAAGCTTTACATCCCATGAGTGATCAGTGCAGAGATATGTAACTATGCCCCCATAGGCAGATCCAAGACAAGAGTCCATCACCTGGTTGATCAGTGCAGAAATATGCCACAATGCCACCAGTAGGCAGATATAGACAAGAGTTACATCACCTGCGTGATCACTGCAGAGATATGTCACAATGCCCCTGTAGGCAGAGCCTAGACAAGAGTCCCATCACCTGGGTGATCAGTGCAGAGTTATGTCAAAATGCCCCCTTTTGGCAGAGGCTAGACAAGGGTTACATCACCTGGGTGATCAGTGCAGAGATGTGTCACAAGCCCCCTGTACCCAGAGCCTAGACAAGAGTTACATCAGGTGTGTGATCAGTGCAGTGACATGTCACAATGTCTCTGTAGCCATATCCTTGAGAATAGTGACATCACCTGGGTGATCGGTGCGGAGATATGTCACAATGCCTCCAGTATGCAGAGCGTAGACAAGAGTTACATCACCTGGGTGATCAGAGCAGAGATATGTCACAATGCCCCCGGTAAGCAGATCCCAGACAAGAGTTGCATCACCTCGGTGATCAGTGCACAGATATGTCTCAATGCCCCCTGTCGACAAAGCCTATACAAGAGTTACATCATCTCGGTGATCAGTGCAGTGCTATGTGAAAATGCCCCTGTAGGCAGAGCCTAGACAAGAGTTACATCACCTGGGTGATCAGTGAAGAGATATGTCATAAATCCCACTGTAGGCAAAGCCTAGACAAGTTTTACATCACATCAGCGGTCAGTGCAAAGATATGTCCCAATGTTCCTCTAGGCAGAGCTTATACAATAGTCACATCTCCTGGGTTATCAGGGCAGTGATAAATCACAATGCCCCCATAGGCAGAGCCTAGACAAGAGTTACATAACCCGGGTGATCCGTGCAGAGTAATGTCACAATGCCCTCTGTAGGCAGAGCCTAGAAAAGAGTTACATCACCTGGGTGATCCGTGCAGAGATATCTCACAATACACCCTGTAAGCAGAGCCTAGAAAAGAGTTACATCACCTGGGTGATCAGTGCAGAGATATGTCATAAACCCCACTGTAGGCAAAGCCTAGACAAATTTTACATCACCTAAGTGATCAGTGCAGAGATATGTCCCAATGTCCCTCTAGGCAGAGCTTAGACCAGAGTCACAACTCCTAGGTGATCAGTGTAGAGATAAGTCACAATGCCCCCATAGGCAGAGCCTAGACAAGAGTTAAATAACCAGGGTGATCCGTGCAGAGTGATGTCAAAACGTCCCTTGTAGGCAGAGAAGAGAAAAGAGTTACATCACCTGGGTGATCAGTGCAGAGATATGTCACAATGCCTCCTGTAGGCAGAGCATAGAGAAGAGTTGCATCACCTTGGTGATCAGTGAAGAGATATGTCACAATGTCCCCTGTAGGAAAAGCCTAGAGAATAGTTACATCACCTTTGTCTTCAGTTCAGGGATATGTGAAAACGCCACTGTACGCAGAGCCTAGACAAAAGTTACATCACCTAGTTCATCAGTGCAGAGATATTTCACAACACCCACTGTAGGCAGAACCTAGACAAGAGTTGAATCACCTGGGTGATTTTGTGCAGAGATATTTCACAGTGCCCCCTTTGGGCAGAGGGTAGACAAGAGTTACATCACCTAGGTGATCAGTGCAGAGATTTGTCAGAATTCCCTGTAGGCAGTGCTTATAAAAGTGTTACATCACCTAGGTGATCAGTGCAGAGATTTGTCAAAATTCCCTGTAGGCAGTGCTTATAAAAGTGTTACATCACCTAAGTGATCAGTGCAGAGATATGTCACAAAGCTCCTGTAGGCAGAACTTGGATGAGTTATATCACCTGGGTTATCAGTGCAAAGGTATGTCACAAAGCCCCCTGTAGGCAAAGCCTAGACAATAGTTACAACAGTTGGTTGATCAGTGGCGAGATCTCTCACAATTACCCTGTAGGCAGAGCTTATACAACAGTTACATCACCTGGGTGATCAGTGCAGAGATATGTCACAATGCCCCCATAGGCAGATCCAAGACAAGAGTCCATCACCTGGGTGATCAGTGCAGAAATATGTCACAATGCCCCCTTAGGCAGATCCTAGACAAAAGCCCCATCACCTGGATGATCAGTGCAGAGTTATGTCACAAAGTCCCGTTAGGCAGATCCTGGAGAAGAGTTACATCACTCGGGTGATCAGTGCAGAGATATGTCACAATGCCACTGTAGGCAGAGCCTAGACAACGGTTACATGACCTAGGTGATCAGTGCAGAGATACATCGCAATGTCCCTGTAGGCAGAGCTTTGACAAGTGGTACATCACCTGGGTGATCATTGCAGGGATATGTCACAAAGCACCCTGTAGGCAAATCCTAGAGAAGAGTTATATCACCTGGATGATCAGTGCAGAGATATGTCACAACCCCCTGTAGGCAGAGCTTAGACAAGAGTTATATCACCTGGGTGATCAGTGCAGTGGTATGTCACAATGCCATGTAGACGGAGCCTAAACTAAAGTTACAGCACCTGGGAGATCATTGCAGAGATATGTCACAATGTCCCCAGTAGGCAGAGACCAGGCAAGAATTGGATCACCTCGGGATCAGGGCAGAGATATGTCTCAATCCCCCTGTGGGCACAGCCTAGACAAGAGTTACATCACCTCGGTTAACAGTGCAGAGATATGTCAAAATGCCTCTGTAGGCAGAGCCTACACAATTGTTATATCACTTAGATGATCAGTGCAGAGATATGTCACAATACCCCTTGTAAGCAGAGCCTAGAGAAGAGTTACGTCACCTGGGTGATCAGTGCAGACATATGTGACAAGGCCCCTTTAAGCAGAGCCTAGACAATAGTTACATCACCTGAGTGATCAGTGCAGAGATCTGTCACAATGCCCCTTTAGGCAGAGCTTAGACCAGAGTTACATCACCTGGGTGATCAGTGCAGAGATATGTCACAATGCCTCCATAGGCAAATCCAAGTTGAGATTCTGTCACCTGTGTGATCAGTGCAGACATATGTGACCATGCCCCCAGTAGGCAGAGCCTAGAGAATAGTCCCATCACCTGGGTGATCAGTGCAGAGATATTTCACAATGCCCCTGAAGGCAGAGTGTAAGCAAGAGTTACATCACTGAGATGATCAGTGCAGAGATATGTCACAAGGCCCCCTATAGGCAGAGCCTGGACAAGAGTTACATCACCTCAGTGATCAATGCAGTGATATGTCACTATGCCCCGTAGGAAGAGTCTAAACAAGCGTTACATCACCTAGGTGATCAGTGCAGAGATATGTCACAAAGCCCCCACACACAGAGCCTAGACAAGAGTCCCATCATCTGGGTTATCAGTGCAGAAATATGTCACAATGCCCCCATAGGCAGATCCTACACAAGAGTTACATCACCTGGGTGATCAGTGTAGAGATATGTCACAATGCCCCCATAGGCAGAGCCTAGACAAAATTCCCATCCGCTGGGTAATCAGTGCAGAGATACGTCACAAAGCCCCGTAGGCAGAGCATAGACAAGATTTTCATCACTTTGTAGATCAGTTTAGAGATGTGTCATGCTGACTGTTTGCTCCCGGAGCTCTGCGGGCACCCAGAAACATGCAGGGAAGGGTGGGAGACTGGCATGGTGCCTTCGCTCTCCTTGCCAGTTTGAAAACCGGCCACACTGCAGACTCCCCATGTTGCTGACCACGGGAATCCATCTTCAGGCCATCACGCCAGGGAGGCATCTTCTCTCTGGTGTCTCGCTCTGGTCTCCTACGTGGAAATGAACGAGAGCCACAAGCCTGCCTGTGTGAGACTGTCCCGGCAACGGCGACACCCACAGGCACTGCCTCCTTCTCGGAGAGAGGGCCTGGAACACCAAAGACTCCCACAGAGGTTCAGTTCCAAACTCCCCTCCACCCTCCCAGAGGGGTTTCTAGCTGCTGAAGACGCGTGGGAGCCCAGAGAGTGGCTTCCAGTTCCCGCGGGATTCCTGGAGTGGTCCGGAGAGCCAGTCCCTGAAACGCGCCCCCTTCACCCCTTCCCCCTCACCCCCTTCCTCTTCATTTCTCCAGCCTCACCACAGCCATCAGCACGCCCTCCCCACCACCCCACCACCACACGGCCGCAGGCCTCGACTCCCTGGGAACGTTCCGTGGTGGGGTGGGCTGTCCCAGGGCTCACCGCCATTCATGAAGGGGTGCAGCCTGCCTGTCTGCGTGCCTTTATAAGAGCCGCTGGCTGGCTGTCCGGGCAGGCCTCCTGGCTGCACCTGCCGCAGTGCACAGGCTGGCTGAGGTGCACGGGAGCCCGCCAGCCTCTCTCTGCCAGTGTCCATCCGTGAAATTCCGGCCGGGGCTCCCCGCGATGGCCCTCCCGACACCTTCGGACGGCACACTCCCCGCGGAAGCCCGGGGACTGGGACGGTCTAGGAGACTCGTTTGGACCCCGAGCCAAAGTGAGGCCCTGCAAGCCTGCTTTGAGCGGAACCCATACCCGGACATCGCCACCAGAGTACCGCTGGCCCAGGCCATCGGCATTCTGGAGCCTAGGGTCCAGATTTGGTTTCAGAATGGGAGGTCACGCCAGCTGAGGCAGCACCGGTGGGAATCTCGGCCCTGGCCTTGGAGACGTGGCCCGCAAGAAGGCAGGCGAAAGCGGACCGCCGTCACCGGATCCCAGACCACCGTGCTCCTCTGAGCCTTTGAGAAGTATCGCTTTCCAGGCATCGCCGCTAGGGAAGAGCTGGCCAGAGAGACGGGCCTCCCGGAGTCCAAGATTCAGATCTAGTTTCAGAATCAAAGGGCCAGGCACCCGGGACAGGGTGGCAGATGGAACACGCAGGCAGGCGGCCTGTACAACGCGGCCCCCAGGGGGTGTCACCCTGCTCCCTCGTGGGTCGCCTTCGCCCACACTAGCACGTGGGGAATAGGGCTTCCAGAACCCCACGTGCCCTGCGCACCTGGTGCTCTCCCACAGGGGGCTTTCATGAGCCAGGGAGCGAGGGCCGCCCCTGTACTGCAGCCCAGCCGGGACACGCCAGCAGAGGGGATCTCCCAACCCGCCCCAGCACGCGGGGATATTGCTTACGCCACCCGGGCTCAATCGGAAGGGGTGCTCTCCCACCCTCAGTCTCCTCGGTGGCCTCCACAACCAGGCATAAGCCAGGAGGACAGGGACCCGCAGCGCGACGGCCTGATGGGCCCTTTCGCGGTGGGACAGCCTGGGCCTGCTCATGCGGGGCCACAGGGCCAAGTTGTGCTTTCCCCACCCACATCCCAGGGGAGTCCGTGGTGGGGCTGGAGCCGGGGTCCCCACGTCGCCGGGTCAGCTTGGGAACTCCAAGTTGGGGCAGTTCCACCTCACCAGCCCACGTCCCCGGAGGCCTCCGCGCGGAAGGGGCAAATGCAGGGCATCCCGGCGCCCTTCCAGGTGCTCCAGGAGCCGGGGCGCTCATCTGCACTCCCCTCCGGCCTGATACTGGATGAGCTCCGGGCGAGCGCGGAGTTTCTGCAGCAGGCGCAACCTTTCCTAGAAATGGAGGCCCCGGGGGAGCTGGAGGCCTTGGAAGAGGCCACCTTGCTGGAAGCACCCCTCAGCAAGGAAGAATACTGGGCTCTGATGGAGGAATTTAGGTCGCGGGGTTGGGACGGTGTCAGGTCGGGGCAGGGCGGTGGCCTCTCTTTCGTGGGGAACACCTTGCTGGCTATGGAGGGGCGTGTCTTCCACCCGCCCCCTCCACTGGGCTGACCGGCCTGGGATTCCTGCCTTCTTGGTCTAGGCCCGGTAAGAGAATCCATACAGCAGAGAACTGCCATTCTTTCCTGGGCATCCTGGGGATACCAGATCCGGCCCAGGTACAAACAGGTGGGCCACCCACTGCGCACGCGCAGGTTTGTGGGCAGCTGCCTGGGCTGTGGGAGCAGCCCGGGCAGAGCCCTCATGCCTTTCCACCACCCCACCCCCGCCTGACCAGACCCACCCCACCCCCACCCCCCACCCACGGAAAATGCTTCCTCCCCTGGGCTGGTTGGAGAAACCCGTCCAGCGAAACACTGGGCCCCTGCAGCATCCAGTCCTGACAGCCCTCCGGAGGCTCGCCTTGTGTGCGCCTCCACGCCACCGTTGCCAGCCCGCGTGTGCCTCTGCAGCCTCCTAGCTGCCACAATGGATAGCCTGGCGGCGGAACGCAGACCTCTAGCTCTCTTTGCCGGCCTCCTGGCTAGACCTGCGCTCATTGCACACCCTGGCTGATGTGCAAGGAGCCCGCTCGCCTCTCTGTGCCCTTGTCCATCTGTGAAATTCTGGCTGAGGTTCTCCCAACACATTCCGACGCTCTTTAGTCAAAGTCTGGAGAATGGTTACATCTCCTGGATGATCGGTTCAGAAATATGTCCCAATGCCCCCTCCCTCCGGAGCCTAGAGAAGATTTGCATCATTTGGGTGATCAGCGCAGAGATATATCACAATGTCCCATGTACAAAAAGCCTGGAAATGATTTACATCACCTCGGTGATCAGTGCATAGGTATGTCAGATATCCCCAGTAGCCTGAACCTAGACAAGGGTTACATCACTTAGGTGATCAGCATAGAGATATGTGAAAATTCCCGTCTAGACACAGCCTAGAGAAGTGTTACATCACCTAGTGATCAGTGCAGGAATAAGTTGTAAAGCATCCTGTAGGTAGAGTGTAGACAACTGATTCCTCCCTGGGGTGACCAGTGAAGAGATATGTCACAAAGCCCCTGTAAGCAGAACCTTGACAACGGTTACATCACCTGTTTGATCAGTGGAAATGTATATCACAAATTCTCCTGTAGGCAAAGCACAGACAATTGTTACATCACCTGGGTGAGCAGTGGAGAGATCTGTCACAATGCCCCTGTAGGCAGAGCTTAGACAAGGGTTACATCACCAGGGTGATCAGTGCAGAGATATGTCAAAACTCTCCTGTAGACTGAACCTAGACAGGAGTAACATCACCAGGGTAATCAGTGCAGAGATATGTGAGAATATCCGTGTAGGCAGAGTCTAGAAAAGTGTTACATCACCTAGGTTATCCGAGCAGGTATAAGTCATACAGTCTCCTGTAGGCAGAGAGTAGACAAGAGTTCCCTCCCCAGGGTGATCAGTGCAGAGATGTATCACAAAGCCCCTGTAGGCAGAGCCTAGACAACAGTTTCATCACTTGGTTGATCAGTTCAGAGATGTGTCACAATGTCCATGTAGGCAGATCTAAGACAAGAGTCCATCACCTGGGTGATCAGTGCAGAGAGATATACCAATGTCCTCTGTAGGCAGTGGCTAGACAAGAGTTGCATCACTTCAGAGATGAGTGCATAGATATCTCACAAAGCCTTCTGTAGGCAAAGCCCGTACAAGGCTTGCATCACCTAGGTGATCAGTGCAGTGATATGTCACAAAAATCCCTGTAGACAGAGCCTAGACAAGACTTACATCACCTGGGTGATCAGTGCAGATATTAGACACAATGCCCCCATAGACAGAGCCTAGACAAGACTTCCATCACCTGGGTGATCAGTGCAGAGATATGTCACAAACCCCCTCTAGGCAGAGTATAGAGAAGAGTCCCATCACCTGGGTGATCAGTGCAGAGATATTTCACAATGCCCCCTGTAGGCAGAGAGAGGATAAGAGTTACATAACCTAGGTGATCTGTGCAGACCTATGTCAAAACGCCCCTGTAGGCAGAGCCTAGATAAATGTTACATCACCTGGGTGACCAGTGTTGAGATACGTCACAATACCCCCTGTACGTAGAGCCTAGACAAGAGTTACATCACCTGGGTGATCAGTGCAGAGGTATGTCACAAAGCCCCTGTAGGCAGAGCCTAAACAAGACTTACATCACCTGGGTGATCAGTGCAGAAATATGTTACAATACCCCCTGTAGTTGGAGCCTACACAAGAGTTACATCTCCTGGGTGATCAGTGCAAATATATGTCACAAAGTCCCCTGTAGACAAATCCCAGAAAAATGTTACATCACCTGGGTGATCACTGGAGGTATCTGTCACAATTCCCCTTTAGGCGCAACTTAGACAAGTGTTACATCACATGAGTGATCAGTGCAGAGATATGTCACTATGCCCCCATAGGCAGATCCAAGACAAGAGTCCATCACCTGGGTGATCAGTGTAGAAATATGCCACAATGCCGCCAGTAGGCAGATATAGACAAGAGTTACATCACCTGCGTGATCACTGCAGAGATATGTCACAATGCCCCTGTAGGCAGAGCCTAGACAAGAGTCCCATCACCTGGGTGATCAGTGCAGAGTTATGTCACAATGCCGCCTTTTGGCAGAGCCTAGACAAGGGTTACATCACCTGGGTGATCAGTGCAGAGATATGTCACAAGCCTCCTGTAGCCAGATCTTAGACAAGAGTTACATCAGCTGTGTGATCAGTGCAGTGACATGTCACAATGTCCCTGTAGCCATATCCTTGACAAAAGTGACATCACCTGGGTGATCAGTGCAGAGATATGTCACAATGTCTCCAGTAGGCAGAGTCTGGACAAGAGTTACATCACCTGGGTGATCAATGCAGATATTTGACACAATGCCCCCATAGACAGAGGCTAGACAAGACTTCCATCACCTGGGTGATCAGTGCAGAGATATGTCACAAGTCCCCCTCTAGGTAGAGTATAGAGAAGAGTCCCATCACATGGTGATCAGTGCAGAGATATTTCACAATGCGCCCTGTAGGCAGAGAGTGGAGAAGAGTTACACAACCTAGGTGATCTGTGCAGAGCTATGTCTAAACACCCCTGTAGGCAGAGCCTAGATAAATGTTACATCACCTGGGTGATCAGTGCAGAGATACGTCACAATGCCCCCTGTAGGTGGAGCCTAGACAAATGTTCCATCACCTGGGTGATCAATGCAGAAATATATCACAAAGCCCCTACAGGCCGAGCCTAGACAAGGGTTACATCTCCTGGGTGATCAGTGCAAACATATGTCACAAAGCCCCCTGTAGACAAATCCCAGAAAATTGTTACATCACCTGGGTGATCAGTGTAGATATCTGTCACAATTCCCCTTTAGGCGCAGCTTAGACAAGTGTTACATCACATGAGTTATCAGTGCAGAGATATGTCACTATGCCCCCATAGGCAGATCCAATACAAGAGTCCGTCACCTGGGTGATCAGTGCAGAAATATGCCACAATGCCGCCGGTAGGCAGATATAGACAAAAGTTACATCACCTGCGTGATCACTGCAGAGATATGTCACAATGCCCCTGTAGGCAGAGCCTAGACAAGAGTTCCATCACCTGGGTGATCAGTGCAGAGGTATGTCACAATGCCCCCTTTTGGCAGAACCTACACAAGGGTTGCATCACCTGGGGGATCAGTGCAGAGATATGTCGCAATACCCCCTGTAAGCAGAGCCTAGACAAGAGTTACATCACCTGGGTGATCAGTGCAGAGATATGTGACGAGGCCCCTTTAAGCAGAGCCTAGACAATAGTTACATCACCTGAGTGATCAGTGCAGAGATCTGACGCAATGCCCCTTTAGGCAGAGCTTAGACCAGAGTTACATCACCTGGGTGATCAGTGCAGAGATATGTCACAATGCCCCCACAGGCAAATCCAAGACAAGAGTCCGTCACATGGGTGATCAGTGCAGAAATATGTGACAATTCCCCCAATAAGCAGAGCCTATAGAAGAATCCCATCACCTGGGTGATCAGTGAAGAGATATTTCACAATGCCCCTGCAGGCAGAGCGTAAGCAATAGTTGCATCACCTAGGTGATCAGTGCAGAGAAATGTCACAAGGCCCCCTATAGGCAGAGCATGTACAACAGTTAAATCACCTCGGAGATCAATGCAGTGATATGTCACTATGCCCCGTAGGCAGAACCTAGTCAAGCGTTACATCACCTGGGTGATCAGTGCAGAGATATGTCACAAAGTCCCCATAAATAGAGCCTAGACAAGGGTCCCATCACCTGGGTGATCAGTGCAGAAATATGTCACAATGTCCCCATAGGCAGATCTAACACAAGAGTTACATCACCTGGGTGATAGGTGTAGAGATATGTCACAATGCCCCCATGGGCAGAGCCTAGAATAAAGTCCCATCAGCTGGGTGATCAGTGTAGAGATATGTCACAAAGCCCTGTAAGCAGAGCCTAGACAACTGTTACATCACTTTGTTGATCAGTTCAGAGATGTGTCATGCTGACTGTTTTCTCCCGGAGCTCTGCGGGCACCCGGAAACATGAAGGGAAGGGTTGAAGACCGGCATGGTGCCTTCTCTCTCATTGCCAGTTTCCAAACCGGTCACACTGCAGACTCCCCATGTTGCCGCACACGGGAATCCATCGTCAGGCCATCACTCCGGGGAGGCATCTTCTCTCTGGGGTCTCCCTCTGGTCTCCTACGTGGAAATAAACCAGAGCCACAAGCCTGCCTGTGTGAGACTGTCCCGGCAATGGCGACAGCCACAGGCACTGCCTCCTTCACGGAGAGAGGGTCTGGAACACTCAGGACTCCCACGAAAGTTCAGTTCCACACTCCCCTCCACCCACCCAGGCCAGTTTCTCCCTGCTGAAGACTCATGGGAGCCCAGAGAGCGGCTTCCAGTTCCTGCTGGATTCCTGGAGAGGTCCGGAGAGCCAGCCCCCAAAACGCGCCCCCTTCAGCACTTCCCCCTCGCCCCCTTCCTCTTCGTGTCTCTGGACCCACCCACGCCCTCCTCCCCCACCCCACCAGCCCCCGGCCGCAGGCCGCGACGCCCTGAGACCCTTCTGGGGTGTGTCAGGCTGTTACTGGGCTCACCGCCATTCATAAAGGGGTGGAACCTGCCTGCCTGCGGGCCTTTATAAGAGCCGCTGGCTGGCTGTCCGGGCAGTCCCCCTGGCTGCACCTGCTGCAGCGCACTCGCCGGCTGAGGTGCACGGGAGCCCGCAGACCTCTCTCTGCCCATGTCCGTCCATGAAATTCCGGCTGGGGCTCCCTGCGATGGCCCTCCTGACAACTTCGGACAGCACCCTCCCCGCGGAAGCCCGGGGACGGGGACGGCAAAGGAGACTCGTTTGGACCCCGAGCCAAAGGGAGGCCCTGCGAGGCTGCTTTGAGAGGAACCCGTATCCTGGCATGGCCACCAGTGAACGGCTGGCCCAGGCCATCGGCATTCCAGAGTCCAGGGTCCCGATTTGGTTTCACAATGAGAGGTCACGCCAGCTGAGGCAACATCGGCGGGAATCTTGGCCCTGGCCCGGAAGACGGGGCCCGCAAGAAGGCAGGCGAAAGCGGACCGCCGTCACAAGACCCCGAAACACCCTGCTCCTCTGAGCCTTTGAGAAAGATCGCTTTCCAGGCATCGCCGCCAGGTAAGAGCTGGCCAGAAAGACGGGCCTCCCAGAGTCCAGGATTCAGATCTGGTTTCAGAATCAAAGGGTGAGGTACCTGGGACAGCCTGGTAGGGCGCCCGCCCAGGCAGGCGGGCTGTGCAACGCAGCCCCCGGCGCGTGTCACCCTGCTCCTTCGTGGGTCGCCTTCGCCCACACTAGCGTGTTTGGAACAGGGCTTCCCACACCCAAAGTGCCCTGAGCACCTGTGGCTCTCCAACAGGGGGCTTTCGTGAGCCAGGGAGCAAGGGACGTCCCCGTGCTCCAGTCCAGCTTGGCCGCACCGGCATAGGGGATCTCCCAACCTGCCCTGGCTTGTAGGGGTTTTTCCTGTGCCTCCCCGGGTCCTCCGTAAGGAACGCTTTCCCAGCCTCAGGCTCCTCGGTGGCCTCCGCACCCGGGCAAAAGCCGAGAGGACTGGGACCCGCAGAGCGACGGCCTGCCGGGCCCTTGTGCAGTGGGACAGCCTGGGCCCGCTCAAGCGGGGCCACAAGGCCAAGGTGTGCTTGCATCACCTGCGTCCCAGGGGAGTCCGCGGTGGGGCTGGTGCCGGGGTCCCCAGGTCACCGGGGCGGCGTGGGAACCCCACGCCGGGGTAGCTCCACCTCGCCAGCCCGCGCCCCCGGAGGCCTCCGAGTGGCAGGGGCAGATGCAAGGCATCCGGGCGCCTTCCCAGGCGCTCCAGGAGCCGGGGCGCTCGTCTGCACTCCCCTCCGGCCTGCTGCAGGATGAGCTCCTGGCGAGCCCGGAGTTTCTGCAGCAGGAGCAACCTTTCCTAGAAACGGAGGCCCCGGGGGAGCTGGAGGCCTTGGAAGAGGCCGCGTCGCTGGAAGCACCCCTCAGCAAGGAAGAATACCAGGTTCTGCTGGAGGAGCTTTAGGATGCATTGTTGGGACGGGGTCGGGTCGGGGCAATGCGGTGGCCTCTCTTTCGTGGGGAACACCTGTCTGGCTATGGAGGTGCGTGTCTTCCCCCCACCCCCTCCACCAGACTGACTGGCCTGGGATTCCTGTCTTCTATGTCTAGGCCCGGTGAGAGACTCCAAACAGCGGAGAACTGCCATTCTTTCCTGGGCATCCTGGGGATCCCAGAGCCGGCCCCGGTACCAGCAGCTGGGCCGCATACTGCACATGTGCGGGTTTGCGGGCAGCCGCCTGGGCTGTGGGAGCAGCCTAGGCAGAGCTCTCATGCCTTTCCACCACCACACACCAGCCTGACCACCCCCTCACGAACCGCACCCGCCACACCCGGAAAATGCGTCCTCCCATGTGCTGGGTGGAGACCACCGTCCCGCGAAACACCGGGCCTGTGCAGCGTCCAGGCCTGACACCCCTCCAGCTGCTCGCTTCCTCTGCGCCTCCGCGCCACCGTCGCAGGCCCGCCCGTGCCCCTGGAGCCTCCCAGCTCCCACCATGGAGTGCCTGGAGGCAGAACGCAGACCTCTAGCTCTCTTTGCCGGCCTCCTGGCTAGACCTGCGCTCATTGCGCACCACGGCTATTGTGCAAGGGAGCCTGCTGGACTCTCTGTGCCCTTGTCCATCCGTGAAATTCCAGCTGAGGCTCTCCCAACACCTTCCGACGCTCTGTAGTCAGAGCCTGGAGAATAGTTATATCTCCTGGATGATCGGTTCAGGAATATATCAAAATGCCCGCTCCCTGCGGAGCCTAGAGAAGATTTGCATCATTTGGGTTACCAGTGCAGAGATATATCACAATGTCCCCTGTACAAAAAGCCTGGAAATGATTTACATCACCTAGGTGATCAGTGCATAGGTATGTCAGAAATCCCCAGTAGGCTAAACATAGACAAGGGTTACATCACTTAGGTGCTCAGTGTAGAGATATTTGAAAATTCCCGTGTAGACACAGCCTAGACAAGTGTTACATCACCTAGTGACCAGTGCAGGGTTAAGTCGTAAAGCCTCCTCTAGGCAGAGTGTAGACAAGTGTTTCCTCCTTGGGGTGATCAGTGCAGAGATATGTCACAAAGCCCCTGTAAGCAGAACCTTGACAAGGGTTACATCACCTGTTTGATCAGTGGAAATGTATATCACAACCTGTAGGCAGAACGTAGAAAAGAGTTCCCTCCCCAGGGTGATCAGTGCAGAGATGTGTCACAAAGCCCCTGTAGGCAGAGCCTAGACAAGTGTTTCATCAATTGCTTGATCAGTTCAGAGATGTGTAACAATGTCCATGTAGGCAGATCTAAGTCAAGAGTCCATCACCTGAGTGATCAGTGCAGAGATATGTGCCAATGTTTCTTGTAGGCAGTGCCTAGACACGAGTTGCATCACCTCAGAAATCAGTGCATAGATATGTCACAAAGCCTACTGTAGGCAAAGCCCATAAAAGGCTTACATTAACTAGGTGATCAGTGCAGTGATACATCACAAAAATCTCTGTAGACAGAGCCTAGACAAGAGTTACATCACCTGGGTGATCAATGCAGATATTTGACACAATGCCCCCATAGACAGAGCCTAAACAAGACTTCCATCACCTGGGTGATCAGTGCAGAGATATGTCACAAATCCCCGTCTAGGCAGAGTATAGAGAAGAGTCCCATCACCTGGGTGATCAGTGCAGAGATATTTCACAATGCCCCTTGTAGGCAGAGAGTGTACAAGAGTTACATAACCTAGGTGATCTGTGCAGAGCTGTGTCAAAACGCCCCTGTAGGCAGAGCCTAGATAAATGTTACATCACCTGGGTGATCAGTGCAGAGATATGTCACAATACCCCCTGTAGGTGGAGCCTAGACAAGAGTTACCTCACCTGGGTGATCAGTGCAGAGATATGTCACAAAGCCCCTGTAGACAGAGCCTAAACAAGGGTTACATCACCTGGGTGATCAGTGCAGAAATCTGTCACAAAGTCCCTGTAGGCCGAGCCTAGACAAGTGTTATATCTCCAGGGTGATCAGTGCAAAGATATATCACAAAGCCCCTGTAGACAAATCCCAGAAAATTGTTACATCACCTGGGTAATCAGTGGAGATATCTGTCACAATTCCTCTTTTGCCGCAGCTTAGACAAGCATTACATCACATGAGTGATCAGTGCAGAGATATGTCACTATGCCCCCATAGTCAGATCCAAGACAAGAGTCCATCACCTGAGTGATCAGTGCAGAAATATGCCACAATGCCGCCAATAGGCAGATATAGACAAGAGTTACATCACCTGCGTGATCACTGCAGAGATATGTCACAATGCCCCTGTAGGCAGAGCCTAGACAAGAGTCCCATCACCTGGGTGATCAGTGCAGAGTTATGTCACAATGCCCCCTTTTGGCAGAGGCTAGACAAGGGTTACATCACCTGGGTGATCAGTGCAGAGATGTCTCACAAGCCCCCTATAGCCAGAGTCTAGACAAGAGTTACATCAGCTGTGTGATCAGTGCAGTGACATGTCACAATGTCCCTGTAGCCATATCCTTGACAAAAGTGACTTCACCAGGTTGATCATTGTGGAGATATGTCACAATGTCTCCAGTAGGCAGAGCCTAGACAAAAGTTACATCACCTGGGTGATGAGGGCAGGGATATGTCACAATGCCCCCGGTAAGCAGATCCCAGACAAGAGTTGCATCACCTCGGTGATCAATGCAGAGATATGTCTCAATGCCCCCTCTTGGTGAAGCCTATAAGAGAGTTACATCATCTCGGTGATCAGTGCAGTGATTTGTTAAATTGCCCCTGTAGGCAGAGCCTAGACAAGTGTTACATCACCTGGGTGATCCGTGCAGAGATATCTCACAATACACCCTGTAAGCAGAGCCTAGAAAAGAGTTACATCACCTGGGTGATCAGTGCAGAGATATGTCATAAACCCCACTGTAAGCAAAGCCTAGACAAGTTTTACATCACCTCAGCGATCAGTGCAGTGATAGCTCCCAATGTCCCTCTAGGCAGAGCTTAGACAAGAGTCACATCTCCTGGGTGATCAGTGTAGAGATAAGTCACAATGCCCCTATAGGCAGAGCATAGACCAGAGTTACATAATCTGGGTGATCCCTGCGGAGTGATTTCACAACGCCCTCTGTAGGCAGAGACTAGAAAAGAGTTACATCACCTGGGTGATCAGTGCAGAAATATGTCAAAATGCCCCGTGTAGGCAGAACATAGAGAAGACCTGCATCACCTGGGTGATCCTTGCAGAGATATGTCACAATGTCCCCTGTAGGCAGAACATAGAGAAGAGTTGCATCACCTGGGTGATCAGTGCAGAGATAGGTCTCAATGTCCCCTGTAGGCAAAGCCTAGGCAAGAGTTACATGACCTTTTTCATCAGTTCAGGGATATGTGAAAACGCCCCTGTAGGCAGATCCTAGACAAGATTTGAATCACCTAGGTGATCAGTGCAGAGATATTTCACAATGCCCAGTTATGGCAGAGGGTAACAAGAGTTACATCACCTAGGTGATCAGTGCAGAGATTTGTCAAAATTCCCTGTAGGCAGTGCTTATAAAAGTGTTACATCACCTAAGTGATCAGTGCAGAGATATGTCACAAAGCTCCTGTAGGCAGAACTTAGATGAGCTACATCACCTGGGTGATCAGTGCAAATGTATGTCAAAAAGTCCCCTGAAGGCAAAGCCTAGAGTATAGTTACATCACTTGGGTGATCAGTGCCGAGATCTCTCACAATTCCCCTGTAGGCAGAGCTTATACAACAGTTACATCACCTGGGTGATCAGTGCAGAGATATGTCACAATGCCCACATAGGCAAATCCAAGACAAGAGTCCGTAACCTGGGTGATCAGTGCAGAGATATGTGAGAATTCCCGTGTAGACAGAGCCTAGAGAAGTGTAACATAACATAGGTTATCAGTGCAGGTATAAGTCATAAAGCCTCCTGTAGGCAGAGCGTAGACAAGAGTTCCCTCACCAGGGTGAACAGTGCAGAGATGTGTCACAAAGCCCCGTAGGCAGAGCCTAGACAAGAGTTTCATCACTTGGTTGATCAGTTCAGAGATGTGTGACAATGTCCATGTAGGCAGATCTAAGACAAGAGTCCATCACCTGGGTGTTCAGTGCAGAGATATGTACCAATGCCCCTGTAGGCAGTGCCTAGACAAGAGTTGCATCACCTCAGAGAACAGTGCATAGGTATGTCACAAAGCCTTCTGTAGGTAAAGCCCATACAAGGCTTACATCACCTAGGTGATCAGTGCAGTGATAAGTCACAAAAATACCTGTGGACAGAGCCTAGAAAAGAGTTACATCACCTGGGTGATCAGTGCAGATATTTGACACACTGCCCCCATAGACAGAGCCTAGACAAGAATTCCATCACCTGGGCAATCAGTGCAGATATATGTCACAAATCCCCCTCTAGGCAGAGTATAGAGAAGAGTCCTATCACCTGGGTGATCAGTGCAGAGATATTTCACAATGCCCCCTGTAGGCAGAGAGTGGACAAGAGTTACATAACTTAGGTGATCTGTGCAGAGCTAAGTTAAAACGCCCCTGTAGGCAGGGCCTAGATAAATGTTACATCACCTGGCTGATCAGAGCAGAGATACGTCACAATACACCCTGTAGGTGGAGACTAGACAAGAGTTATATCACCTGGGTGATCAGTGCGGAGATACTTCACAATACCCCCTGTAGTTGGAGCCTACACAAGAGTTACATCTCCTGGGTGATCAGTGCAAAGATATGTCACAAAGCCCCCTGTAGACAAATCCCAGAAAATTGTTACATCACCTGGGTGATCAGTGGAGATATCTGTCACAATTCCCCTTTAGGCGCAGCTTAGACAAGCGTTACATCACATGAGTGATCAGTGCAGAGATATGTCACTATGCCGCCATAGGCAGATCCAAGACAAGTGTCCATCTCCTGAGTGATCAGTGCAGAAATATGCGGCAATGCCCCCTTAGGCAGAGCCTATACAACATCACCATCAGCTGGATGATCAGTGCAGATTTATATCACAAATTCCCCTTAGGCAGATACTAGACAAGAGTTACATCACCTGGGTGTTCAGTGCAGAGTTATGTCAAAATGCCCCCTTTTGGCAGAGCCTAGACAAGGGTTACATCACCTGGGTGATCAGTGCAGAGATCTGTCACAAGCCCCATGTAGCCAGAGCCTAGACAAGAGTTACATCAGCTGTGTGATCAGTGCAGTGACTTGTCACAATGTCCCTGTTGTAGCCATATTCCTGACAAAAGTGACATCACCTGGGTGATCAGTGCGGAGATATGTCACAATGTCTCCAGTAGGCAGAACCTAGACAAGAGTTACATTACCTGGGTGATCAGGGCAGAGATATGTCACAATGCCCCGTGAAAGCAGATCCCAGACAAGAGTTGCATCACCTTGGTGATCAGTGCAGAGATATGTCTCAATGCCCCCTGTCAGCGAAGCCTAAACACGAGTTACATTATCTCGGTGATCAGTGCAGTGATATGTGAAAATGCCCCTGTAGGCAGAGCCTAGACAAGAGTTACATTACCTGGGTGATCAGTGCAGACATATTTCACAATACCCCCTGTAAGCAGAGCCTAGACAAGAGTTACATCACCTGGGTGATCAGTGCAGAGATATGTCATAAATCCCACTGTAGGCAAAGCCTAGACAAGTTTTACATCACATCAGCGGTCAGTGCAAAGATATGTCCCAATGTTCCTCTAGGCAGAGCTTATACAATAGTCACATCTCCTGGGTTATCAGTGCAGTGATAAGTCACAATGCCCGCATAGGCAGAGCCTAGACAAGAGTTACATAACCCGGGTGATCCGTGCAGAGTAATGTCACAATGCCCTCTGTAGGCAGAGCCTAGAAAAGAGTTACATCACCTGGGTGATCAGAGCAGAGATATGTCATAATGCCCCCTGTAGGCAGAGCATAGAGAAGAGTTTCATCACCTGGGTGATCAGTGCAGAGATATTTCCCAATACCCCTGTAGGCAGATCCAAGACAAGAGTTGAATCACCTGAGTGATCAGTGCAGAGATATTTCACAATGCCCCCTTTGGGCAGAGGGTAGAAAAGACTTACATCACCTATGTGATCAGTGCAGAGATTTGTCAAAGTTCCCTGTCGGCAGTGCTTAGAAAACTGTTACATCACCTAAGTGATCAGTGCAGAGATATATCAAAAAGCTCCTGTAGGCAGAACTTAGATGAGTTACATCACCTGGGTGACAAGTGCAAAGGAATGTTACAAAGCCCCCTGTAGGCAAAGCCTAGACAATAGTTACATCACTTTGGTGATCAGTGGCGAGACCTCTCACAATTCCCCTGTAGGCAGAGCTTATACAACAGTTACATCACCTGGGCGATCAGTGCAGAGATATGTCACAATGCCCCCATAGGCAGATCGAAGACAAGAGTCTGTCACCTGGGTGATCAGTGCAGAAATATGTCACAATGCCCCCTTAGGCAGAGCCTATACAACAGCCCCATCAGCTGGATGATCAGTGCAGATTTATATCACAAAGTCCCCTTAGGCAGATACTAGACAAGAGTTACATCACCTGGTTGATCAGTGCAGAGTTATGCCACAATGCCCCTGTAGGCTGAGCCTAGACAAGAGTTACATGACCTAGGTGATCAGTGCAGAGATACATCGCAATGCCCCTGTAGGCAGAGCCTTGACAAGTGGTATATCACCTGGGTGACCATTGCATTGATATGTCACAAAGCACCCTATAGGGAGATCCTAGAGAAGAGTTATATCACCTGGGTGGTCAGTGCAGAGTTATGTCACAAGCCCCTGTAGGCAGAGCCTAGACAAGAGTTATAACACCTGGGTGATCAGTGCAGTGATATGTCACAATGCCGTATAGCCAGAGCCTAGACTAAAGTTACAGCACCTGGGAGATAAGTGCAGAGATATGTCACAAAGTCCCCAGTAGGCAGAGACCAGGTAAGAGTTGGATCATCTCGGGATCAGTGCAGAGATATGTCTCAATCCCCCTGTGGGCACAGCCTAGACAAGAGTTACATCACCTCGTTTAACAGTGCAGAGATATGTCAAAATGCCCCTGTAGGCAGAGCCTACACAAGTGTTACATCACTTAGGTGATCAGTGCAGATATATGTCACAATACCCCCTGTAAGCAGAGCCTAGACAAGAGTTACATCACCTGGGTGATCAGTGCAGAGATATGTGACAAGGCCCCTTTAAGCAGAACCTAGACAATTGTTACATCACCTGAGTGATCAGTGCGGAGAACTGTCAAAATGCCCCTTTAGGCAGAGCTTAGATCAGAGTTACACCGCCTGGGTGATCAGTGCAGAGATATCTCACAATACCCACTGTAAGCAGAGCCTAGACAAGAGTTACATCACCTGGGTGATCAGTGCAGAGATATGTCATAAATCCCACTGTAGGCAAAGCCTAGACAAGTTTTACATCACCTCAGCGAAAAGTGCAGAGATATATCCCAATGTCCCTCTAGGCAGAGCTTAGCCAAGAGTCACATCTCCTGGGTGATCAGTGCAGAGATAAGTCACACTGCCCCCATTGGCAGAGCCTAGAGAAGAGTTATATGACTGGGGTGATCCGTGCAGAGTGATATCACAACGCCCTCTGTAGCCACAGAGTAGAAAATAGTTACATCACCTGGGTGATCAGTGCAGAGATATGTCACAATGCCCCTGTAGGTAGAGCATAGAGAACAGTTGCATCACCTGGGTGATCAGTGCAGAAATATGTGACAATGCCTCCAGTAGGCAGAGCCTAGAGAAGAGTCCCATCACGTGGGTGATCGGTGCAGAGATATTTCACAATGCCCCTGCAGGCAGAGCATAAGCAAGATTTACATCACCTAGTTGATTAGTGCAGAGATATGTCACAAGGCCCCCTATAGGCAGATCCTGGACAAGAGTTACATCACCTCGGTGATCAATGCAGTGATATGTCATTATGCCCCGTAGACAGAGCCTAGTCAAGCGTTACATCACCTGTGTGATCAGTGCGGAGATATGTCACAAAGCCCCCATACACAGAGCCTAGACAAGTGTCCCATCACCTAGGTGATCAGTGCAGAAATATGTCACAATGCCCCCATAGGCAGATCCAACACAAGAGTTACATTACCTGGGTGATCAGTGTAGAGATATGTCACAATGCCCCCATAGGCAGATCCAACACAAGAGTTACATTACCTGGGTGATCAGTGTAGAGATATGTCACAATGTCCCCATAGGCAGAGCCTAGACAAAGTCCCATCACCTGGGTGATCAGTGCAGAGATATGTCACAAAGCCCCTGTAGGCAGAGCCTAGACAAGAGTTACATCACTTTTTTTTTTTTTTTTTTTTTTTTTTGAGACGGAGTCTCGCTCAGTGGCCCAGGTGGGAGTGCAGTGGCGCAATCTCGGCTCACTGCAAGCTCCGCCTCCCGGGTTCACGCCATTCTCCTGCCTCAGCCTCCCAAGTAGCTGGGACTACAGGTGCCCGCCACTACGCCCGGCTAATTTTTTTGTATTTTTTTTAGTAGAGACGGGGTTTCACCATTGTAGCCGGGATGGTCTCGATCTCCTGACCTCGTGATCCGCCCGCCTCGGCCTCCCAAAGTGCTGGGATTACAGGCGTGAGCCACCGCGCCCGGCTATCACTTTGTTGATCAGTTCAGAGATGTGTCATGCTGACTGTTTGCTCCGGCAGCTCTGCGGGCACTCGGAAACATGCAGCTAAGGGTGGAACACTGGCATGGTGCCTTCGCTCTCCTTGCCAGTTTCCAAACCGGCCACACTGCAGACTCCCCAAGTTGCCGCATAAGGGAATCCATCGTCAGGCCATCACGCCGGAGAGGCATCTTCTCTCTGGGGTCTCGGTCTGGTCTCCTACTTAGAAATGAACGAGAGCCACACGCCTGCGTGTTTCAGACAGTCCCGGCAACGGCGACACCCACAGGCACTGCCTTCTTCATGGAGAGAGGGCCGGGAACACTCAAGAATCCCATGGAGGTTCAGTTCCACACTCCCCTCCACCCACCCAGGCCAGTTTCGCCCTGCTGAAGACGCCTGGGAGATCAGAGAGCGGCTTCCAGTTCCTGCTGGATTCCTGGAGATGTCCGGAGAGCCAGCCCCCATCACCCCTTCCCCCTCGCCCCCTTCCTCTTCGTCTCTCCGGCCCCACCACCAGCATCACCACGCCCTCCCTCCCCACCCCACAACCCCCCGGCCACAGGCCTCGACGCCCTGGGACCCTTCCGGGGTGGGGCTGGCTGTCCCAGGGCTCACCGCCATTCATGAAGGGGTGGAGCCTGTCTGCCTGTGGGCCTTTATAGGAGCTGCTGGCTGGCTGTCTGGGCAGGCCTCCTGGGTGCACCTGCCGCAGTGCACAGGCCGGCTGAGGTGCACGGGAGCCCGCCGGCCCCTCTCTGCACGCGTCCGTCCATGAAATTCCGGCTGGGGCTCCCCGCGATGGCCTTCCCGACAACTTCGGACAGCACCCTCCCCACGGAAGCCTGGGGACGGGGACGGTGGAGGACACTCGTTTGGACCCCGAGCCAAAGCCAGGCCCTGCGAGCCTGCTTTGAGCGGAACCCGTACCCGGGCATCGCCACCAGAGAACGGCTGGCCCAGGCCATCGACATTCCGGAGCCCAGAGTCCAGATTTGGTTTCAGAATGCGAGGTCACGCCAGCTGAGGCAGCACCGGCGGGAATCTCGGCCCTGGCCCGGAAGACGCGGCCCGCAAGAAGGCAGGCGAAAGCGGACCGCGGTCACCGGATCCCAGACCGCCCTACTCCTCCGAGCCTTTGAGAAGGATCGCTTTCCAGGCATCGCCGCCAGGGAAGAGGTGGCCAGAGAGACGGGCCTCCCAGAGTCCAGGATTCAGATCTGATTTCAGAATTGAAGGGCCAGGCAGCCGGGACAGGCTGACAGGGCGCCCGCGCAGTCAGGCGGCCTGTGCAAAGCGGCCCCAGGCGGGTGTCACCCTGCTCCCTCGTGGGTCGCCTTCGCCCACACCGGCGCGTTGGGAACGGGGCTTCCCACACCCCACGTGCCCTGCACGACTGGGGCTCTCCCACAGGGAGCTTTTGTGAGCCAGGGAGCGAGGGCCGTCCCCGTGCTCCAGCCCAGCCAGGCCGCGCCAGGAGAGGGGATCTCCCAACCTGTCCCGTCACGCCAGGATTTTGCCTACACCGCCCCGGCTCCTCCAGAAGGGGCGCTCTCCCACCCTCAGGCTCCTCCGTGGCCTCCGCACCCGGGCAAAAGCCGGGAGGACCCGGACCCGCAGCGTGACAGCCTGCCGGTTGCTTGCGCGGTGGGACAGCCTGGGCCCGCTCAAGCGGGGCCACAGGGCCAAGGTGTGCTTGCGCCACCCGCGTCCCAGGGGAGTCCGTGTTGGGGCTGGGGCAGGGGTTCCCAGGGCCCAGGGGCGGCCTGGGAACCCCAAGCCAGGGTAGCTCCACCTCGCCAGCCCATGCCCCTGGAGGCCTCTGCGCGGCAGGGGCGGATGCAAGGCATCCCGGCGCCCTCCAAGGCGCTTCAGGAGCCGGGGCGCTCGTCTGCACTCCCCTCCGGCCTGCTGCTGGATGAGCTCCTGGCGAGCCCGGAGTTTCTGCAGCAGGCGCAACCTTTCCTAGAAACGGAGGCCCCGGGGGAGCTGGAGGCCTTCGAAGAGGCCGCCTTGCTGGAAGCACCCTTCAGCGAGGAAGAATACCGGACTCTGCTGGAGGAGCTTTAGGATGCGGGGTTGGGACAGGGTCGGATCGGGGCAGGGCGGTGGCCTCTCTTTCGCAGGGAACACCTGGCTGGCTATGGAGGTGCGTGTCTTCTCCCCGCCCCCTCCACCGGGCTGACCTGCCTGGGATTCCTGCCTTCTAGGTCTAGGCCTGGTGAGAGGCTCCACACAGCGGAGAACTGCCATTCTTTCCTGGGCATCCTGGGGATCCCAGAGCCGGCCCAGGTACCAGCAGGTGGGCCGCCTACTGCGCACCCGCGGGTTTGCGGGCAGCCGCCTGGGCTTTGGGAGCAGCCGGGGCAGAGCTCTCATGCCTTTCCACCACCCCACCCCCGCCTGACCACCCACCCCCACCACCACCCACCACCCCCGGAAAATGCGTCCTCCCCTGGGCTGGGTGGAGACCCCCGTCCCATGAAACACCGTGCCCGCACAGCGTCCAGGCCTGACACCCCTCTGGCCGCTCGCCTCCTCTGCGCCTCCGCGCCACCGTACCCGGCCCGCCTGTGCCCCTGCAGCCTCCCAGCTGCCCCCATGGAGTGCCTGGTGGTGGAACGCACACCTCTAGCTCTCTTTGCCGGCCTCCTGGCTAGACCTGCGCTCATTGCGCACCCAGGCTGACGTGCAACGGAGACCGCTGTCCTCTCTGTGCCCTTGTCCGTCCGTGAAATTCCGGCTGAGTCTCTCCCAACACCTTCCGAAGCTCTTTTGTCAAATCCTGGAGAATACTTATATCTCCTGGATGATCGGTTCAGAAATATGTCACAATGCCCCCTCCCTGCGGAGCCTAGAGAAGATTTGCATCATTTGGGTGATCAGTGCAGTGATATATCACAATATTTTCACTTATTTATTTTTTATAAGGTAAATCAAATGTTCCAGAACCACTAATGAGCATCAGTCATTTCCTCTAGTTGAGCTGCAATGCCAATATCAAGGGCCATATACTGTTTATCAAGTTTCTATTTATGTTCCAGTTTAATCTTATGAGACCACCGCAGTGTAGATGGTGGACTAGTTGACTGAAATGTGTTACATTGGGCTTGACTGTTTATATTTGAAAATATTTGGGAGTTGAATAATTTTAAGGAATTACTGATAACTTGGTGTGAAAGGATAAGGGAATTTTGGTCATGAAAGAAAATGGCCTTAGTTTTTGAATATGCAGGCTTAAGTATACACAGGCAAATTAGCATGATGCCTATAATTTACTTTTATTTCAAATTGAAATATTACATAAAGAAAACTTGACAAAATATTAACAATTAATTGGATTTAGGTGGTGGTTATGTGGGTGTCCATTTTTTCTACCTTTCTGTAGGCTCCAATGTTTCATAATTAAAAGGGAAAAAACGGGGCCACAAGAGAAGGTACAATTAAACATTAATGGGTCCCTTCTCCCAAGCGGTTAGTGCTGAGAGTGTGGAGTGTGTTCTCCAGGATCAGCACATCGTTATTATCTTGAAAAATCCATTCCCCCGAAAAAAATCCCATGAAAAAAACTTAAAAGAAAAAAAAAGGTTTCTGTTTTAACAACCGTCACCCCTGCAAAACACTTTACCAAAAAATCCTTGTCTTCACTGCCAGAGACATTTTCCTTTTCTTCTTGTATAAGATTACCCGGTGAGGCAGCCAAGAGTGACCCACCCACCACCTCGCTGCTCCGAAGCAGCTTCAAGAAGGAACAGGATCCCGAGGCCTGGACGCTGGACCTTACAACGCCACCCTCGTCCCAGCCCGCTGCGGGCCTCAGTTCCTCCGACGTGGAGTAGTTTTGGATCCCAGGTGATTTTGTCTCTCTGCGCTGGCCCAGGCTTCTGCCTCAGCCCTTACTCTCCTTTCATTGAAATGTCGCAGCCTGTGGCCCTACCGACAGACAGGTGCAGAGGTGAGCCCAGCTTCCCAGCCATCCCCTGTCCTCGCACCGCACGTGACCAGGCCTGCTGGCCGGTCCTTTCTATCCCGGGCTACAGGAACCAGATCACCGGCGCTCCTTGGGAAACGCAGGATGTGGAATGTGCTTAAGACCCCATGAATTTTGATGTTGTAAAAGACTAGCCAATACACACTAAGTGGTCTCGGTGTGATCCATCACTCCGCAAAATTGGAGTGGGCAACATGTTCATAAAAAAAATTGGACAAATCTATTGTTTATAAAGCATTGCATGATACATCTGCTTTTGGTAATATCTTTTTGTTGTAGAAAAAACCAGGTTCTTGTCATACCACCATGAAAAGGCATGCAAACACTTGAAGGGTGAGGGGGAATGGAGTTTATTGGGTGGAAAGGAAAAAAGAAAAATAACTCTCTGCAAAGAGAGAAAGAGTCCTGCTAGCGGGTTTCCCGCCTCATAGATTAAATCCTAGGTCACTACATGGGAACACGCCAGACTCCTCTCCACTGCACACTGCACAAACTTCCCGAGGCTCCACCCTGTAATCCCAGTGCACAGGTGGGCATTATTCAGAATCAGTGAGGAAAGGGAGGCTTCAACCAGGACCTGCAGTCCAGTTTATCAACGTTCAGGCTGTTTTAGTCTTGAAGGTGGGGTTTTACCAGGGGACCCTTGGCTGCATCCTGTCTCTATCACTTTCACATTAGGTGCTTTGTGGTGAAAACGGTTTCAGGGGTGATGGCATTGTACATTTTGAGACACAGAAGCAGCTGAAAGATCTATTCAAAAATGAAATGGATGCTTCTAAATGATAGCAAATTCTTTGTTGGATTAAGTCTTGTAAACAATGAGAAGCAAAACTCAGAGTTAAAAAGCTCACCAATGTTTACAGGAAGATTTTTGGAGAAGACATGGATGGTAGGTGCCTTAAAGATCTCTTTGGCAAGTTGGGATGTGTCTTAAGTGTGATAGTAGTGGTTAATGAAAGTGCAAAACCCAAAGGTTTTGGATTTGTCAGCTTTGAAAGGCATAAAGATGCGCAGATGAGATGAACAGAAAGAAGCTCAATGGAAAACAAAATGATGTTAGTCAAGCTCAGAAAGAAGTAGAATGGCACATGGAACTTGTGTGCAAATTTGAAAAGATCAAGTAATATAGGATCACCAGATAACAAAGTGTTAACATTTATGCAAAAAATCTTGATGGTATTGATGAATGTCTCTGGAAAAACTTTGTCCACTTGGTACAATCACCAATGCAAAAGTTATGAAGGATGGTTTTCACAACAAAGGGTTTGATTTGTGTATGTTTCTCCTCTCCAGAGGAAGAAACTAAAGCACTTTCAGAAATGAATGGTAGAATTGTGGGCACTGAGCCATTGTATATAGTGTTAACTCCATGGGAAGAAAAGCAATGAACAGAAACAGGCTCAGCTCATTAACCAGTACAGTATGTGCAAAGAATGGCAAGTGTAAAAACTATGCTCAACCTGGGAATCAGTCCCTATCAGCCAGCACCTTCTTCAATTGACTTCATGGCAG